>NC_000003.12:63646363-63949393 GCF_000001405.40 Homo sapiens
GCTACAGGAGGAAATTCGAACCAATGGCAAAGAAATTAAAAGCTTTGAAAAAAAATTAGACGAATGGATAACTAGAATGACGAATGGATAACTAGAATAACCAATGCAGAGAAGTCCTTAAAGGACCTGATGGAGCTGAAAACCAAGGCACGAGAGCTAAGTGACGAATGTATAAGCCTCAGTAGCCAATGCGATCAACTGGAAGAAAGGGTATCAGCAATGGAAGACGAAATGAATGAAATGAAGCGAGAAGAGAAGTTTAGAGAAAAAAGAATAAAAAGAAACAAACAAAGCCTCCAAGAAATATGGGACTATGTGAAAAGACCAAATCTACGTCAGATTGGTGTATCTGAAAGTCACGGGGAGAATAGAACCAAGTTGGAAAACACTCTTCAGTATATTATCCAGGAGAATTTCCCCAATCTAGCAAGGCAGGCTAACATTCAAATTCAGGAAATACAGAAAATGCCACAAAGATACTCCTCGAGAAGAGCAATTCCAAGACACATAATTGTCAGATTCACCAAAGTTGAAATGAAGGAAAAAATGTTAAGGGCAGCCAGAGAGAAAGGTCGGGTTACCCACAAAGGGAAGCCCATCAGACTAACAGCTGATCTCTTGGAAGAAACTCTACAAGCCAGAAGAGAGTGGGGACCAATATTCAACATTCTTAAAGGAAAGAATTTTCAACCCAGAATTTCATATCCAGCCAAATTAAGCTTCATAAGTGAAGGAGAAATAAAATCCTTTACAGACAAGCAAATGCTGAGAGATTTTGTCACCACCAGGCCTGCCCTAAAAGACTCCTGAAGGAAGCACTAAACATGGAAAGGAACAACCAGTACCAGCCACTACAAAAACATGCCAAATTGTAAAGACCATCAAGGCTAGGAAGAAACTTCATCAACTAACGAGCAAAATAACCAGCTGACATCATAATGACAGGATCAAATTCACACATAACAATATTAACTTTAAATGTAAATGGGCTAAGTGCTCCAATTAAAAGACACAGACTGGCAAATTGGATAAAAGAGTCAAGACCCATCAGTGTGCTGTATTTAGGAAACCCATCTCACGTGCAGGGACACACATTGGCTCAAAATAAAGGGATGGAGGAAGATCTACCAAGCAAATGGAAAACAAAAAAAGGCAGGGGTTGCAATCCCAGTCTCTGATAAAACAGACTTTAAACCGACAAAGATCAAAAGAGACAAAGAAGGCCATTACATAATGGTAAAGGGATCAATTCAACAAGAAGAGCTAACTATCCTAAATATATATGCACCCAATACAGGAGCACCCAGATTCATAAAGCAAGTCCTGAGTGACCTACAAAGAGACTTAGACTCCCACACAATAATAATGGGAGACTTTAACACCCCACTGTCAACATTAGACAGATCAACGAGACAGAAAGTTAACAAGCATATCCAGGAATTGAACTCAGCTCTGCACCAAGCGGACCTAATAGACATCTACAGAACTCTCCACCCCAAATCAACAGAATATACATTCTTTTCAGCACCACACCACACCTATTCCAAAATTGACGACATAGTTGGAAGTAAAGCACTCCTCAGCAAATGTAAACAAACAGAAATTATAACAAACTGTCTCTCAGACCACAGTGCAATCAAACTAGAACTCAGGATTAAGAAACTCACTCAAAACCACTCAACTACATGGAAACTGAACAACCTGTTCCTGAATGACTACTGGGTAAATAATGAAATGAAGGCAGAAATAAAGATGTTCTTTGAAACCAACGAGAACAAAGACACAACATACCAGAATCTCTGGGACACATTCAAAGCAGTGTGTAGAGGGAAATTTATAGCACTAAATGCCCACAAGACAAAGCAGGAAAGATCTAAAATTGACACCCTAACATCACTATTAAAAGAACTAGACAAGCAAGAGCAAACACATTCAAAAGCTAGCAGAAGACAAGAAATAACTAAGATCAGAGCAGAACTGAAGGAAATAGAGACAAAAAACCCTTCAAAAATCAATGAATCCAGGAGCTGGTTTTTTGAAAAGATCAACAAAATTAATAGACCGCTAGCAAGACTAATAAGAGAGAAGAATCAAATAGATGCAATAAAAAATGATAAAGGGGATATCACCACCGATCCCACTGAAATACAAACTACCATCAGAGAATAATATAAACACCTCTATGCAAATAAACTAGAAAATCTAGAAGAGATGGATAAATTCCTCGACACATATATCCTCCCAAGACTAAACCAGGAAGAAGCTGAATCTCTGAATAGGCCAATAACAGGCTCTGAAATTGAGGCAATAATCAATACCTTACCAACCAAAAAAAGTCCAGGACCAGATGGATTCATAGCTGAATTCTACCAGAGGTACAAAGAGGAGCTGGTACCATTCCTTCTGAAACTATTCCAATCAATAGAAAAAGAGGGAATCCTCCCTAACTCATTTTATGAGGCCAGCATCATCCTGATACCAAAGCCTGGCAGAGACACAACCAAAAAAGAGAATTTTAGACCAATATCCTTGATGAACATCGATGCAAAAATCCTTAATAAAATACTGGCAAACCGAATCCAGCAGCACATCAAAAAGCTTATCGACCATGATCAAGTGGGCTTCATCCCTGGGATGCAAGGCTGGTTCAACATACACAAATCAATAAATGTAATCCAGCATATAAACAGAACCAAAGACAAAAACCACATGATTATCTCAATAGATGCAGAAAAGGCCTTTGACAAAATTCAACATCCCTTCATGCTAAAAACTCTCTATAAATTAGGTATTGATGGGTCGTGTCTCAAAATAATAAGAGCTATCTATGACAAACCCACAGCCAATATCATACTGAATGGGCAAAAACTGGAAGCATTCCCTTTGAAAACGGGCACAAGACAGGGATGCCCCCTCTCACCACTCCTATTCAACATAGTGTTGGAAGTTCTGGCCAGGGCAATTAGGCAGGAGAAGGAAATAAACGGTTTTCAATTAGGAAAAGAGGAAGTCCAGTTGTCCCTGTTTGCAGATGACATGATTGTATATCTAGAAAACCCCATCATCTCAGCCCAAAATCTCCTCAAGCTGATAAGCAACTTCAGCAAAGTCTCAGGATACAAAATCAATGTACAAAAATCACAAGCATTCTTATACACCAATAACAGACAAACAGAGAGCCAAATCATGAGTGAACTCCCATTCACAATTGCTTCAAAGAGAATAAAATACCTAGGAATCCAACTTACAAGGGATGTGAAGGACCTCTTCAAGGAGAACCACAAACCACTGCTCAATGAAATAAAAGAGGATACAAACAAATGGAAGAACATTCCATGCTCATGGGTAGGAAGAATCAATATTGTGAAAATGGCCATACTGCCCAAGGTTATTTATAGATTCAATGCCATCCCCATCAAGCTACCAATGCCTTTCTTCACAGAATTGGAAAAAACTACTTTAAAGTTCATATGGAACCAAAAAAGAGCCCGCATTGCCAAGTCAATCCTAAGCCAAAAGAATGAAGCTGGAGGCATCACGCTACCTGACTTCAAACTATACTACAAGGCTACAGTAACCAAAACAGCATGGTACTGGTACCAAAACAGAGATATACACCAATGGAACAGAACAGAGCCCTCAGAAATAATGCCACATATCTACAACTATCTGATCTTTGACAAACTTGACAAAAACAAGCAATGGGGAAAGGATTCCCTATTTAATAAATGGTGCTGGGAAAACTGGCTAGCCATATGTAGAAAGCTGAAACTGGATCCCTTCCTTACACCTTATACAAAAATTAATTCAAGATGGATTAAAGACTTAAATGTTAGACCTAAAACCATAAAAACCCGAGAAGAAAACCTAGGCAATACCATTCAGGACATAGGCATGGGCAAGGACTTCATGACTAAAACACCAAAAGCAATGGCAACAAAAGACAAAATCAACAAATGGGATCTAATTAAACTAAAGAGCTTCTGCACAGCAAAAGAAACTACCATCAGAGTGAACAGGCAACCTACAGAATGGGAGAAAATTTTTGCAATCTATTCATCTGACAAAGGGCTAATATCCAGAATCTACAATGAACTCAAACAAATTTACAAGAAAAAAACAAACAACCCCATCAAAAAGTGGGTGAAGGATATGAACAGACAGTTCTCAAAAGAAGACATTTATGCAGCCAAAAAACACATGAAAAAATGCTCGTCATCACTGGCCATCAGAGAAATGCAAATCAAAATCACAATGAGATACCATCTCACACCAGTTAGAATGGCGATTATTAAAAAGTCAGGAAACAACAGGTGCTGGAGAGGATGCGGAGAAATAGGAACACTTTTACACTGTTGGTGGGACTGCAAATTCGTTCAACCATTGTGGAAGTCAGTGTGGTGATTCCTCAGGGATCTAGAACTAGAAATACCATCTGACCCAGCCATCCCATTACTGGGTATATACCCAAAGGATTATAAATCATGCTGCTATAAAGACACATGCACACGTATGTTTATAGCGGCACTATTCACAATAGCAAATACTTGGAACCAACCTAAATGTCCAACAACGATAGACTAGGTTAAGAAAATGTGGCACATATACACCATGGAATACCATGCAGCCATAAAAAATGATGAGTTCATGTCCTTTGTAGGGACATGGATGAAACTGGAAACCATCATTCTGAGCAAACTATCTCAAGGACAAAAAACCAAACACCGCATGTTCTCAGTCATAGATGGGAATTGAACAATGAGAACACATGGACATAGGAAGGGGAACATCACACACCGGGGCCTGTTGTGGGGTGGGGGGCGGGGGGAGGGATAGCATTAGGAGATATACCTAATGCTAAATGACAAGTTAATGGGTGCAGCACACCAACATGGCACATGTATACATGTGTAACAAACCTGCACATTGTGCACATGTACCCTAAAACTTAAAGTATAATAATAATAAAATAAAATAAATTAAAAAAAAAAAGAAAATCCAGATTTTGGGAAACTTGCCCAGACTGCCCCTTCTGAGGAAGCCATCTCTAGGGTCTCACTTGAGCAGTGAGAGTGGCTCGGGGTCATCACGTGACCCACAGGAGCTAATTGCATGGGGTAACTGACTACCTATGGGGTGAACTGGCACTAAAACTCTGACCAGCATGGGCAATGGTAATTAGTAAGACCAGTCAAACTTTCCCCTGTATCCCAAATTTGAATTGAAAATGCTAAGGAAATTAATGAAGAGGTAGAGGGAACAAAAAAAAGAAAACCCATAAAGAGAAGCAGGCAATGGGAGAGTGACACACATGGTCATTTGATGGTGGAGCAGTGACCAGTGAAGCAGCAGTAAGATGGCAGAGACCCTGGAGCCTATCATAGCCTGAATAGTGATTATCCTTAGCTTCTCTTGAGAATTCTAGCTCCTCTCACGCATCAGCTCATCAGTGACTTAGGCAATTGTTTGACATGTCTTTCCTGAACCTGACTCATTTCGCTGAGCTGATACAACCTCTCGTTTTTACAGAAAGTGCTCTAAGCTACAAGAGAAATAGCCTCCCTATCGGCCTTCCTATATTTACTCTGTCCACCTCTCTAAACCATTATTCACTTTGAAGTTGGGGTGATCTCTCAAAAATGTAAATTTAACTTCATTAACCTCCTTGCTTAAAATACACAAATGGCTTCCTATTCTTTTGACATACAGTAAAAAATCCCTACAGTAACCTAAAAGTTCCTGCATGGCCTGGCCACTGAGTCTGCTCTTTAGCCTCAGCTTGAGACACACGCCCCCGATCTCTTTGGTTCAGTCACGCTGGCTTTCCTTCAGTCCCTTTTGATCACCACATTCCCTCCTGCCCCAGGGCTCAGCGCAGGCTATTCCTTCTGTCTACAATATGGATCCCTTATCCTTTCACCTAGTTAACACCTACTCATCATCAAGCATCACTTCCCCAGGGATGCCTCGCTGACCTCCCTGACTGATGTCAATCTCATGGCATCTGCCTTGCATAGTACTGTTCACAGGTGTGACTTTTTGTGCAATTACTTGATTAATATCAGTCATTCCCACTAAACTCCCTAAGACCAGGGTCTACATCTGATTTTGCTCACTGTTGTTTCCCCAGCACCTTGTACAGTGCCATGCTAACAGTAGGCATGAAAATATTTATTGAATGATTTTATGTCTAAATACAATGACACTGTGGAAAAGTTCTTCTAGACATGCAACTGTATAGTTGCCATGGAGTGAATGACAATAGTAACAGTGGGCAAGTGACTGTTGCTTAGGAAGGACTGACACAAAACAGAAGATGAGAGAATGGGTGGCTGTATGCACAGTACCCAGGACAAATCTCTCCACTTGGAAGGAGATCCCAATCCTTCTGCAGCCCCAACATCCACCTGCGCACCTAGGAAAATGCCCAAAAGGTCAGTGGCACTTGGCTGTCTTTTATTGAGTTTCATTTAAGCTTGCAGATATATTTCCAAAGAGTTTATGTCAACAGCTTTATAAGCCAAGTTATTGCCAGTTTGGTGCCTATTACCTACCCTAATCCGGCTTTAAATTGACTTGGAAAAACAAAGACAACAAACTTGCAGCCTTGACTGCAAAGTGAAAAGATGGTGCAATTAATGCAAATATCTTTGATTGCCTCTTGAGAAACATTTGTAAATCAAAATTGGTGATGACTTAACTGTGTAGCATATTCTCTCAAATTATGCACAACAGAGAGAAATTGTTTTATATTATTCAAATGTGTAAAGTTATGTTTAATAAGTGAAAAATGTTCTTTCTCATATAATTTCATTTAGGAGACTGGCTTTAGTTTCAAAAACCTTTTGTGGACACCTAGCAAGTTCTAGGTAGTCTGCGAGGGCAGGGGAAGGAGATATGGATATGAACTGCATGATTCTTTCTTCTCAAGGGTCTCACAGACCCTTGAGACCCTTCTCAATCATGGCAATAGAAAGAAATACATGCCATGTTACCAGTGCACATTGTGCAAAGTGAAACGTCCTTCTTCTTATAAAGGAAATAATAATGGTGCAGAGGTTGTAGAAGAGCAGGAGGCACTCACCAAGAAGACCACGAAGGGTTCGAGATAACACAGGGTCCAGCTTTGTAATGTTACAAGTGAAAAAAATGAGGAACCCCTAAAGACAAAGTTCCCTCAAGTAGTTAATGCCAAAACCAGATCCTGAACCCAAAAGTTCCTTTTAAGGAGTTATCCAAGGTACTACCAAATTCTATTATCCTTACTGGCTTTCTCAAAAAACACTCCAGCCATTGGGGGTTGAAAAATCAAGCAAACTTTGATTTGCTGTTTATAAGAGAGCAAGATACAACTTCCTGCCTCCAATTTGGCCCCTTTTCTATCTACTTCTGATATAACCATGAAATAATTTCCTAAAATGCAAATCTGATCATGTGATTCCTGTTGCCCTTAGGATAATAACTGGCATCCTCCATAAGGCCTCCAAGGCTCAATATGCCCTGGCCCTGCCTGGCCTTTAACCACTATCTCCTTCTTTCTCTAGGTGCCACCCACACTATACCTCCTCTGGTTCTTCAATCATATGGTGATTTCTGCCACATCAGGCCTCAACACATAAGTTTCCTCTGCATGGAACACGCTTCCTCCTTCTTCACTACTGATTCATTAGGCTCAGGCAGAGTGCCATTACCCTCACTGTAGACTAGGTTATTACCTCTTTGCCCTCTCTATGTGCTCTGCCATTACTTTTTATCGAGTTACCTGCCTAGTAACTGTCTTCTTTTCTAGACTTAGCCCCAAGAGGGTAGGAATGTCTCTATCAGTCACTCATGCATCCCACACCTCAGCATAATACCCAGATTCTTAGTTAGGAAGGCTAAGCTGCTGGAACAAAAAAACTTCAAAGTCTGAGCATTTTACAGAATGCGAAGTCCTTTTTTCTTTGCCATGTGACAGTCCAGAGTGGGAGTTCCAGGTCTGTGACTGTTTTACTCCATGCAGTCACGTGAGACACAGGATGATCAGCATGTGGCTTCTAAAGTCTTCCTGATAATTTCCACCTTAGTCAGCTTGAATGGGGAAAAGCATGGAGGAGCTTACATGGAAGGTATTCACTTCTCTTCTGCTCCATTTCCGTCTGGAGGAACTTAGTCACATAGCTGCAAAACTACAAGGAAGACTGATATACGTGGGTAGCTGGCCAGCCATGTGCAGGCATTTCTTTACTATGTGGCAGGGAGAAAAAGGATTTTGAAACACAGATGGCTGCTCCACTAAAATCTCAGAGAATGTTTACCAAAATAAACAATTTTTAAATCATTATATTGCTCTGCTATAGATGCTGATATCAATACCCCAACTCCCAGAATCATTCTGTTTCTTTCATTTTGTTGGCAGGATTTCAATATCCAAACAACTGGCTTCAGTGAAAGGTAAGGCACAGATGACGCAGATGTACATTTTTCTCCTCTACCAAGATGGCATGCCAAGTGTTAAAAAAAAATAATAGGACATCAAAGAATGCCAGAGATGTAAGGGAACTTTTGAATAAATCATCAAATATTCATGATGTTCTTTTTAAAGATGTGGGAACTGAAGTCCCGGAGTAGGAATTAACTTACCTAAACTTACACAGTTCATTAAAGACAGAGCTGAGATGAGACCATGGATCCCCTGGCTCCTAATTCAGCGTTCTTCCCACCATATCCAGTTGCGTCTCCAAGGGCAGCATCCTTAGAATGTCTAGAGCAGGACCATGAGTATCTGACTCATGAATGTTAAGTGGAACTCAGGATGCAATCAGCTCCCAACTGCCTCTGTTGACTGAGTGGAAACAGTGTGGCCACCTCTCGAAGTGTAAATATTTGCCCCTGGAAATCAATTGCATAGGTAAAATAAGTTTGGGACTAACAACATTGCCATGGAAATAACAATGTAAGAAAAAAACGCTTGTATACTTGGATCATTCTTTTATTCAAAAGTATAAGGCTTCACCTGTTTACAGAGTAACAAGCACAGCTGTACATTACTATATTGCAGGTTTTTCCCTCCTAGATGACTAGCCAAACTCTCCAAAAGAGACTCTGTAATTTTATTTAAATAAATCTCCATCTTCATGGAACTATTTTTATATTATTACAACACAGCAGACTGGTGATTTATGTTTCAATAATTTACACAACTTCAGGCACTTTTGAGAATTGTCCCATCACATGTCTAACATAACTTCTCCTTCTGGGAGGTTGAGATTGTAACTCGGTCACCTCCACCACACACCCACCCCTGCCCACGTACACAACATTCCTAGCACCAGACTCCTTAAATCGGACCACTGAACCACATTTATTCTTATGCCTTAAAAAAAACACAGGATAAACATGATTCATCTCCCCAGAATGTATTTTATTTAGTGGGAAGTAATTCTAAATGTTATTCATCAAAATCAGACATGGATAGGTCGTGACATAGAAGTCAATACAAACCCACATTTTCTCTGCTGGCTACTTGGGCCTATGCCCCAATCTCATGAGGATTAGGAATGCAGGGTGAGTATATATTTGCCTCTAACACCCAGGGTATTTTTGCAGTGGGAAAATTTGAGAAGCACTGGGAAAATTACTGGCCTAAAAAGTAGACAGCAGGGACCTAGTTTTTAGTTCTGATATATACTACCTATGTGAGCTTGAGCAAACAACTTCTCTCCTGTAGGTCTTCACATCATTCACAAAAATAACTGATATTAGGACAAGTTCTAAAATGAGGAGATTCTTTCATTCTTCTGTATTGAGACTGGTATTTCCATGACACCATTCAATGTGAACTGACAGTGAACGAATTAGGAGATTTAGTGTTCCACATTCCAGAGCAGGTGAGGAGGAAGAGGCAGAGGATTTTTCTGAAGTTCAAAACAGCCCAGTTTAACACATGTATAGTGAAGCCTACAACATGCCAGGGCCTGGGAATGAATGCAAAGATAAACAAGAGGCAATAACTGTCCACAAAGAATATATAGTCCAATGTGCTATACAGTATAGCAGCCACCAGCTTCATGTAGATACTGAGCACTTGAAATTTGGTTAATTTGAATTGAGATGTGTTAAGACTTAGGAGACTTAGTAGGAAAAAAAATGTAAAATATCCCAATAATTTGTTTATATTGATGACATGTTGAAATGATAATATTTTAATATATTGGCTTCAGTAAAATAGATTATTAAAATTAACTTTTACCTGTTTATTTTTACTTCTTTAAAGTGGCCATCTATCAGAAATTTTAAAATTATGATTGTGGCTCAAATTATTTTTGGTGGGGGTACAGCACTGATGTAGAAGATAATATAAACAGAGTGTTTCAGTTTGAAGATTATGAAAAGATTATGTTTAAGAATTACAGAAGCACAAAGGAAGGACATGTAGCCCCACCTGGGAGTTTGGGAAAGAGTCCTGCAAAATACACTGCCTGAAAACACAACACCTAGAGGCAGCGTGCATCTTGGAGTGAAACCAGAGCAGTTGTGTGGGCAAGCTATAATACTTAGCCTCTTGCTGTCTCCGTTTCTTCATCGATAGAGTGGGGGTTGATACTAAGACATACCTCATCGGACTGACATCAGAATGTAGTGAGTTGAGTCATGTGCATTCATCCCAGGGAGGAGTCATTGGCATGTAGAATGTGTGTCGTATATTATTGTCCACCAGAACACAAGCTCCAAAAAGTCAGAGTTTGTTCTTTTGATGTTGCTCACTGCCCTACGCCCCAGAACTATCACAGGGCCTGGTAATAAATACTTGCCAATAAATACTTGTTGGATGGATAGAGTATGCAGCGACTACACACAGTTCAGTATTATTAAAGTACTGACAGTGAGCTAGGGAATAACAAAGAGGGCAGCAGAAATCGGCCTGGCTTAATGTCTTTCCCTGCACCCCCATTCCAGAGGCAAGAGAGCCAATAAAAGATGCCAAAAGAGAAAGAGCAGTCCCTTGTGTTTTCAGTTGCACTTAGCCCTTTACAATATGCTTTCACATACTAGTTCCCAACTCTGCGAGGCAGACAGTGAAGGAATTAAGAGGCAGCATGCTGGGTTTATTAAGGGAAGAATCCAACCATAAAAACAGGAAACTAAAACGCCTCACCGAATATCATCAGTGTTATTAGAACAACCAGAGTTCCTCGTTATCTTTTATTTTTAATATTTTCTAGCTCTGTTTTTACCATGGCCATATGCTATTTTATAGTGAAGGGAAAGGCATGCTGTTTTTTAAAAGAGATGCAGGAAAAGAATGGGAAGTTGGCTAGACCAGATGGAGTTCCCATTTCAGAGTGCAGTCAGACCTGAACTTCATCAGAGGGTCAAAAAATATCTGGATTCCACAATCACGATGGGGATGCCCTTGCAAGAAGATACTCCTAAGTGGCTAATCTTTCTATGGACTTTGAAGTCAAAGATTTCATATACTTTCTTTGCGACATCTTAGCAATGTGAACTTTATTTAACCAAATATATAGCCTGGGCACTGCTCAGAGATACAATAAAAACTGAGAAGGCCCACACACTTCCTCCTTTCACCCACTTGTCTTCACTCTTGTCCATCCTCCTCACCTTTAACTGAAAAATTAGTTGCTCAAAATGCTTTGATGCCTTCTCTTTCCACTTTGAAGAAAATCCTGATTCCTTTACACGGCCTACAAGTCCTGCATGATCTAGCTTTTGCCTACAAACACCCTTCCAGCCCCTAGACTCTACTCACAACTGTCTTCTTTCAGAAATCTGCCAAATATGTCAGATTTCTTCTGACCTGAGACTTCACGTATCCAGCTTCCCAAGCCTGGAACATTCAGCAAATTCCTAATCTCACCCTGAACCTCACCCTTTTCGTGGCTGGCTCCTCCTCATCCTAGTAATCTTAGCTTAAATATTAATCTACTCACGGAGGCCTTCCAGACCACCCATCTAAGTAGTTTTCCTCCCAGACCCACTCTGTAATTTTTTTCCTGTCTCTGTACCTTCCTTGCCTCATACATCACAAGTTGTAAATATATATATATATATATATATATGTAAAATATATATAAGTGGACAAATAACATACAATAACAGAAAAAATAAATACATGTGTATACATATACATACTCTTGATTATTATTGATTTCTTTGCTAGATCGTAAGATCTATGAGAGCAGAAACCACATCTGAGGTTTTTTAATTAAAAAAAAAATAGGGACAAGGGTCTTGCTATGTTGACCAGGCTGGTCTCAAACTCCTGGCCTCTAGCAATCATCCCATCTCGGCCTTCCAAAGTGCTGGGATTACAGGCATGAGATCCAGTGCCTGGCCCCACATCTGGTCTTGTCCGCTCTGTATTCTGGGAAGTAACAGGCACTTAGTAAGCACTCAATATGAAAATCATGTTATTCGGACTGAACATCATTCTTTGAAACTGTCATTGTTGCACATTACCTGGACTGAAAGCTGGGACATTTTGTTCTTATTTTCTTCAGATTCATTCATTTAACAGCATTTATTAGCACCTACAATGTAGCAGACATTTGTACTGTCACTGGGAATACAGTGATTTTAAGAAAAAAGGTCTGATCCCTGGCCCATGGAGACTGCTTTCTAGTTGAGGAAAGGACAGGTAAACATGTAATATCTGTAAAGGGTGATAAGTTCTACACTAGGGGATGTATTGGTGACTAAAAGAACACAAAGCATACGAATTTTCTTCATGGTAACTTGTACATTTCCCTGTGTTCACAGCAGCACAGTGGAAAGAAACGAATTAGCATTGCCCTATCAAGAAGCTTACCTGAGAGAAACCAGCTGGGAGATCACTCTGTTTTAGGCCACGAGTCAAAGAGAACCCTTATTCATCATTATAGCAAAGAGCTTTTCCTGAAAGTCATTCTCCTTTCTCATACTGACACGAAGTGATGCTGTGTCTGACACAGAATATAAATTCCACAAGAGTAGGACTTCATTTTATTCGGTGATTCCTAATATCAAGGACTGAGCCTCGTCCATAGTACATGCTCTATCAATATTTGTTGAATAACTGAATGAAATTACAGATCAGAAAACCAAAGCTTAGAGAGGTGAGAGACTTTTCTAAGGTCACATGGCAAGCAAGTGGTAAATCTCATATCTAACTCTACTAATTCTAATTGCTATTAAGGGACCTTTGTTCTCGGTTGTTTAAAGATGCAGGATTGGAAACTCCCACATCCTTCTCCCAGATAGGAGGCAAAGGGCCAAGATTTAGAAGGTTCCCTACAGTTCCCTTGGAAGACACAACAGCAGGTCTGGGGAAGGGTTATTTCTAACTCAGGATACTTTATTCCACATTTCTTCTCTCCTAGCTCTGAGGAAGTGCTCAGATCTGGAAAAAGCTATTGCCACCACTGCTCTGATTTTCAGAAATTCTTCTGACTCTGATGGTAAACTTGAAAAAGCTATTGCCAAAGATCTGCTGCAAACCCAATTTAGGAATTTCGCAGAGGTGAGAGAATTAACTTGCATAAAGAAACAGAAACTACACCCTCATGGCTGACCCAATGAGCAAATAACTCCAGCTCCAGGTCCCTGTCATGTTGTCTCACGTAACAAATGTTTATTGAACACCTACCTTATGCCAGGCAGTGAGCTGCACTGGAGTTGATGCAGTGAAGACAGCAATCCCCAGCAGAAGAAAGAAATACACTAAAAAAGTAATTAAAAATAGTCAAAGGATGTGAAAGAGTAGAGCATTCAGTGAGAGTAAAACAGAGGAACTATCTTGGGGCAGGTAATCAAAGATGGGCTCCTGGAAAACTAAGGTATAGCTGAGATCTGAAGAATAAGCAGGAGGTAGCTAGGCAAGGGGGAGTGAGAATGATGGCGTTCCAAGCAGAGATCTGGAGGGCCAGTTGGTGAGAAGGGATGGGACGGTAGCTGGGAAGTGGTTAGAGATGAGGCTGGGGAGGCGAGGAGAAGCCAAATCTTACAGAAGCATAGCCTGATAGCAAGAGGAAGCCAGGAACTATGTCTACGTCCAGGCCTAAGAAATTACACCAGCTGCAGTACAGAGAACAGACTAGGGTTGGGGGTGGAATAGGAAAAAAGGGAATAACTAGCTGTGGGGAGGCAATTCAAGAGAAAGATGGTGATGGCTTAGACTACGGCGGTGAAGATGGAGATAAACAAACAAATAGAAGAGACGTTTAGAAGGTGGAATGAACAAGATCTGACAATTGATTGACTGTGAGAGTTGAAGGATAGGAAAGAAAATGATGACAACCCAATTTCTGACTTACAAAAGGAATGGTGGTGTTCCCACTCCTAGAGAAGAAAAAGGCTAAAGAATAAGCAGGTTTGAGGTGGGATGGAGGTAGGGAGGAGATGGCGAGTTTCATTAGGTTGTGTCAGTGTTTAGATGTCCATGAAATATTTAAGAGGAAGACTTAGCAACAGGACAGATGAGTTCAAAGGTGAGAATAGAGATCTGTGTTCAAAATATGGAAATGAGAGTCAGCAGTATATAATCAGTCACTGGCCTAAAGGTTACTACCTTACTCACCTAAGGGTATATTTCTCGAATTTCAGTCATTGAATACCATATTTAGTATTTTTCCCACAACTGCCTATAGCCTGTGTTGCTTAGAACTTTTCCTTTATGTTTTCTCTCTACTTAAGTAAATTTTTATAAGGACACCGTATCATTATTCTTATTGTAAATTCAGTGGATTAGAGTAAAAAATAATAGTGAAAAAATAGACGACTATCAATTCTTATTTAGTGTTTAATATTTATTCTTGCATCACCTAAAATGGCATTACATTCTATCGGCAGTATATATTCATACTTTGGAAAATACCAGCCTAGGGAAAATGTGTAAGAGGAAAAGAGGGCCTCATATCAGCTTAAACTATCAATATTTATTGATGGGTAGAGCAAGAAAGCACATAGAGGCAGTCTCCAAGTCCCTGTATCTGTTCTGAAATATTGAAAAGATATTATTCTCTCTATATATGCACACATACACATACATAAACACCTATATATGGTTTCAGTGCACTACAGTTATATAAGATGTCACCCACTGGGGGGAGCTAAGTCAAGGGTACAACTTTCTGTGAGTGGGTGATTATTTCAAAAGAGAAAGGGAGAATATAGTGTAATACACAGATAAATGAACGGAAGTAAATGTTAATAAGGGTTAGCTATTTTGAGTAATGGGGTAAAGGGTTACAGTCACAGTCCTTTTTTTAAATTTACTTTTTCTAAATGTTCTATATTAAACATGTATTTTTCTGATTTTTTTTTTTTGGAAAGCTACTTTTTCAGGCAGAAATATCAGGCAGAATTTATCAAGAGATAACAAGTTTTGGGGAGTCTAAGGAAAGGATGGGTAAATAAATCCTATACCATTTGCCCACATCCAAGGCCAAAAGAAATGGGGCCCATATGCCAGACAGAAAGGGGGCTCATTACCTGGTAACCTGGCAAATGCTCAGCAAGCTTTTAACACATATGAAAATGAAGAACTAATGGATGCACCATCTTGATGTAACTCATCATCCCTCTCAGAACACCAGGGGAAAAGAATTAAAAACCGGTCCTTAGGAAAGACACCTTCAGCCTCATGTCTCTCAGTGTAGGCTAAACCCTAGAAGTACAGCCAATTTCTGGATCTCTCTAGCAGCAGGCACACCCAGGCCTCAGTGTAATCTTGCCCTCTGCTCAAGATGAAAGCAGAGCCATATTTCAGGGACTTGAGGGGACAGTTCATTCCAAGGCATTCTCTGCAATGTCTGTCAGAATGCTGCCTTGGCCCAACCGCCCTGCCCCATGAGACCCCCTAGGGCAGGTGCATTCACGTGAGTCAATGGCAAAGCTCAGGAGCCCACTTCATTCCTAACTGGGCTTTCTCCTCAATCCCCATGTTGCGTCCCCTGATAAACTGAGCTGGTTCTTTTGGCGAAGGCCTGAGTTCTAAGGGGAACATTGCCTTTCCCATAAGGCTAAACATGGTTTTGGGGATCTTAGCACCTTATAGCCAGTCAGATAGAATTTTAAAAAGCACCTAAAGGCACTACTGGGAAGATACAAAAAGGTGACAGGTCATGCCCCAGGAGGACTGGACCTCAGAAAATGGTGTGCTCTTAAAATATGCAGGAAATAAAAGAAGACCAATACCTATCTCATACCTCTGAGCAAACAGTGTGCCATTCTGCTAGTAAAGTGGTCCTGTCTACCTGTGTCTTGGAATCTGACCCTTTCTAAATAACACTCAGCTCTCCTGGAGGGAGAGAGTAGAGAGCTCCCCTTGGCCCTCATGGATAGGGTGATGGTGACCTCTTGAGGAGAAACAGCCTATAAGAGGAATGTAGCATCATTCCCAAAGTGCCTTAGTCATTGCTGTGATGGCTTTGTACACCTAGCACATGGGTGAGCATTTGGGAACAAACTAAATGCAAATATGGTTCAATATAATGGTGAATCAAATGACTTTAACATTTTTATTGTCACTGGGGAAGATATTTCACAAGCTGTGATTTGAAATTAAAAAGTCTCTCCATTTATATACTATTAAGATGCTTTCCTTCAATCTGACTATTTATGAACACTGTGAACATAGTTTGATTTATAATCAAACTAAAGCTAAATAATCTTTCAAAGCATGTATTTTCTTTTAGCATATTATATTCTATATTTCTGGATAATCTTAAGTCTTAGATAACGAACCCATAGAAGATACCTTCCCTAACACAAAGATTGTATTTTGAAAATTTAAAAACATAATATGTGTGTTCAAAAAAAGGCAGAATAGCTTAGCAGTTAAGAGTATGGGCTGTCAAGAGGTAGATGGGCTACAAACCCTGGCTCCACACCAAAATCTTCCAGCTTGGCGCAAGTCTCTTAATTATCACCTGTCTCTGATACTGCATCTGTAGGATGAGGATAATAGTGGTATATATTCAATAAGGTCACTATGATGATTAGAGGAGATAACACATAAAAAGATTTCACATGGTGTTTTACTGGTAGCATTGTTGGCAACTTGATGTGTTATTATTGTTAATAACATGTTTATTATTTACTATGATTTGGATGTTTGTCCCCTCCAAACTCCATGTTGAAATTTGATCTCCAATGTTGGAGGTGGGGCCTTATGGGAGGTGTTTGAAGTCATGGGGACAGAGCTTTCTTGAATAAATGAATGCCCTGCCTTGGGGGTGGTGAGTGAGTTCTCACTCTGTTAGTTACCACAAGAGCTGGTTGTTTAAAAGAGCCTGGAACCCTCCCTCCTCCTCTTGCCCCCTCTCTTGCTGTGTGATCTGTTCATACACCAGCTCCCCTTCACCTTCTACCATGAGTGGAAGCAGCCTGAGGTCCTCACCACATGCAGATGCCTGATCTTGAACTTTCCAGCCATCAGAATTGTAAGCCAAATTTTTCTTTTTTCTTTATAAATCACTCAGTCTCAGGTATTCTATTACAGCAACACTAAACAGACTAAGACATTATTGTTTATGATCTGTAAACCTAAAGTCTATACAACGAATTCGGTTTTTATTTCTCCATTCTCACAGGGACAAGAAACCAAGCCAAAATACAGAGAGATCCTTTCTGAACTTGATGAGCACACAGAAAATAAGCTAGATTTTGAAGACTTCATGATCTTGCTCTTAAGCATCACTGTCATGTCAGATCTGCTACAAAATATACGGAATGTAAAAATTATGAAATGAACAGTTTTAAATATGCTGTATAAAATAATGGCAAAAGACAGTGTTATTAAAATGTTTCCATCTTATTTTTGATTAATTGAATATATCTATCATGCATCTGAAATTGCCTAGGATGGTTCTGATTGCTGGTATTCAGATCCAATGTAACTCCAAATATTTACCCATACACTTCAAGAATGTTTGAATGATAAGGTCTCTGTGTGCTTTACAATAGGATAGATTTGATACCACTGAATAATAAATGGCTTTTGCTGAGTCAGTAGCGACCTAGAGCACTCTACTTATAGTCATTGAGTCACTCATTTATTCACTAAACATTTGTTGAGCATCTACTTGATGGAACTGCTGAGGATACAGTAATGAATTGGCCAGGCAATTCCTTCCTTCAGACATGTTTGCAGAAGTCTAGCAGAAGAGATAGACATTGAACAATTTTTAAATAATTGCATACACAGTATAATTAGAATTGAAATAAGGGCTATAGGATGCTAAAAGAGATTATCACCTGATCGGAGTTCAAAGGTCAGAAAAGCTTTACTGACATTCTATAAAAAGCAAAAAAAAAAAAATTGGTCCATGGATGCCAGGGATATGGGTGGGAAATGGGGCTGTCCACAAATGGCACAAGGGGAGTTTTTTATTTTATTTTATTTTATTTTATTTTATTTTATTTTGAGACAGAGTTTTGCTCTTGTTGCCCAGGCTGGAGTGCAATGGCACGATCTCAGCTTACTGCAACCTCGATCTCCCAGGTTCAAGTGATTCTCCTGCCTCAGCCTCCTGAGTAGCTGGGATTACAGGCGTGTGCCACGATGCCAGGCTAATTTTTTTTGTATTTTTAGTGGAGACGGGGTTTCGCCATGTCGGCCAGGCTGGTCTCGAACTCCTGACCTCAGGTGATCCGCCCACAGCCTCCCAAAGTGCTGGGATTACAGGCTTGAGCCACCAAGTCTGGCCAAGGGGACTTTTAAGGGGGCTGGAAATGGTCTCCATTTTGATTGTGAGGTGGTGGCTACAAGATTGCATGCATTTGTCAAACTCATAGAACTGCACACTGAAAAGAGTGAATTGTACTGTATGTCAATTATACCTAAATAAATCTGACTTAACAAAAAAATAAAACCCAGTATTCTTGTAATCTCTGAACACAATTTAACCAACAATTCCTTGGGATTATGATGTAAAAGTAGTCATATCCCAGAGACCCACACCGACTCCCATGACCACCTCCTGTATTCCTGAATATAAATTACATACACACATATAGTCAACGCCTGAACCTTTAAGGTAGACTCTCACAAAGATTTTTATTCATGTAGGACCTCACTTGAGGACAGCAGGCCCCAGTAGGGTAGCTCAGCATATGGCAATGGGCACTCAAGGTCCCCAGAGCGGGCACTGGGCAACAGCCAGAGGCACAAGCCTTCATCAACCCTGGCTTTCAGAGATGCCATCTTACTCTATCTTTACATGGGAGTAATAATGTTCCCCCTTTCCAACTGCAGGAACTGAGGATTACAGTAGCTAAATGATGGTCCAGGATCATTGAGGCAATCAATTTCAGAGTCAGAATCCTGGCAGAAGCAAAGAGGTGCCAAAAGGGGAGGAGAAACAGGAGACATAGTTTTCCGGCTTTGATTCCCATTTTGTTCCAGTCACTTGCTAAGTTCCACAATCAGGCAGGCAGTCACCTAACATGTATTGCACTTCTACCGCAGGCTGTTGCCAAGAGAGAGGCAAAGAGGAACGAGTCACAGTCTTTACCTTCCAGGAGTTTATGGCTGGCAAAACATGTATGTAAATGTGGTCTATTGGAGCTATTCTATAATCCTGTCAAATGCATGGTAGGACTTTACTTCTCTGTTTCCTTACAGTTGAGTGTGCCCATCCTTTGACCAGTGACATCTGAGCTGAAGTGAAATATGCCACTTCCAGGTGGAGGCTTTGAGAGCCTGGGTCAATTCACTGCCCTGCTTCCCTGGGCTGTGATAACTGGCAACATGCCCCATGGAGGCTGCTCCTTTAGCCTGGGTCCTGAGGGAGGCCAGTTTAGAGCAGAAGCCCAGACAAACTGATACAGACATCTTGCTGAAGAAAGAAATAAATATTTTACCAGAAAAAAAGACGGTTATTCACTGTAAAATTATTATAACTTCCCAAGTTATCCCTCACCTCTCATTTTCTTCCCAGCCCAACATTGTATGCCTCATAACCTATGTTAAGAAAATCTGCCAGGCACAGTGGCTCACGCCTGTAATCCCAGCACTTTGGGAGGCCAAGGCGAGCAGATCACCTGAGGTCAGGAGTTTGAGACCAGTGTGACCAACATGGAGAAACCCCATCTCTACTAAAAATACAAAATTAGCCAGGTGTGGTGGCACATGCCTGTAATCCTAGCTACTCAGGAGGCTGAGGAAGGAGAATCACTTGAACCCAGGAGGCAGAGGTTGCAGTAAGCCAAGATCGCACCATTGCACTCCAGCCGGGGCAACAAGAGTGAAACTCCATCTCAAACAAACAAACAAACAAACAAAAAAATCCTTTCCAGAGAGAAACCTTCAGCCTTGCTCTGGTGAAGTGTTGCTTCATCCTGTCGTTTTCCAGATCCACCAGAACCCAACTCCCTGGCCCTCCCCACTTCCAAAGCTCAGACATCCTAAATCGAAGAGATTACAGATAATGTAAAGGAAAGGCCCAGAGTTTATCCTCTCACCATTTTAACAGGAGGCAGGAGTGTTTAACAAAAACATTCAAACTCACTTATCTGACAAAAGAAGAAAAAGGAATTAAAGAAAATTTGTTATATGTCCCATTTTCAAAGGCTTCTTGCTTTGAGCTGTTTCAAGTTGAGTGATAGAAAAGTTTTTTTTTGTTGTGTTTTGTTTTGTTTTTTGACAAACACAGGGCTCATACTATGAGCCAGGCACTGTTCTAGGGAGTTCCAAATAGTAACTCATTTAATACGATAACAACCGTGTGAGATAGATATTATTATTATTACCATCTCATAGATGAGGAAACTGAAGCACAAAGGTTGTGATTTTCATGAATCACACAACTAAGCAGATTCGAGAGTTTTCTGCCTTCCCCAAGGGCATTGTTAATTTTGCTTTAATATTAGACTTCTTTGTGAGCAATAATATTATAACTCACCAAAAATAGCTGTGCACATTTCAGGCACTGTGCAAGAGATAGCAGTACCAGCTGGGACCTAGAGAACCATTTGGCATTCCTCAAATAGAATTCTGTGGGCTGTTCTCCCTCAAAGCCCTTTGTGTCTCAGTTGCAAGTAGCTGAATATGGCAACCTTGGTGGCCAATGGAAAGGTCATATTCACACCTTTCAGAGAAGGAAACTAGAGAGCCTGACCAATGGTGTGATGAAGAATCTTGGAGTCCTTCCAACTCTATGGGCTCCCAGTAAGAATTTTTGAAAATCCATCCCAGATGGAAAGTCACACTCCTCTGGGAGAGATATCAATTATAGAATCTATTTTAGCCTGATGCAAAGAATGCAAACAGAGCAAAAGCACATGTATGTGTTGAAGCATCAGCGACAGACAAATCAATGAGTGTGATGCTAAGACACTAAAACATAGGAGATCTACTTCTTGGTTCTAGTCCCAGGACCATGAGCTCTACTCTAAAAACAAAGCTGCCATCTTGAAAATGTTACTGATCGTCACAAGTGAGATTGTGATGCAAATCTGTCTTAAGATACCTTGGTTGAAAAGAAAAAAATCCGTTCCAATTACACATAAATACATATACACACACACACAAAGGAAAAATGGGAGGGTTGTATTTATCAAGGTACAGAGCATATAATGGAATGAAAGGATAGAGAATGCAGTGAATGTCCACACAATCCTGAAAACAACAATAGAAAGCAAAATTGAGGCTTCACTCTCAGTTTCTCTCAAATGAATTGGTTTCTGATCTCTGCTTCTCTCTGCATGTGGTCATTATTTTGTATTCTCTTTCTCTCTATCTCTCTATCTCTATTTCCTAAACCAAGTATTTCTGGATTCTTGGCACAAGAGCCAAACACAATGTCCCCATTGCTGACTTGACTTTTCCCTTTAAATGCTCAACAGACACTCAGTAGCATCTCAGAAGGCCCAATTCTTATCCCAGGAGAGAGACACTGATTGGCTGAGTTTGAGTAATGACTTCTAATCTAATTGTCTGAGGTCAAGGTGGAGGCTGACATGCTCACTTAGCAGGGACTGTGGGAACCGACTTTTTGCGGAGTCTGTGGATGGGTTCTCAAAGAAGGAAGAGAGGAACTGGGGAGGAAGTGATTGATAGAGGAAATTATAAGAATCTCTAGTACAAAATCTGTGACTTGGACTAGAAAGGCAATGTTATTTGCATCTCAGATATGGGCTTAGTGAAAGTGCCTTGAAGGAATAATTTTGTTTGTTACTCCAAGTGAAACCTTTAGTGTATTGTCATTGTACAAAAGAAGCTAACCTGACTCTCCCTGGGAAGTTTTCCTGTGATTAAATATAGCCAAGATATTCCTGTACAAGAGCTGTGGCAAGCTTGCAATTTGGTGAACATGATAGAAACATACCCTATCCAAGAACCCCTAATTTTCTTTATTTTAGCATCTAAAAATGGATCCAACTCTGAGATCAGGATTTGCGCTTTAAATAGTCCTTTATAAGAAAGGGGGAGAGGGTTGGAAGAAAACCAATGGCAGTACTGTTCATCAGCTGATCTTCTTCATGGGTAGAGCTAAGGAGAGCTCTTGGGGAGACCATTCTGCTCAATATGAAAAGGTTGGGCCAGCCCATTAACAAGGGGGGAGAGTGACCCAAAGAATTCAAGCCTGAGAGATTTGTTATACTAGTCTCCTCTTCTCTAACTTCAGTCTAGGCCAC
The DNA here is from genome assembly GCF_000001405.40 of Homo sapiens. Taxonomy (NCBI): domain Eukaryota; kingdom Metazoa; phylum Chordata; class Mammalia; order Primates; family Hominidae; genus Homo; species Homo sapiens. The sequence goes on from NC_000003.12 coordinate 63,668,984, forward strand.
ATGGATTCCGATTTCACTTTGATCTTTTAGGAGATACAATTTTTAAATCAAATGCAGGAGGTGGCATGGTATAAAATGGAAATTTTAGCATGTTTTATACTCCCACACACTTGAGGAATACCACACGTTCCTGTTACAAGTTCTCAGTACCTTATTCACAACTCTAAATCTAAAGAACAGTGACCATCTAAATTTTTTCATAATTATTTGGTAACAAATTACAAACTGTAACTAACTAGAGGCTATTTGTGGTCTTTATTTCTTCCACTTTGGGTGAGTGTTCAGAGTGTGTAGCTAGGAGATCTATGTCCCTAGAGAAATTGTTGATTTGTAGAAGTGGGCCAGAGAGAGGACCTGAACTCTAGTCCTAGATATACCACCACAAGCTGGGTAGCTCTGTAAAAGTCCTCCAACTTTTCTAAATGAGCCTTGTGTTTTGTTTTGTTTTGTTTTGTTTTGTTTTGTTTTTCAAATAAAAATTTGAGATCAGAAAGGGGTCTGTTTTCTTACAGAAGTTGTTGTGGGACTTCAAGAGGCATATACACATTTGAGGAGCTCAAAGTGTACCTATGCACACGCCTGATGTCTATTCTAACTTGTCTTATTCTAGACAAATTGTTACTATCATTTTCTTTATTAATAACTGCCCTTTATAGAACATCTACTACACTCAAGTACTGCTGTATAGTCTTTTATTAATTCCCTACACAGCTTTAGGGATTGGTATTTCTCTATTTTACAAAAGAGAGTGAAATTTAGGGAAGGTTGAACGTCCTACCCAGGATCTCATAGCATTAAGCGGCAGATCAAATCCAGGATTGCAACCCAGGCTTATTTCATGCTACAGTCTAGCTTCTTTATGATACCAGGAGTGGATATAAAACCGCCAAAGGAGGGTTTCTCCATTATTTACAGTTTATACTGAATTACAACAAATTTATTCTGTAAAATAAGGAAGAGGAAGAGGAAGGAGCAGCATTTCACATGCCCAGAGCTCAAAGGAATCAAGAAGAGTTTTGTGGGTTTTTATAATGCTCTAACAATATAACAATTTCCCTCCCTCTCTGTGTCATTTAGTTTAGTTTTCCAGAAAATTATTCCTCTGGGAGAAGGCAATGGAGTTTTTAAATCTGTGTGGCCTGTAGCCCATGGTTTTCCTTAAAGAAGGTACAAATGTTGGGAAGAAGACCATGGAAGAAGGGAAAGGAAGGCAGTAGAGCCCCTGGGAAGGTGAAAGCATCTTCCTGATCTTAGCACGTGGCAGGTGGCATGGTAGAAACACTGATGCAAAGGTTAGAATGACTTTTACTTCCAGCTCTGTACCTGCTACCTCCTCTCTAGCTCTCAGATTCTTCCTTACTTAGTGAAAAGGGACTCTGTGACCAGATGTTCCCTAAAATCCCTTCCCATTCTGATAATCTTTTATGCAAAGAAATATTTTCAAAAAGAAAATTATAACAAGGTGCTAATACGCATATGGACAAATTCTAATCACCTAAGAATCTGTCTTTTCTACCCCTTTTCACAACCTTGGCCATGACAGTCTGTGGCATAAGCCGAGCACACAGAGGGCTAAATGTCAATAAGCAGATGTCCTAGAAGGGAGAATAAGAAGAGGGGCAGGAGAAGCTGACAAATTCTCAGTGCTTTTCAGATTAAGAACATGAAGATAAGGTCAAACAATTCATGTGGCCATCTATTAATCTGTAAGGTCTTTAAAAGCAAGAGCCCTGCCTGTCTTGTATAGTAGCTTCAGCACCTAGAACAGTGCCCTTATATAGCAAATGCTTAGTGAATATTGAAAAGAAAAATGACTTTGGGAGACCGAGGCAGGCGAATCACAAGGTCGAGAGATCGAGACCATCCTGGCCAACATAGTGAAACTCCGTCTCTACTAAAAATACAAAAATTAGTTGGGCGTGGTGGGGCGTGCCTGTAGTCCCAGCTACTGAGGAGGCTAAGGCAGGAGAATCCCTTGAACCCAGGAGGTGGAGGTTGCAGTGAGCCGAGACTGCGCCACTGAACTTCAGCCTGGGCGACAGAGCAAGACTTGAAAAGAAAGAAGGAAAAGAAAGAAAGGGAAAGAAAGAAATGAATGGATGAATGAGTGCTTCTCAAACAGAAGGGGTAGAAAGGGGACTATTAACATATTTGCTTATACGCAGGTCAATGACATGCCAAAAAAAGAAAACACAGGTGTGCTCTAGTGGTAGATGAGTAAACTAGGTCTGATCACAAAGACTGTGCTAGTTTTCAGAATTGGTGGAAGGGAATATGCAGACTCCATTTAAGACTGCATTTATTCCAATTTAGCTCATAACTAGCGAATAAGCAGTCTTCAAGATCAAAAACACTCTGTGTCTTTGTGTTACTTCAAAGACACAGAGAATGCAGCACTCCGGTTGTTTAAGGGTCAGTGAAGTTCTCACAGAATGGGAAATCTACCAAGGAAGACTTTATCCAAAACATTGCAACAAGGGAGAGACATGGAACTCAACTCTAAATACAGTAGGGGCAAGTGACGATTTATAGCCTATGGGCAGGGTGAGGAAGTAGATGAAAAATTGCGAAGAGGAGACGGGTTAGGTATCAAGGATCAGGGACATGAGGAACTTTATTGGATATCAAGGGTGAGAGATTCACACTAAACAGGTCTTGACAGTCTAAGGACAAAGCCTACTGGAGTAGAGGGCTCAAATGAGGCTAATGTTTGGCCAAGGAACTAGTCCAGGAGCAATATGTGGTACCTCTACTACAATACAAAGATTATTGAAGCATTCAATCTCCCATCCACATGGTTGACAGATATGTATGAAGCACTTCTGCTGGGTTCTGGGATACAGTGTGGGAGCAAGACAGATATGATTCTTGTTCTCATGGAGCTACGTGGAATTCTCATGGCACTTACTGACCTGCATAATTTCCAGTTTGCAGAAACTAGAAATTATGTAGCTCAAGTGGAAATTATGAAGTTCAGTAAGTGTAATGACAGGGAAAGTACAGAAATGTCTAATAGGAGCACCCAACCATGGTTTTGAGTTTTTTTGTTGTTTTTTAAAATAACTTCACAGATGATATTTTGTCTAAGGCCTGAAAGATGGGTAGAACTTGGCAAGGCAGCAAGGACAGAGAATAACATCATTAAGAACATAGCAGTTTCAATAAACTGGAAAAAAAAAGCATGATATGACCCAAATGCAGCATGAGGCAAAGATGTGGGAGAGACGTGAGAAATTAGGCTGGGAAATGGATAGAGGCCAAATCAGAAAAAGCCTCAAGAACCACATTAAAAAGATATATATATATAACTTCTCCTCAACTTATGATGAGGTTACATCCCAATAAACCCATCGTAAATTGAAAATATTATAATTTGAAAATGCATGAAATACACCTAACCTACCGAACATCATAGCTTAGCCTTGCCTGCCTTAAATGTGCTCAGGATACTTACATTAGCCCACAGTTGGGCAAAATTATCTAACACAAAGCCTATTTTATAATAAAGTGTTGAATATCTCATGGAATGTATTGAATACTATACTGAAAATGAAAACAGAAGCCGGGCGTGGTGGCTTACACTTGTAATCCCAGCACTTTGGGATGCTGAAGTGGATGGATCACCTGAGATCAGGAGTTCGAGACCAGCCTGACCAACATGGTCAGCTACTCGGGAGGCTGAGGCAGGAGAATCACTTGAACCCAGGAGGCAGAGGTTGCAGTGAGCCAAAATTGCACCACCACACTCCAGCCTGGGTAACAAGAGTGAAACTCTGTCTCAAAAAGAAAGAAAGAAAGAAAACAGAATGGTTGTATGGGTATTCAAAGTACAGTTTCTAATGAATGCATATTGCTTTCACACCATTGTAAGTAAAAAAAAAAAAAATTCATAAGTTGAACCATTGTTAAGTTGAGGACCATCTGTATGCTTATTGCAGGACTTCTCTGAGCCTTTATTAGTAGATATCTTAGTTTGGGTTCCCCCAGAAGCATGCTATAAAATAAGAATTCGAATATAATTCGTTTATGTGGGATGTTATTTCAGGCAACTTCACTAGGAGAAGGGAAGCCAGTCAATACAGGGTACATTAATGAGCTGTTTTACCACTACGGGGACCTGGAGCTCAATCCCACTGGTGATATCTGAGAGACAATATAGAACACACCTCAGAGTTATCCCAACCAACAGGCAAGAAAGCTGGGAAACTTTCTCCCAACTACCATCTCTCATTTGTTGAAGTCTGCTTTCAAAGGCGTTGACTCTCAGGTACTTCCAACTTGCTCTGCAGGCCACAACATGTACTTCTTGAGTCACCAGTGAAAGAACACAAATAACAAAACAAGAACCTTGAGCAAAAGTCACATGAGCTTATACTATGCAGACAGTGCAGAGAATACTAGTAAAGCAAGAACAGCAACTCCTCCAATAGGTAACGTGGTTTGTGAAGCTCTGAGAGGTGGATTAAGTTTGCGTTTTCCCAGTATATTTGACCACAGAATCTTCTTTGACTAGGAAATCCTGAAGGCTGATAATGTTTCACATAATAAACTTTGAGGGCTCCTTCTAGATCAGTAGTCAATAAATTTTATCCGTAAAGGTAAACTTTATCTGTAAAGATAGTAAATATTTTTGGCTTTACATGACATATGGTGTCTGTCACAACTGCTCAACCCTGTTGTGACATCCCCAAAACAGCCAGAGACAATATGCAAATGAATTTCCATGGTTGTGTTTCAATAAAGCTTTATTCACAAAATTAGGTGGCCAGCCAGATTTCACCCACCAGGTGTAGCTTGCTGACCCCTGGTCTGGCCATTCCTATAGCTCCATCCAGCTCTAGGATTCTAAGACATGTGTGTGGTTGCCCTACACAGCAGGGAGGTCAGATTGACTGATCTTAGCAAAGCCTTAACTCTCTTCTCTCATGTGGATTCATAGTAAATCGTGTTTCAAATCGATGTACCTAACCACTACAGAACCCCATCCCAGCCAGTCCTCTGCTGTAGTCCTGTTCATTCCATCTTGCTGAAGAAAAGCAAATGAGCCTAAATTTAATTAATCTGCTAGGGAAATAAAAATAGTGTTGCCTGAAGCTGCCTGATGCCAAGAATTTTCTGTGTCACAGGAAGAGAAAAATAAATAGTGGCTTAAAATAAACAAAGTTCTGCTCACCCTAGGATCTTAAAGAGATATAAAGACTGGTGGTGGAGGAGGGAAAGGGGTCAGAGAACAAGACCCAACTCCAGCTTCTTTATTTTCTAGCTTGAAGACATAAGGACAACACTTTCTCCTGACACATGCATTTAGCCACCTAGTGAATGCTGGGCATTCATTCCTTAATTCAATAAAAATATATTGGATGCCTAATTTTTGCCAGACACAGTGCTAGACAGGACGGGCTACATAATTTGTTGGGCCCTGAATTTTGCAAAACAAAAATTCAGGGCTTCTTTTCAGCAATTACAGTATCAGGAATTTCAAAATGATGACAGCAGAGTACTATACCAAGCCTGGGGCCCTTCTGACTGCTGTGCAATTGCATAGGCCACATACCCAAGAAGCTAACCCTGGCTAGACATTGGTGTTACAAAGATATACATGGTTACAAAGAAGATTTCAGTCTTCACTCTAGAGAAGCTACTATCCAAGAAGGGAGAGAAAATATGTGTAATAAGACTATCAGAGCTTCATATCTTCCTTTTCAAATGCTTCACCACTTTTATGCATATCAGATCCCAGTGAGCTTCTACATTCAACAGCCAGCACCTGCATCTCTCTGTTGGCATCTGGCCACAGGCTGCTGGTGCCACTTTTTCAGGGAACTCAGAGAACTAGAAGTCCTTCACGAATGATTTGTGTGCGAGTCCATCTGGTTTGCTCCTTGCCCCTGATTGGGTCAGCCCTGAGGCCAGATGTGCATTGGTCCCAAACCTTCTCCATAGGATTAAGTCACACCCCAGCCTGGATCCCTTCCCTTCCTATTTCCCCACTTCCCTATCAGTTCTTCTTGGGAGCACTTCCTAATAGATTATTTCCACACACAAATTTTTATTTCAGAGTCTGCTTTTGAGGAACCCAATCAAAAAACACACATATAAATTATAGGGGATTGTTAATAGACTAAATGTCTGTGACCCAAAAATATTCTTATGTTGAAATCCCGGCCAGGTGCGGCGGCTCACGCCTGTAATCCCAGCACTTTGGGAGGCCGAGGCGGGTGGATCACGAGGTCAGGAGATGGAGACCATCCTGGCTGGCATGGTGAAACCCCGTCTCTACTAAAAATACAAAAAATTAGCCCGGCATGGTGGCACATGCCTGTAGTCCCAGCTACTCGGGAGGCTGAGGCAGGAGAATCGCTTGAACCTGGGAGATGGAGGTTGCAGTGAGCCAAGATCAAGCCACTGCATTCCAGCCTGGGTGACAGAGCGAGACTCCATCTCAAAAAGAAAGAAAGAAATCCTAACTCCCAAAATGGGGCTTTTGGGAGGTGACTAGGTCATAAGAGTGGAGACCTCATGAATGGAATTATTGCCTTTATAAGAAGAGATGATTTCTCTCTCAGCCCTGTGAAGATTCAAGGAGAAGTTGGCCATCTGCAAAGCTGGAAGAGTCTACCCTTAGTAGACACTGGATCTGAAGGGCACCTTGGTCTTGGACTTCCCAGCCTCCAAAACTGTGAGATGCTGTTTGAGCCATTCATCTATGGTGGGCTGTTATAGTAGCCCAAATTGACTATGATAAGGACTAAGGTACAAAATGAGAGTTGGTGGAGATCCTGAGAAAGTATCAGGCCTATTCAGAGATGAGGAAAGCTTATTCCAGGTGAAGGTAGGGAGTGGCACAGGTGAGAGGAATCTTGGGTGGGTGGGTGTTTATGGTAGGTCTCGACTAACGAATGTATTCGTATAATGAATAAGGAATTGTGGAAGTAGGAGGAGATGTTGTATTTATTCTGTTTATTTCTACAGATCTCTTTACTCTTTTCTACCCTGCCTTGTTTCCAGAAAGGCTGACCTGCATGGACTGCATCAACAGGCAATCTTGTCTTTGGCTTCTCATTGCATTAGGCCAATGACCTTGTAGATGATTAGTGGTGGAGGAACATGAACATATAATGGCTAGATGGACAAAAGGAAAGATGAATGAATAAAATCAGTGGCCTCTGAATGTTACTATTAGGTGGCTTGACCTTGACTTTCTAGTACATATTTGGGTAGAATCATTTGTTCATCCTCTGTGATACTTCTCCGGGTTTTGTTTGTTTGTTTGTTTGTTTTGAGATGGATTCTCACTTTGTCGCCCAGGCTGGAGTGCAGTGGCACCATCTTGGCTCATTGCAACCTACACCTCTCGGGTCCAAGCAATTCTCCTGCCTCAACCTCCCAAGTAGTGGGGACTAGAGGTGCACACCACCACACCCAGCTTAATTTTTGTATCTTTAGTGGAGATGGGGTTTCACCACATTGGCCAGGCTGATCTTGAACTCTTTACCTCAGGTGATCAACCTGCCTTGGCCTCACAAAGTGCTGGGATTACAGGTGTGAGCCACTACACCCAGCCTCTCAGATTCTTATGTAGTTCTATGGCTAAGTTTTAGAAGTCCCATTTCAGGGGGTAATTAATAGAGTCATATTTCTTCCAACAAAGTTGTAATCTCTGAGCTGTTTGTGCTCTTGGCACAAAAGAGGATGCAGACAGGAGGATATAGTTGAAAAAAGAAATTATGAGAAGCATTTTGCAAAGTAAAATTAGGAGGAGGGAATGATGAAGCTAAAATAAATGTTTCCTGTTGAAGTCTGCTTTGTATTACAAATCATGAAGGGGCTTGATTGGATAGCCTGCTGGTGACAAATAGCCTGCAATTCATTTCTCTTACTGACATTTGGCCAAAATGCTGCAAGATACACATAAATGTTACTTGACAGTGCCTTTCAGCATTTTGAGGGAGGATAAGGCAGGGCTCTGCTCAAAGAAATACCTGAGTTTTTGGAACCAATTCTACTGCACATTACCCTTAACCCTATATGCTCCTTTACCAATCAAGGGACCTACAAGATACAAGTAACACATTCAAACATGCTAATTGAGGAGACATAACAAGAGAACCATCTACAAAGTGCTGACAGGGTTTGAGAGAACCAGCAAGGTATGATGAAGCACCCTGGACCTAGTATGAAAGCAACACAGAAGAAACCGGAGGTGAGAGAGGCAGAAAGAGGGGTTCATGTTGACGCTGTACAAGCACCTGGCTCCAGTCTTGTTGGAGTGCAGCAATTCATGAAGCTAGATTCTCCCTCTACCTCTCAATTATGTAAGCCAGTTTGTCATCTTTTTTGGCTTGAGCTAGTTGAAGCTAGTTTTTATCACTTGCAATACTGCTCATCTAGGCTCCCTTTTCCCTGAGTCCATCCCTACAGTGCTATCAATCACTTTGTACAGTGCCATTTATTTTTTGCGGGGGATGGGAATCAGACTCCCCCACTAGACTCAGAGTTTTCACTTTTCCTCTTTACCTGGGGCCTGGTGCAAGTTTGTAAGTGTTTAACAAATATGGAAAGCAAGCAATACAAGAGTCAGGGTTCCAAGACAAGGTAGTTCAGTATTCCTAGTTTCTTAATAAGGTAATAAGGAAGATGATGTTGATTATGATGACCACCACCACTAGGTGGTAGTTGTGGTAATGATAATGGTAATGATGACATTTACCATTTATTGAGGATTGCACCTTTAAGGGCTTTACAAACATTTTCTCATTACATCATCAGAACCACCACCTCAAGTAGCTGTGTTAGACCATGCTTCTCATCAGGAAGCAGAGGCTCAGAGATTTCAGGCAACTCATCCAAAGTCACACAGCTAGAAGTGGCAGTCACAGAATATTCACTCCAAAGTCCATGCTCTTATCCATCATGTGAATAGCCCCCAAGCCTTTCTTTCTACTTCTTCATTTTCCTGAATAAAACTCCCTATCCTGACATGCCATTCTTGACTCTGCCTTTGCTTGAACTCTATCAGAGCAAGGAAATAGGACTAAGCATTTTCCCGTCTCACCTCCTTATGCCAGGCCTGGCCCCTGATATACCATGTGGCTTCATGTCAGGCTGAGCACAGAAGCATCTTCACAGAATCACTTTGGGGCCTGAGAAATATGGTGGCACCTGAATCATAGAGTTCATACCCAAAAGTTTAGGAGGAACAAAGCCTGATTCCTACTTCAGAACGTCCAAGTTAATTCCCCAAAATATCCAATGCTTCCTTAGGGCCCAGAAGCAACCTAAAGCATCATCGAAGCATACAGCTTTGAAGTCAAATCCACCTGGGTCTTAATTCTGACTCTTTCACAATCTGGGTGACTTTCGGCAAATTGCATCAACTGGGGAATGCCTACCTCAGAAAAATGATGAGAGAATGGAGAGAATTAGCACTGACCGTAGTAAACTAATGGTATCTTGCATATAGCAATTATTCCAGCAGTAGTAGCTATATTTATTATTATCGAAATCTCTTGTTTTTCAGATGACTGAAAGCCAAAAAAGCTTCCAGAGGAGTTACAGGGAAATGGGGGAAAGATAAAGAATCCCGTTACTCCACACCTCTACTACCTATTGTTCCCCATACACACATGTATATGTCTCCATCTTTTAACAGGCATGCATCCTTCTCCAGGAAGTCTTTGGACCCTCCTTCCCCCAGTGGTGTTAAGAGTTGCCTGATTTACGTAATAAAAATATGGAACACCCAGTGAAATTTGAACTTCAGATAAACAGCAAATACCTTTTACAGTATAAATATGTCCCAAGCAATATTTTGAACATACTTATACTAAAAAAGCATGTTTTGTTTATCTGAAATTCAAATTTAACTAGGCATTTTATCCACAGTCCTAGTTATACGCTCCTCTGCAGTGTGTCACAACTCTCCTGTGCAGTGTTTTTCTTTCTGTATTATAATTGGCCTATGTCAGGAGCTGACACCTGTCACATCTGAGTTAACGTGTAACTTTAAGATCCTCTGATATTAAAGAATTAATGTTAATTTTGTAAAGAATAACATTATTGAGATGAATTTTTAAGAGCTCATATCTTTTAGGATACATACCGAAATATTTGAGGAAGAGATGACATAGTGTCTGGGATTTCTTCAAAATAATAAAGGTGCAGAGAAGTGGATGAAGATAGAGATTAAACAAAATTCTCCATGAGTTGGTAATTGCTGAAGCTGAGTGATAAGTACCTGAAAGTTCACTATAGCCTTTTGATTATTTTATATGTTTGAAATTTTCCATTATACATATTTTTAATGTCTGCTGAGAGAAGTGGGTTCTGACCATGCACACATGCACATACACACAAGACAGGACAGTTAACTGAATGAGCATTGCACAAGAATCAAGCAACCCATGGTTTGATCACAATGAGTTCCTTAAATAGCTCTGGGACATTGAGCAAACCACTTTCTCTTTCTAGACCTCAGTTTCCTTATCTGTTTAAAATGGAAAAGTTAGATTAAATGATTTTAATAAAATCTCTGAACTTCAGATAACCACACCGGGATGCCTCTGGCCTTTTCTAGGTTAAATTTTCTGTGCATTGTCTCAAGCCTCCCCTGCCCATCAGCCACAGAATAAAACAGACTGCTCTTAGCATCTGCCCCACACTTCAACCAAAAGGGGCCATAATGGGGTTCTGTGGAGAACTTTAGTGGACAGTGATCCAAAGCTCTCCAACACCAAGCAGCTGCTCTTTCCTTCTGCCACCTACTGAAAGGTCACCTCAGTGTATAGCCTACCTCAAGAAGGCCTTCCATGTCCCATTTCAGCCCTGAGGGGGGAGAAATAAAACCTCCTTTTTATTTAACTTTTAGACCTGATGTTTTCATGTTTGCAGTGTGTCAACTCCCAACCCACCTTCAAAGTTCCTGCATGGAGTTCCTTAGACTAAAGATCTGATGTGAGCCCAAAAGCCTGTTTCTCCTGTCCTTAAAAGTGCAGTCAATAGAGAAGGAGGACTAAAAGAAGAACCAAAAATGTAAGAAGAAGGGCACCATGTGGAAATTACACCTTGGTAGCAATCTGGTGGATAGTAGTTGCAGTTTTGTTTTGTTTTGTTTTTTACTAGTATCTTTGTGGCTTTGGGGGTGGGGCAAGGGGAAGATATGTGCTCATTATAAACAAAAGTCAAGCAAACAGAAAAGCAAAAAAAGTACATTATTATTATTCCAAAGTCCACTATTCAGAAGTAACCATTATTAGCATTTGGAGATTAAGAGTCTAGGGAAACTAAAAGGAACTAGGGGTCCAAGGAGAAATAAATGCTCAATTTGAGAGCAGCGCCAAGGAAGTACAAGATGAGACTGGAATATTTTGTGCCAGAAAGAAAAGAAGTGCTCAAAAAGTAAATAAATAAAGGGGTATTTCATGAGGACACAGCGGGCAGCTGCATGGGCCTCCTGATGGCCAGATCTGAGACAATTCTGGCATCAAAATAACTATAAACAATTCAAAATAAGAATGCAGGCCAGGCGCGGTGGCTCACGCCTGTAATCCCAGCACTTTGGGAAGCTAAGGCAGGCGGATCACCTGAGTCAGGAGTTTGAGACAAGTCTGGCCAACATGGTGAAACCCCATCTTTACTAAAAATATAAAAATTACCTGGGTGTGGTGGCAGGCATCTGTAGTCCCTGTTACTCCAGAGGCTGAGGCAGGAGAATCACTTAAACCCGGGAAGTGGAGGTTGCAGTGAGCCGAGATCCTGCCACTGCACTCCAGCCTGGGCAACAGAGCAAGATTCCATTTGAAAAAAAAAAAAAAAAAAAAAAAAAAAAAGAATGCATGGGTCCACACTAAAAATAAACAGATAAAAACCAATATATATTTATACCAAAATATGCATATGCTTATGTATTATATGTGTGTATATAAACATATTATATACTATATATGTGCATGTATACATGTTTTCCCTTCTCACATATATATGCTCAATCAAATGTTTGAACTGACAGCAGCTCTCAAGAAAATCTATTCCAATTTATTTAAAGTTATTTTTTATATATCTTGTTACATGAATATTCAGCAAATTTTAGATTATTCTCACGTTATCCTGTTCTTCACAATGACTTCCTATTTCCTCAAGGACTGTGTTAGGCTATCAATGGATTGGTGAAGAGACTGTTTCTTTAAACTGTACATTTCTCAAAAGGTTTTTTTTTTCAAAACTGATAAATTGAACCTTATCAAAATTTTAAAATTTTGCTCTTTGAAAAACAACATAAAGAAGGCAGAATGGCAAGCGACAGAACATATTCACAATCCATGTGTCTGACAGAGAACTTGCATCTCAAATGTGTGAAGACCTCTTACAACAGGAGAACAAGAAAAGAAGCTATCCAACTGAAAGAAAAATGGACAAAGATTTGAACAGATATTTTTATCAAATAAGATATTGAGATAGACAATAAGCACATGAAGAGAAGCTTGGCATGAGTTATCTCAAAGGTATTCTTGAACCCTAAAATACTGTGCTTCACCCTTGCTGGAATAGTCACTCAGAATTTCTTGGAAGTGCTGAGTGCTTCATTAATCTCCCACACATTGTTCCCTGCCTTCTGATTAAATGCTGCTGTCTTGACTTTATCATTCAGACCTAAACAAGTTGAGCATATAGCAGGGTTTACATGCAGATTTGCCATCCTGGAGATTGAGCAAATTAAAATGTTTAAGTGTCAGTGGCCTGGTGTTGAATCTCATACAATTCTGGCTTCATTTGGATGGGTGGTCTGGGCTAAATCTAACCCAGGACTCTGGAATCAAATTCATCCACCCTTTCTGCTTAGCCATTCTGCCAGCTTTTTCCCTTGGAGATGGAGACTGGTTATGGAAATCAGATTTTTTGCTTCTTCTAAACATGCAGACTCATAGTTCAAACTTGTCATTTGTGATTCTATGATAAAGAAAAAAATAAGCTGAGAGGAAGGAAGACATTATCATTTCTGAACTTGACTTGAAGCTGACTTAATTCATCCCAAGCTACGTCTAAGAATAATAGCAATTCCTCATTAGATACCAATTAAAATAAACCTCTCTTATCAAGATGGGATGACGGTTGAGGGGATCTGGTCATTTAAACAGAATGGGTTATTGAGAGTCAGCCTTTGAAATGAAAAGTAGGGATGGTAGTCCTTCGAAATTGTGGACAAAGTTTTTTTCTATTCCTGCATGTAATAGCAGCATCCAACATTTACTGAGAGCTTACTATATGCCTGGCACAGTACTAAACATTCTGTTTAATCCTTTAACAAACCTCTGGTTTAGAAACTATCTCATTTTCATTTTACAGATTAAGAAGCAGAGGCTCAAACAGGTTAAGTAATCTGTCCAAAAAACAGAGCTGTTAACTAGCTGGACTGTGGTTCAAACTCAAGTGAGTTGATTCCCTTGCATTTTCCTAATTTTTTTCCAAAACATTAATTTGTTTACAAACTTTAAAGATCTTTAATTCATCTAAAATTTAATTAGGAACATGATGTGAAGTGAGACATAAATATTTTGTTTTCTGAAAATGCAATCACAATTTAAAATGATTTTTTTAAACAACTTAATATAACGGAGAGAAAAATACACATGACATGATAAGTAAAAAATGGAAGCCTGGGCGAGGTGGCTCACACCATTAATCCTAGCACTTTGGGAGGCCGAGGCAGGCGGATCATCTGAGTTCAGGAGTTCGAGACCAGCCTGGCCAACATGGTGAAACCCTGTCTCTACTAAAAATACAAAAATTAGCCGGGCGTGGTGGCAGGCACCTGTAGTCCCAGCTACTTGGGAGGCTGAGGCAGGAGAATCTCCTGAACCCGGGAGGCAGAGGTTGCAGTGAGCCAAGATCATGGCATTGCACTCCAGCCTGGGGGACACAAGCGAGACTCCGTCTCAAAAAAAAAAAAAAAAAAAAAAAAAAAAACAACCAGAAGGGAAACTAAACTATATACACAGTATAAGTAACTGCATTAAGTACAAAATATGTATAGCCACTGATATGACATCCATTGTACATCTACATGGAAACATGACACTGATGAAGTTGAAGGAAGAGTCTGAAATCAGAAATCTAGCATTAGACTGCTTAGGTGGGTCTGAATCCCACACCTACCTCTAACTCTCTCTGGATGGCCTTGTGCAAATTACTTAACCTTGCTGTGCTGGTTTCTCATTTAGAAAATGTGGATAATATTACTTATCTTGTGAAATGGCTGAAAAGCTTAAGTAAGTCAATCCATGCAAAACAGCATAGTGCTTAACACTAAAAAACACTGCACCTATAAATATGCAAAAATATTGATAGTTCTAATCACTGAATGGTGTAATTATATGTATTTTAATTTTTTTCATTTAAATGTTCAAATTGAAATTTTCCACATTGTTCACAATGGTTTGTTTTGTTTGTTTGGTTTTTATACTCAGGGGAAAAGATGGTTAATTTTTTCAAACTCTGGGTCTTAAGTGTGTCAGTAATGCCAAAATATTCTAAAATCAAAAACTAAGCCCCATACAAACTCCCTTTGGGGATGCGCCTTTGCGGAGAGAACCCCCATGCCCCCCTCATAGAAAACAAGCTCCTCATTTCCATAAGCTGATAACACAGGAAGCATTAGAGCAAGGATTCAGCAAAAAATAGAATCCTGAAATAATAAATTGGAAGTATTGGGCATTGTGAAAACAAGAACCAATAAATGTAAATAACTCCAAGGTAAATGATTTCTTCAAGTCCCTGAGGTTCTGTAAGAGTTGGAAATATGTTATATTGCATTATAATTTATAATTGGATTTTGAAGTCTGTTCAGTAACAGGTCTAGTAACAGGGCTGGGAATTAATCCTCAATTCATACCTCATTATATTGCTGCAAATATCGCCAAACTTGACTCCACATGAGACAGACCTTCATCTATATAAACAAGGGGGCCAGCCAGGCCCATAGTACTCTAATACAGGTACTTTCTTATATATGGGGAACTGTTGGGATGGAAAGCTGAATTATTCAAAATAATGCAGTTCCCTTGCTAAACTTCACGGAGCTGTAGACGAAGCTAATGAAGGAAAGATTTGTCTGTGTTTCTTCAGAGATGATTTGCGAAAAAATCAGCTGCAAATAACTAGAGAAGCAATCTAGAGAAACGCTTAGTATGTCTCCTACAAGCAAGAGTCTGTCCTGGCCACGAAATTGCTACTGTTCAGAAATTCAATATGTGGAAAAAAACGCAAGGAGAATAGTTCTGGGAACCTGTTCTTCTGGAAAATGATGATTAAAACATTTTCTTCCAGCCACCGACCTCCCTCTGGGGACTAACAAGGCTGAGAAAGATAAAGAGTAGCTATGTGGCTTATTGCCCTCTCTGAACTTCATTTGTCCCACCTGTTGAGTAAGAATACCCACCCGGCAGCATTTCTGTGAGGATGTGAGGATGTGAGGACTCCAGATAACTCACACAGTGTGGTATTCTTTTCTTTTCTTTTCTTTTTTTGACAGATTCTTGCTCTGTCGCCCAGGCTGGAGTGCAGTCGCGTGATCTTGGCTCACTGCAAGTTCCACCTCCTGGGTTCATGACATTCTCCTGCCTCACCCTCCCTAGTAGCTGGGACTACAGGCGTCCGCCACCATGCCCAGTTAATATTTTTGCTATTTTTTTTTTTAGTAGAGATGTGGTTTCACTGTGTTAGCCAGGATGGTCTCGATCTGCTGACCTTGTGATCCGACCACCTCAGCCTCCCAAAGTGCTGGGATTACAGGCGTGAGGCACCGCGCCCGGCCCACAAAGTGTGGTTTTCTTAAAACCTGACACATAATAGACGCACAACAGCTGTTAGCATTATTACTGGGGTGCTGATTTCAAGAACCTTGGAAGAGCCTGGGTCTCCAGTTTCCCCAACTAATTTGCTAACGTTTAAATACCTTCAGTTGAAGAATATGCTTTCATTTTACTGTTATAGATAAGGCTTTACTATAAACATCTGGGTGTGATAGCAATTTCCTTAAATTCGTATTAAACTACAAATGATCCATGTCAGATTATAACAGGTTCTGAGGACTACTATAAGGGAGAAAGAAAACATTTGCCTATTCACTTATTAAGCATTTATTTAGCACCAACTATATGCCAGGTTTGCACCAGTTTGGGGGCAGGGACAAAGACAAGCCTATGGACTTTGAAAATGTTCCTTTCTTGGCCTGTAATAAACTGCCAGGCTCATGGTTCTCATCCTTCATGCCTTGGTTTAGATCACTTCTTAGGTTCCGTACATGCTCAGATTCTGTGCTTCTATAGTTTTACAACAACAGAATCCTCTAGACAACTTGTAGTGACCAGGCTTAGCCACACACTCAGATGTGTAAGAAATCACTATTTCTTTGTTTTCATGAAGCTCAGTTTAAATCAGTTTCCAAGGCTTATTCCCACCACGGTGGGCAGAAATTTCATCTTAGTCACCATTGAGCACCTATCTCTCTGAGTCATTTTAGAATCTAGGACTTTCCATCCTTCAGCCCCTATCCTCCATCATGGCCAACTTCCTCTTTGTCACAGCTGACAGTGGCACCTCCCCACTCTAAGAAGCTCTCAGCTTTGGTGGGTGCAGAAACCTTGCTGAGGCAGACAGCTCTGTGTCTTGAGTCCAGTCACTGTTTGATGTCTTGGTGCTCTGAGAGGTACTGCCAGCTACGCAATGTGAAGGTCCTGCCATCTCTCACCTTCCACCTCTGATCTCTCTTGGAGTCCACAGAGCTCCTTCCATCCCAGGCGTCTGCAAACTTTTTCTGTAAAGGACCAGGTAGCAAATATGCTGGGGCATCACAGGCCTCACTATCTCTTTCACAGCTACTCAGCTCTGTTGCTGTAGTGCTAAAGCAGCCATAGACAACTCATAAATGAACGAGCATGCTACATTCCAATGACACTATATTCATGAACCCCAGAAATCTATTTTTGTAAAATGTGCATGTGTCACAAAATAATATTATTTACATTTTTTTTTCTTTTTTGAGATGAAGTCTCGCTCTGTAGCCCAGGCTGGAGTGCAGTGGCCCAATCTCAGTTCACTGCAACCTCTGCCTCCCAGGTTCAAGTGATTCTCCTGCCTCAGCCTCCCGAGTAGCTGTAATTACAGGCGCCTGCCACCATGCCCGGCCAATTTTTGTATTTTTAGTAGAGACAGGGCTTCAGCATATTGGCCAGGCTGGTCTCAAACTCTGGACCTCAAGTGATCCACCCACCTCAGCCTCCCAGAGTGCTGGGATTACAGGCATGAGCCACTATACCCGGCCTCTTCATGTCATTGTTTTAAAACCAATTCTAATGTTCAGACCATTAAAAAAATAGGCAATGGGCCAGATTTGGCACACATCCCAGAGATGGCCAAACTGCTCTATCCTCTTCTCATCTTCAAAAAGCTTAACATAGTTTGTTTCATGAGTGTGGACTTTTTGAAAATAAAGGCCATTTATTCATCATTCATTCATTCGGTTAACAAATCCTTATAAGGTGACTGTCCATCATCCCAGATTGCCTCGGATTAAGGAGTTTCATGGGATGTGGGATTTCTAAGTATTGAAATTGGAAAGTCCTAAGCAAACCAAGAGCATTGATCACCCAACCTATTAAGCGCCAGGTAACAAAGGTTCAGGAGTAAATGAGACAAAGTATTTGTCATTATGAAACTGGTATGGTCTTCGGGAAGGCAAGTGCCTTTGCCCACAACTCCTATCCTTGGTTTAAGATACACACCTCCCCTAACTCATTCCTGGCAAGTGCAGAAGGTCAGGGGAAAGTGCTTGAAGGAAAAAGCCCAAATTATCACCTCAACAGATTGTTCTATTACACAGTAAAGTACTGTGCATAATATTGATTCTAAGCGTCAAAGGCAGAGCAGCAAGAGTAAACATGTAAAAGTTCCCAAAATGCAAGGTGACTGAACCAAAGTCTCACCACACCCACCCTACCCACCCCCGAGGATTGATCCAGGGCTGGAACACTAGGCCCAGGGAGCAGAGTAAGGGCTTTCAGAGTAATCCAAGCACCTTTAGCATCTAGAGGTGAAAAACTCTAGAGATTTCTGTGGTACTAGCAAATGCAAACATCCTAAAATCATTTTATAAATATTGCGAGCAATTTCATTTGTTCAATCCTGTTGGTTCGATTCTGTGATTACATTTATAAATTCAATTTGACTTCATGAGAAAAGTCTAAATTTGAGGCCTGCTAGAAATGTGAGGCCCAGGCAAAAAAGTTCTCCTCTTCTCCTGTGCTCCTTGCCCATGCTCTCCCCTCCAAAAGAGTTTGATATAGTAACACAGCCTCAGCAGGGCCTTTTTTAATCAGGAAAGGCGTACACTTTGGGAGGACAAGATCACATGCCACAGTGGTGAGTGATGTACAGACAGGACCTCAGTCCCTATTTGACTCCTCTGTCGGGCAGCTTTGTGCAGTGCATAACCTGCACCGCTATACAGAGCTACCCTGAGACAGCTGTCCGGACTTCCAGGGAAGAAATCAGACCCTTTTGCTAAAGTTGGAGGAATAATGAATGGGGTGAATCTAATTGCTTCAGACCCCAGGGCAGTAAGTTGCTCCTTCGGAAGTGATTTCTGTCTTTCAATTGCTTGTGTTTTTGACAACTGGCTGTTTCTCACCTATTGTGTCTTCCTGTGGCTCTACTTGCAGAATGTGCCTTCAAACAGTGGGCTGAGCATGGGTTGGGAAAGCCTTTGAAAGCCAGCCAGGCAGAAAATTCAAGACAAAAGGTCTTCAAGCAGATATTATTGACATCCTTTAGTTAAGCAGCTGCTCTGGCTGTAGGAGGATAATAAAGAGTGTACCCTAAACCCTGCTTCAAAGGGGGACTTTGGCTTGGCTGAGGGGCTGGTTGTAGAAGCCTGTAGAACAAGTGCTTTTATACATCCTTCACCTACCTCGCCAGCTGAGAATTGTTCATCCGGTACTAGTGGGAAAGTCTCCCAAATGCACAGTCTGACAGCACTGCCTAGACAGTTCGTGATCAGGTTGCCATGTCAACAAGAAAATACCCTACTGGGGTTTTGTTTACTCATCACCAAGTTCTCAGTTTGTGTAGCTCTTAGCCATGAAAAAAGCTAAGAAATCTGATCTCTGACTTCCAGATTGCTTCTCTGGGCACTGGAATTATTTTGACCCCAGTGGGGAAGACTAGGAGTCTGCTAAGGCACCCATCGTCTATGGGGAGGGGTGAGAGAGCAAGAAGGGATGGAGCCTTCGGATGAAGCATCTTGAGTGTTTCATTGACAGGGGAAATAATATTTATGGAGTATCTGTCATGTGTCTGGAATTCTGCTACAAACTATGCAAATTTGATTTATCTTATTCTCACAACTATCCTGTAGTATTAATATTAGCCTGTGCATTTTATGGATGAGCAAAGAGAGGCTAAAAGGCCAAACGACAGATCAAGCTTCACTAAATAAGAACATGTGCATAAGATGGATTATTATGCAGCTGTTTAAAATAACATTTTTTTGTTGTTCTTGTATTTTTAGTAGAGACGGGGTTTCACCATGTTGGCCAGGCTGGCCCCAAACTCCTGACCTCAGGTGATCTGCCTGCCTCAGCCTCCCAAAGTGCTGGGATTACAGGCTTGAACCACTGTGCCCAGCCTAAAGTCACATTTTTGAAAGACATTTCATGACATGTTCACCTTGGCATATCGCTAAGAGAAAGAAAACAGAAGGCAAAACTGCACAATATAACATATCCAGGCCAGGCGCAGTGGCTCACAACTGTAATCCCAGCAGTTTGGGAGGTCAAGGTGGGCAGATTACTTGAGCCCAGAAGTTTGAGACCAGCCTGGCCAACACAGCAAAACCCTATCTCTACTATCTCTACTAAAAATACAAAAATAATTAGCCATGCATGGTGGTGCATGCCTGTAATCCCAGCTACTCCAGAGGCTGAGGCGGGATGATCACTTGAACCCAGGAGGTAGAGGTTGGAGTGAGCCAAGATCCAGCCTTGGCGACAGAGCAAGACTCTGTCTAAAATTAATAATAATAATAATAACATATCCATAGAAGATATATAGGATGAATAAATAGCCCTAGACACAAAATTATGGAGAATAATACTATGGAAATAACTGAAGATCACCCAAATGAGAACAAGCAAAGTCTATTTATTCAGAGCCTGCTATACAAGGGAGTCAGCCACCATCACTTGCATTTGACAAAGGATGAAAGGCGGGCAGAGGAATGGGAACACTTTACAGTGAAAAAAAAGGGAAGGCTTCAGGTGTGCCTTTATTGGAGGCTGTTGGCACAAGGAAGCTTGATGGGGCTGACCAGAAGCAGGACATCCTATGTGACTGGTTAGGGGAACATATTTGGCTTTCTCTGGTTTGTCCTAAGTGGGAAACAGAGATGCAAATTGGGAAGCTGACAGTCGTTGACCATGTCCTGACAGTCTGGGACCAATTACTGCAAAGGCTGTGGTTTAGCTTCTTGAACTGGTTGCTGTTAGGTTTTGGGTCAGAGTTCTATTTTTATATCTGATTGCACCATTGTTCATTTGTATATTCAGTCTCTCAATATACAAAATGATAGTAGTAATTATCACTAGGTTTCAGGACTACAATTGATTTTTTTCTTTCTAATTCTTTTCAGATTGTTCTAAATGTTCTATAATAAACAAGTGTTATTACTAACAATAAATAAATAACTGTTTTTATAAGGAAAAAGAAATCGAGTTACAAAAAGGTTCAGTAATTTTTCTGAAGTAACACAGCTAGTAAGTAATTTGCCTGGAATCGAACACAGATCTTTTAGATACTAATGCCTGAGCATTTTCCTGCCCTGTGTCTCCTAGGGATCTTCAGGGCTTGGACTGTTGTTGGGTGAGGGGAGGGGGGAGGGATAGCATTAGGAGATATACCTAATGCTAAATGAAGAGTTAATGGGTGCAGCACACCAGCATGGCACATGTATACATATGTAACTAACCTGCATATTGTGCACATGTACCCTAAAACTTAAAGTATAATAATAACAAAATAAAATAAAATAAAATAAAATAAAAAAGAAATGAAGAATGTAAACTTGTGTTGAAGAACTTATACAAACCAGCAGCTTCACAGACATCACTTTAAAAGTATCTTGTTAAGTCTCATTATTGAATAGCTAATACAGTTTCAAGATATATATTTCCAGGAAATTTGAATTCAAATAAAAGGTGATGATACTTTAGTTTTTAATCACTTATCAAATAATAAATAATTTTTTTAGGGGAGCATTCCCAAATACCTTTGAGGCACTAACAAGCACTCTGGACTACCTTCCCAAAAAGAAATGCACAAAACCAAAAAGTCTTGTTACAATTATGGAGGCCGACAGGCCAAAAACCTCTATTCTGATGGTAGATGTGTGACATCACTCACAAGCCTAGATGTAGGAAGATGTTTGAGATCAGTAGGAACTTTCTGTGTACTTTACAAAAATCATCCTGTTTATAATCAGGTGTGTCTATGTTTGGTGCAGCTCAATTCTGATTTATTTGTGGCTAACAGATGACAGTCAGGGGTGCCTCCTGCATAACTCTCAGAATTGTGTCAGGTGACCAACCAGTATGTGAAAAGTGAAATCCATACATAATACACAAATTTTACTTAGGCAAATAGCTAACACCCCCATTCCCCACTTCTTCCACTGCCAATTATTTTCTTACCACTGACACCCTAAAGGGCCAGTTTGACATCCTCTCTCTCTTATCCCTGTGAAATAATCAAAATAGGGATGAACAAACCATGAGATAATATATTCTCAGATCAACAACCTCTGAAGTTAGGGATCATGGTGAGTTACTTGGAATTCCACTTCTGGCATGGCAGTGTAAGCTCCTAACAAACTGAACACTCACATAACAACTGTAAGCTCTGGGAAAAATACAAAAACAACTACCCAAAGCTGTATAGAATGAGCAAAATAGGAAGATTTTGGAAGGAAGTCAAAACCTAGAAGAATGATGTAGAGTGAGATTCTTATTTTTATGGGTCTATCCTGTGAGCTGACTGTAGTCATTGCTGGCTTAAAGTGGTCAAAACTTCAACAGAAAACTCATTGTTTCTCTGGCCTGAAGAACCAGATGACAGAACTCAGGGCAACCATAGCTTATGGAAAATGAGAGACTAACGTTGTAAAAGAGAAATCCAAAGAAAGGGAGTCCCAGATTCTGTTTTCAAACTCTACCCAAGTCTCTGGGAAACCAATAAGTCATGCACACATGGGGCAAACACAAAGCAGTTTTCAGAGAAAGCTAAAAGAAATGAAGTTCAACTTGAAATTCTCACATCCACAACAGGATAGAGAGAATTTGTGGTTTGAATCTAACCAAGTTAATTGCTTACAAAAACAACAGCAACCCTCTTCAGAAGAATATAGCAGAACCCAGAATTGCCAAAGTACTGTATTCACAATGTTTAGCATACAATCCCAAGTTACACAACACGTAACAAGTCAGGATATAGTGATATATTATCAAGGAAAATGTAATCAACAGAGGTCAACTTTGAGATTGCCTAGATGCTGGAATTATCAGACAAAGACTTAAAACAGCTATTACGACTATGCTAAAGAAAATAAAGGAAAATATATGCAAAATGAATCAAAAAGAAAATGTCAGCAGAAAATAAGAACAATAAAAAAGAACTAAATGAAAATTCTAGAAAGAAAACATATAATATCTGAAAAAAATCACTGGGAATAGGCTTAATATTATCAACAGCATAGACATGAACAAAGAAAGGCTCAGTGAGCTTGAAGATAGATCAATACAAGTTATTCAACCTAAATAAAAGAGAGAAAAATAAACAGAGCCTCAGGGGCAACATCAAACATTAAGCCTGTGACACAACATCAAAAACTCTAACATATGTCACTGGAGTCCCAGTTAGAGAGGGCAGAGAAAATGAGCCACAAAAGTTATTTAAGGGAATATTAACCAAAATGACCTCCCAAATAGTGAATATATAAATTTACAAAGTCAAAAAGCATCAAACTCCAAACAGGATATATACAAGGAAAACCACACCCAGGGACATCCTAGTGAAGATATTGGAAAGGGAAAAAAGAAAAAAGAAAAAAATGTGAATCAGTAAGATTAAAATGACACAATAAATATAGGAAAATTATTTGAATGGCAGAGAAAAACAATATATTACATACAGAGGGACTGAAAGGCAAGACTCAAAAGACTCTCATCAGAAACTGTGGAGGACAAAAATGAGTGGAACGTTTTAAAAGGCTGAAAGAAAAACACTAAAATCCCAGAATTCTGTTTCAGCAAAAATATCCTTCTAGAATGAAGGAAAAAAATATGTCTTCAGATTTAAAAAATAATAACAGAATTCACTGCTAACAGACTTGTACTACAAAAAATGCTAAAGAAGTTCTTCGGGATGGAGAGAAGTAATATCAATATGAAACAGAGCTTCAAGAAATAATGAAGAGCATCAAAAACAATAAATGGCTATTTTCTCTAAATTTCTTTAAATTATAAATGACCGTTTAAAGAAAAAAACAATATACACACATTATGTGGTGGTCATAATGTATGGAGATGTAATCAATATGACAATTACAGCTTACCAGATAGTGGGGGAAAAGTAAAGGGAGCTATATAATTAAAAGATTTCTACATGTTACATAAATTGATATAACATTAACTGTAAATAGATTGTGAAAGTAAAGAATATATATTTTAATCCCTAGATTAATCGCTAAAAAATGCAAAGAGGTATAGCCAGAAAACAAGTAGGTAAATTATAACAGAATTCTAAAAAATATTCAGATATTCAAAAGAAGGCAGAAAAAGGGGAACATAGGAATGAAAAGCAAAGAGGAAACACAGGAAATTAAAATTGTAATTATAGACCTAAAGCTAATCATATAATAAGTACATTAAATGCTAGTGGTCTGTCTACTTTCATGCTTCAAAGGATATTATCAACTGAGTAGAAAGGCAACCCACAGTATAGAAGAAAATATTTGCCAATCACATATCTGATAATGGATTAGTATCCATGATATGTAGAGAACTCCTAAAATTCAACAATAACAAAACAAACAAACAACTTGATTCAAAGATAAGCAAATCAAAAGAGATAACATTTCACACCCCCTAGGATGGATATTATCAAAACAGAAAATAACAAGTATTGGTAAAGATGTAAGAAGTTGGAAACTTTGCACACTCTGATGAGAATACAAAATAGTGGAACTGCTTTAGAAAATAACGTGTGGCTCCTCAAAAAATTTAAAAAAGATTACCATATGATCCAGTAATTTCACTTTTGGATATATATTCAAAATAATTGAAAGCAGGGACACATTTGAACACCCATGTTTATAGCAGTACTATACATAACAGCCAAGAGGTGGAAGCAATCCATGTCCATTAATAGGTGAATGAATAAACAAAATGTGGCATATACACACAATAACATATTATTCAGCCTTAAAAGGGAAGGAAATTCTGACACATGCTACAACATGAATTAAACCTGAAGACATTATGCTAAGTGAAATAAGTTAGTCACAAAAGGGCAAATACTGAATGATTCTACTCATATAAGGAACCTAGAGTAGTCAATTCATAGAGACAGAAAGCAAAATGATAGGGCTGGGAAGGTGAGAATGAGGAGTTGTTTAAAGTTATGGAAACTTTTTGTTTATTTCTTTATCTCTAATTTCTGACATTTCTGAAGATTTTTCAGGAGTTTACAAAAGTTCTGAAGATGGATGGCGGTGATGGTTGCACAACAATGTGAATATGTTTAGTGCCACTGAATATTAGATGGCTAAAATGATAAATTTGATATGTATATTTTATACAATTTAAAATAAATAAATACATTTTTAAAAAAGACACTTGGGTCCCGTTCCAAGATGGCCAAATAGGAACAGCTCCACTCTGCAGCTCCCGGTGTGATTGATGCAGAAGATGGTGATTTCTGCATTTTCAACTGAGGTACCTAGTTCATCTCACTGGGACTGGTTGGACAGTGGGTGCAGGCCATGGAGAGTGAGCCAAAGCAGGGTAGGGCATCATCTCACCTGGGAAGTGCAAGGGGTCAGGGGATTTCCCTTTCCTAGCCAAGGGAAACCATGACAGACTGTACCTGGAAAATTGGGACACTCCCACCCAAACACAGCACTTTTCCAACAGTCTTAGCAAATGGCACACCAGGAGATTATATCCCGCACCTGGCTCGGTGGGTCCCACACCCATGGAGCCTTGCTCACTGCTAGCCCAGCAGTCCAAGATCAACCTGCGAGGCAGCAGCCTGGCTGGGGGAGGGGCATCTGCCATTGCTGAGGCTTGAGTAGGTAAACAAAGCAGCCAGGGAAGCTCAAACTCGGTGGAGCCCACTACAGCTCTGCAAGGCCTGCTGCCTCTGTACACCCCACCTCTGGGGGCAGGGCATAGCTGAACAAAAGGCAGCAGAAACTTCTGCCGACTTAAAAGTCCCTGTCTGACAGCTCTGAAGAGAGCAGTGGTTCTCCCAGCTTGGTGTTTGAGCTCTGAGAACGGACAGACTGCCTCTTCAAGTGGGTCCCTGACCCCCGTGTAGCCTAAGTGGGAGACACCTCCCAGTAGGGGCTGACTGACACCTCATACAGGTGGGTGCCCCTCTGGGACGAAGCTTCCAGAGGAAGGATCAGCCAGCAATATTTGCTGTTCTGCAATATTTGCTGCTCTGCAGCTTCTGCTGGTGATACTGAGGCAAAAAGGGTCTGGAGTGGACCTCCAGCAAACTCCAACAGACCTGCAGCTGAGGGACCTGATTGTTAGAAGGAAAACTAACAAACAGAAAGGAATAGCATCAATATCAACAAAAAGGACATCCACACCAAAACCCTATCTGTAGGTCACCATCATCAAAGACCAAAGGTAGATAAAACAACAAAGATGGGGAGAAACCAGAGCAGAAAAGTCAAAAATTCTAAAAACCAGAGTGTCTCTTCTCCTCCAAAGGATTGCAGCTCCTCGCCAGCAATGGAACAAAGCTGGATGGGGAATGGCTTTGACGAGCTGACAGAAGTAGGCTTCAGAAGGTCGGTAATAACTAACTTCTCCGAGCTAAAGGAGAATGTTTGAACCCATTGCAAGGAAGCTAAAAACCTTGAAAAAAGATTAGATGAGGCCGGGCACAGTGGCTCATGCCTGTAATCCCAGCACTTTGGAAGGCCGAGGCGGGCGGATCACGAGGTAAGGAGATTGAGACCATCCTGGCTAACACGGTGAAACCCCGTCTCTACTAATAAATAGAAAAAATTAGCCAGGTGTGGTGGCGGGCGCCTGTAGTCCCAGCTACTCAGGAGGCTAAGGCAGGAGAATGGGGTGAACCCGGGAGGTGGAGTTTGCAGTGAGCAGAGATCGCACCACTGCACTCCAGCCTGGGCGACACAGTGAGACTCTGTCTCAAACAAACAAACAAAAAAAAGATTTGACGAATGGCTAACTAGAATAAACAGTGTGGAGAAGACTTTAAATGACTTGATGGAGCTGAAAACCATGGCATGAGAACTACATGACACATGCACAAGCTTCAATAGCTGATTCGATCAAGTGGAAGAAAGAGTATCAGTGATTGAAGATCAGATTAATGAAATAAAGCAAGAAGAGAAGTTTAGAGAAAAAAGAGTAAAAAGAAACAAACAAAGCCTCCAAGAAATATGGGACTATGTGAAAAGACCAAATCTATGTCTGAATGGTGTACCTGAAAGTGACGGGGAGAATTGAACCAAGCTGGAAAACACTCTGCAGGATATTATCCAGGAGAACTTCCCCAACCTAGCAAGGCAGGCTAACATTCAAATTCAGGAAATACAGAGAACACCACAAAGATACTCCTCCAGAAGAGCAACCCAAGACACATAATTGTCTATTCACCAAGGTTGCAATGAAGGAAAAAATGTTAAGGGCAGCCAGAGAGAAAGATCGAGTTACCCACGAAGGGAAGCCCATCAGACTAATATCAGATCTCTTGGCAGGAACTCTATAAGCCAGAATAGAATGGGGGCCAATATTCAACATTCTTAAAGAAAAGAATTTTCAACCCAGAATTTCATATCCAGCCAAACTAAGCTTCATAAGTGAAGGAGAAATAAAATCTTTACAGACAAGTAAATGCTGAGAGATTATGTCACCACCAGGCCTGCCTTACAAGAGCTCCTGAAGGAAGCACTAAACATGGAAAGGAAAAACCGGTACTAGCCACTGCAAAAACATGCCAAATTGTAAAGACCATCAATGCTAAGAAGAAACTGCATCAACTAACAGATGAAGTAACCAGCTAACATCATAATGACAGGATCAAATTCACACATAACAATATTAACCTTAAATGTAAATAGGCTAAATGCCCCAATTAAAAGACACAGACTGGCAAATTGGATAAAAGAGTCCAGACCCATCAGTGTGCTGTATTCAGGAGACCCATCCCATGTGCACAGACACACATTGGCTCAAAATAAAGGGATGCAGGAAGACCTACAAGGCAAATGGAAAGCAAAAAAAAAGTAGGGGTTGCAATCTTGGTCTCTGATAAAACAGACTTTAAACCAACAAAGATCAAAAGAGACAAAGAAGGCCATTACATAATGGTAAAGGGATCAATTCAACAAGAAGAGCTAACTATCCTACATATATATGCACCCAATACAGGAGCACCCCGATTTGTAAAGCAAGTCCTTAGAGACCAACAAAGAGACTTAGACTCCCACACAATAATAACAGGAGACTTTAACACCCTACCGTCAATATTAGACAGATCAATGAGACAAAAGGTTAATAAGGATATCCAGGACTTGAACTCAGCTCTGCACCAAGCAGACCTAATAGACATCTAAAGAACTCTCCACCCCAAATCAACAGAATATACATTCTTCTCAGCACCACATCACACTTATTCCAAAATTGACCACATAGTTGGAAGTAAAGCACTCCTCAGCAAATGTAAAAGAACAGAAATCACAACAAACTGTCTCTCAGACCACAGTGCAATCAAATTAGAACTCAGGATTAAGAAACTCACTCAAAACCGCACAACTACATGGAAACTGAACAACCTGCTCCTGAATGACTACTGGGTACATAACAAAATGAAGGCAGAAATAAAGATGTTCTTTGGAACCAATGAGAACAAAGACACAATGTACCAGAATCTCTGGGACACATTTAAAGCAGTGTGTAGAGGGAAATTTATAGCACTAAATGCCCACAAGACAAAGCAGGAAAGATCTAAAACTGACACCCTAACATCACTATTAAAAGAACTAGAGAAGCAAGAGCAAACACATTCAAAAGCTAGCAGAAGACAAGAAATAACTAAGATCAGAGCAGAACTGAAGGAAATAGAGACACAAAAAACCCTTCAAAAATCAATGAATCCAGGAGCCGGTTTTTTGAAAAGATCAACAAAATTGATAGACTGCTAGCAAGACTAATAAAGAAGAAAAGAGAGAAAAATCAAATAGATGCAATAAAAAATGATAAAGGGGATATCGGCACTGATCCCACCGAAATACAAACTACCATCAGAGAATACTATAAACACCTCTACACAAATAAACTAGAAAATCTAGAAGAAATGCATAAATTCCTGGACACATACACCATCCCAAGACTAAAGCAGGAAGAAGTTGAATCTCTGAATAGTCCAATAACAGGCTCTAAAATTGAGGCAATAATTAGTAGCCTACCAACCAAAAAAAGCCCAGAACCAGATGGATTCAGTCAAATTCTACCAGAGGTACAAAGAGGAGCTGGTACCATTCCTTCTGAAACTATTCCAATCAATAGAAAAAGAGGGAATTGTCCCTAACTCATTTTATGAAGCCAGCATCATTCTGATACCAAAGCCTGGCAGATACACAACAAAAAAAAGATAATTTTAGACCAATATCCCTGATAAACATCGATGCAAAAATCCTCAATAAAATACTGGCAAAACGAATCCAGCAGCACATCAAAAAGCTTATCCACCACAATCAAGTCAGCTTCATCCCTGGGATGCAAGGCTGGTTCAATATACACAAATCAATAAATGTAATCCATCACATAAACAGAACCAAAGACAAAAACCACATGATTATCTCAATAGATACAGAAAAGGCCTTTGAGAAAATTCAACAGCCCTTCATGCTAAAAACTCTCAATAAACTAGGTATTGATGGAACATATCTCAAAATAATAAGAGCTATTTATGACAAACCCACAGCCAATATCATACTGAATGGGCAAAAACTGGAAGCACTCCCTTTGAAAACTGGCACAAGACAGGAAGCCCTCTCTCACCACTCCTATTCAACATAGTGTTGGAAGTTCTGGCCAGGGCAATCAGGCAAGAGAAGGAAATAAAGGGTATTCAATTAGGAAAAGAGGAAGTCAAATTGTCCCTGTTTGCAGATGATAAGATTGTATATTTAGAAAACCCCATTGTCTCAGTCCAAAATCTCCTTAAGTTGATAAGCAACTTTACCAAAGTCTCAGGATACAAAATCAATGTGCAAAATTCACAAGCATTCCAATAACAGACAGAGAGCCAAATCATGAGTGAACTCCATTCACAATTGCTACAAAGATAATACCTAGGAATCCAACTTATAATGGATGTGAAAGACCTCTTCAAGGAGAACTACAAACCACTGCTCAGCGAAATAAAAGAGGACACAAACTAATGGAAGAACATTCCATGCTCATGGATAGGAAGAATCAATATCATGAAAATGGCCATACTGCCCAAGGTAATTTATAGATTCAATGCCATCCCCATCAAGCTACCAATTACTTTCTTCACAGAATTGGAAAAAACTACTTTAAAGTTCATATGGAACCAAAAGAGAGCCCACATATTCAATACAATCCTAAGCCAAAAGAACAAAGCTGGAGGCATCACGCTACCTGACTTCAAACTATACTACAAGGCTACAGTAACCAAAACAGCATGGTACTGGTACCAAAACAGAGAGATAGACCAATGGAACAGAACAGAGGCCTCAGAAATAACACCACACATCTACAACCATCTGATCTTTGACAAACCTGAGAAAAACAAGAAATGGAGAAAGGATTCCCTATTTAATAAGTGGTGCTGGGAAAACTGGCTAGCCATATGTAGAAAGCTGAAACTGGATCCCTTCCTTACACCTTATACAAAAATTAATGCAAGTTGGACTAAGACTGAAATGTTAGACCTAAAATCATAAAAAGCCTAGAAGAAAACCTAGGCAATACCATTCAGGACATAGGCATGGGCAAGGACTTCAGGTCTAAAACACCAAAAGCAATGGCAGCAAAAGCCAAAATAGACAAATGGGATCTAATTAAACTAGAGAGCTTCTGCACAGCAAAAGAAACTACCATCAGAGTGAATAGGCAACCTACAGAATGGGAGAAAAATTTTGCAATCTACCCATCTGACAAAGGGCTACTATCCAGAATCTACAAAGAACTTAAACAAATTTACAAGAAAAAAACAAACAACCCCATCAAAAAGTGGGCAAAGGATATGAACAGACACTTCTCAAAAGAAGACATTTATGCAGCCAACAGACACATGAAAATAAGCTCATCATCCCTGGTCATCAGAGAAATGCAAATCAAAACCACAATGAGATACCATCTCATACCAGTTAGAATGGCAATCATAAAAAAGTCAGGAAACAACAGATGCTGGAGAGGATGTGAAGAAATAGGAACGCTTTTACCCTTTTGGTGGGCGTGTAAAGTAGTTCAACGATTGTGGAAGACAGTGTGGTGATTCCTCAAGGATCTAGAACTAGAAATACCATTTGTCCCAGCAATCCCATTACTGAGTATATATCCAAAGGATTATAATTCATGCTACTATAAAGACACACGCACACGTATGTTTATTGCGGCACTACTCACAACAGCAAAAACTTGGAATCAACCCAAATGTCCATCAATGATAGAGTAGATTAAGAAAATGTGGCATACATACACCATGATTGAATACTATGCAGCCATAAAAAGGGGTGAGTTCATGTCCTTTGCAGGGACATGGATGCAACTGGAAACCATCATTCTGAGCAAACTATCACAAGGACAGAAAACCAAACACCACATGTTCTCACTCATAGGTGGGAATTGGACAATGAGAACACTTGGACACAGGGCGGGGAACATCACACCCTGGGGCCTGTCCTGGGGTGGGGGCCAGGGGGAAGGACAGCATTAGGAGAAATACCTAATGTAAACGACGAGTTAATGGGTGCAGCAAACCAACATGGCACATGTATACGTATGTAACAAACCTGCACATTGTGCACATGTACCCTCGAACTTCAAGTATTAAAAAAAAAGACACTTGGAACAAATACATTTTTTAAAAGATATTCAACTATATTGGCCCTTTTTACTTGTCAGGAGTTTACATACTTTTATTAACATTCCATTACATCTCCTAAGGAGTAGGTGTCATTAGTCCTGTTTTACTGATACAGTTATCAAAGCTCAGTGAAATTTTTAATAAGAAATATAAGTGCTGAGATTTATTGAACTCTTATTCTATACCTAGCCCATGCTGAGCTCTTTACATATATATATGTGTGTGTGCTAGTAACCTAAACATTACAATTAAAAGGCAGAGTTGCAAAGAACTTGAAAGAGAACTACTATTCAATCCAGCAATCCCATTACTGAGTATACACCAAGAGGAAAATAAATTGTTTTACCAAAGATACAGGCACTCATATGTTGATCTCAGCACTATTCACAATAGCAAAGGCATGGAATCAACCTAAGTGCTCATCATCAGTGGATTGAATAAAGAAAATATGGTGCATATACATCATGGAATGCTATGCAGCCATAAAAAGAATAAACTCATGTTTTTTGAAGCAACATGGATGCAGCTGGAGGCCATTATCCTAAGCAACTTAATACATGAATGGAAAACCAAATACCACACATTCTCACTTATAAGGGGGAGCTAAATATTGGGTACTCATGGACATAAAGATGGCAACAATAGACAGTGGGGACTATTAGAGGGGGAAGGGAGGGAAGGGATAAGGGTTGATACACTAACCAATGGATACTATGCTCACTACCTGGGTGATAGGATCAATCATAGCCCAAACCTCAGTAACACACAATGTACCCATGTAACAAACGTGCAAATGTACCCCTGAGTCTAAAATAAAAGTTGACATTATAAAAATAAATAAATAAATGGCAGAGATTATCAGAATGAATACAAATGTAGAACCCAACTGTATGTTGCCTACGAGAGATACACTTTAAATAGAAAGACACATATAGCTTAAAAGTATATGAATGGAAAAATATATACAATGCTCAGTCACATAAGGAGACTAGAGTAGCCATATCAGATAAAATAGACTTCAAGACAAAAGAGTATTACAGAAATAAAAATCTTCATAAGGATCAAATAATCAATGCATTAGGAAGATATAACAATCATAAATATGTTAACATAAACATATTAACAATAGAGTATCAAAAAAAATGAAGTAAAAAAAGTGACAGAACCCCTGCAAGCATGCTTTTTCTATGGTCTTGGTGTGAGCTGAGTGTATTTCTCCACATCTTGACTTCGGCCAAATGACTTAGTTGGACCAATGACTTGAAAGTGAAAGAGATAGAGTGCCAATTCCAACCCTAAGTCTTTAGAGTCATAGCAGATTTCTGCTTGCTTTCTTGTGTCTCAGCCTTATCCATGAGAAGAATATGACCTGGCTGGCCATTGGTCCAAATATAGTAAGGGACACATAGAGGAGAAATATCTGGCTAACCAGCAGACTTGCAGCTTAAAGCAGAGCCACCCAGCCAAGTCAAGATGAGCTTAGCCATGACTAGATGAACCCTGGACTCTGCATAGGTACTTAAGCAAGTTCATTTGAGATCAGTAAAATCATCCTAGCCAGCCTGCAGAAACATGAGAAACAAATGCTTACTGTGAAACAAAAAAAAATGACAGAACCAAGTGTAGACATCAACAGTTCTGCAATAATGGTAGAAGGTGTTCACGCTTCTCTCTCAGCAATTGATGAACAACTAGTCAAAAGATCATTAAAGACATGGATGATCTGTATAACATCACCAAACTCTTTGGCCTAATTGATATTTATACTATTTATACAAATTACATCCCAAAATGACACAATACACATTCTTTTCAAGAGCCTATCATACATTTATCAAGATAGAATGTATTCCGAACCATAGAAAGTTTCAATAAATTTAAAATCATTGAATCCGTGTTCTCTGACTACAACAAAATTAAACTAGAAGCCAATAGATATATTTGGAAATTAGATAACATACTTCTAAATAATTCATTGGTCAAAAAAAGAAATCACAAGAGAAATCAGAAAATATTTTAAACTGAATTGGGAATAAAAATACAACATAACAATGTGTTAGATGCAGTGAAGACAATGATTATAAAGAAATGAGCTTCTTCAAATGCTTATATGAGAAAAGAAGAAATACTATGAAATTGATTGCTTAAACTTCCACCTTTATAAGCTAGAGAAAGAGGAAAACACAAAGTAAAACAAAGGAAGTAGAAAAGAAATAGAAATAAAAGCAGAAATCAATGAAAAAGAAAACTAACAAAAAACATAGAAAATTAACACAGCCAAAAGTTGGTTCTTCAAAAATATTAACAAAATTGACAAGCCCATAGCAAGTCTAATCATGGGTAAAAGAGAATACACAAATCACCAACATCAGAAGTGAACAAGATTCTATAGATATTAAAAGATCATAAATTCTATAGATATTAAAAGAAAAATTAAAGAAATTAAGAAAAATTAAAGAATATTGTGAACAACTTAATACCGACAAATATGACAATCAGATTCAGTGTCCAGGACAGTGAAACCAGCTACTGAAAAGAGGGATGTTTATGGAGGACTCTAAGAGACATCACCAAGGTTTCCCATAATAATGTGTTTATACAGGAATCCCTTCAGGAGACCCTCTAATTTGGGCACATTGTGCTGAAGATTATTAGCCTTACAGGTTTTTTATGGTGGCTCAGAAAAATCAGGAAAAAATGAGATACATGCAAATTTCAAATTATATAGGTGCTTCTTCTCTTTCTGAGAATTAAATGCAACTGCAAGAGTCCCTTCATTCTGAGTGGGATGATCAGTGGCAATCCATCTGTAAAGTATAATCAATCAACTTCTAGATAATGTATTTGGATCACTGTGCAAAGTTCTGGTAAAATATACAAAAAGATCTGACTACCGTGGAACTTAGAATATCCATGGAAAATTTTATTCATTATGTTTATTTTGCAACAACAATAATAGAGCCTACTCACTGTATTCAAAAGAAAAAGTTTTCAAAAGTTTGAAAGTGACACTCAAAACTTTTATTTATTTATTTATTTATTTTATTTATTTATTTTTTGAGACTGAGTCTCACTTTGTCACCCAGGCTGGAGTGCAGTGGTGTGATCTCAGCTCACTGCAACCTCTGCCTCCCGGGTTCAAGCAATTCTCCTGCCTCAGCCTCCCAAGTAATTGAGATTACAGGCACCCGCCAATACGTCCAGCTAATTTTTGTATTTTTATTAGAGATGGGGTTTCACCATGTTGTCCAGGCTGGTCTTGAACTCCTGACCTCAGGTGATCTGCCCGCTTTGGCCTCCTAAAGTGCTGGGATTACAAGGGCGAGCCACTGCGCCCAGCCTGATACTCAAAATTTTATAGATATTTGCCCACCCAGTCAAAAAGAAGCCCTATGCAGTTGATATCATTAACTTCATTTTAAAGGCCAGAAAAATGAGGCAACATGCCCAAAGTCACAATCATGATTCAAGCTGGGTCCACCTACTGTCAAAGTGCACATGGTAGCCAAGTGGTTAAGAATATCGAGTCTGAAACCAAGCAGACCATCACTTCCAGACCTCCAAACTCCCCACCACTTCTGTCTGAGCCTCATTTTCTTCACCTGTAAATGGAAATAAGAACAATTACCCTTCAGATTCACAAGGGAATTTAGACAAGAGACATGTTGATAAAACATGGTAACACTTTAACTAGAGTTTTGTCTTGGTTTGTGTTCCCTAGAAATAGACCCTGAGGTAAAGATTCAAACACAAGTAGTTTATTTGGGAAGTAGTCCCCAAAATATAAGAGAGTGAGGAATGAGATAGGAATTGGAAGGAAGCCAATAAATGGTATGTTATCAAACAAGTCATCACTCGACCACTGGAGCACACTCCTGCTGGGAAACCACAGGAGACAGCGTAAAATATGCCTAGAGCTACCCCAACTGAGAGGTGGGAGTATTCATCCACCAGCTCCCTGTCCATCACTGGTTGAGAACAGCTTCTGAGAGCATTAGCTTGTTGCTGTTGGCTTGCTCTTGGCCAAGCATGTTCCCAAAACCAGAGGAAAAAAAAAAAAAAAAAAAAACCTTCAGGCATAGATTTGGAGACATTCACGGTAAGGAACTTTCTGTGTATAAAGGTGGGTGCTGAGAGTTATGGCCAGGGTACCAATAGCAGCTGCTACAACACTGAGACAAGAACTGGATTCTGAGACAAAGAAGCAAAGAAAAGAGATTTACTTTTTTTTTTAACTTCATCAGGAGCCCAGAATGTCTAGATAAACCCCAAGTCTATTTCATTTTGTACCAACGTTTCCTTGTTGAATATTTCCAAGCATGATTCCATTTCCTGGACTCCAGAGTGAAATGATCTGGTGAAGAAAGGCTATCCATTAGTCTCCACCTCCAGGTCAACCTAAGGATTCTTGGCTTGAGGTGGTGAGGCAACCAGTGCTCAAATCCACAGTGTACCCAAAACTACCCCGGCATCGTTGCACATCCACCCAAGCCTCAGCTTCCTTACCTAAGAATGATGCCTGCACACCATCTCCCTCTATGTAAACACAAAGCTTTTCCTAAGCCCCCACTATGTGCCCCACTCCAGGATAGGAATTGAAAGATAAATAAGACAATGTTCTCGTTTTAAAAGACTTTCCTGCCTAGAAGACAAATAAGTAAACCAACAATGACCATACAATGAAAATAGTGCTATAACAAAGGCAATCACATAAGGCTAAAAGAGCTACAACAACAACAACAAAAAGTAATCAATTAATGCGCGGGAGAGAAAGAGCACATCTGAAGGAGGTGACACAAAGTCGATCTTTGTGGTGGCCTTACACACCTATTACAGAGGCTGCAGCAGCTGTTGCTCTGAGCTCCATTCTAGCACTCACACCAAGGTCATGTCTCCACAAGCTGCTCCATTCCCATAACTCAAAAGAGCAGGGATACTAAGGCAGGCCCATTCCAGGAAGCCAAGGCTGGCTCAGGGATGATGCCTTTGCTTAACCTTTCTTAAACTGTGAGACAGGCCAGATACTCCCACTATCCAATGTTCTCTCCTTGTCTCCTTCACTCTGGATCAGAGTTGCATTGCAGTCTGATGACTCCTTCAGTCCTTTCCAGCTTCCTCCGAATTTCATTTCACACAGGCATTTCCCCCTAAAGAAAAAATATATATATTTGAATGTTTAATCTTGCCTTGGCATTTTTTGGATGATCTAGACTAACTGTCTTGAAGGATTAGTAGCAGTTAGATAGGCAGAGAAGGCCAGAAAATGCACATTAACCAGGAGAAATGGTGTGAGCAAAGGCAAGGAGGAAGGGAAAGCTATCCCTGTTCAGTGTAAGCAAGGACAACAAGTGGATAGAGTTTAGGACACTAGGGTGGGAAGTAAGAGGGTATGAGTGGGAAATTAGTTTTTGAGCTAAATGATTTTTGCCATTAAAATGA
This sequence comes from Homo sapiens, assembly GCF_000001405.40. Lineage (NCBI taxonomy): Eukaryota > Metazoa > Chordata > Mammalia > Primates > Hominidae > Homo > Homo sapiens. Next base: position 63,705,848 of record NC_000003.12, read on the forward strand.
ATGGCAAAAACAGCAATTGCTTTTGCACCAACCTAATATATTAGAAGGAAAAGGGCTAGAACCAGATCATCCAAAACCTGTTAGGAAATTTGAATCTTTTCCATATGACACTGAGGAGACTTTAGGGAGTTTTAGGGAAAGAGAACAAAATCAGGTCCTCACTGCCTAGGCCACAGGAGCAAATGGATCAGAGGACATCGGAACCAGGGACTGGGAGGTCAGATAGAAGACACTGCAGTAACTCTAGTGAGCTATCATGAGAACCTGACCTGGGGAGAGCAAAGCTGACAAAGAAGAGAGAAAAGACCCAAGTGATATTTACAAGGTAAAATTACTAGAACTTAGACACCACTGAGTATGAAGAATGGATGAAAGTGAGGAATTGGGGAAAATACCCAGGTTTCTATTGCATGGAAGCAGACGACTTCACTGGAAATGAACTGGCAGAGAGAGACCCACACTGCTCTTCACTATGTTCCATGACATTCACAACTCACAGTTCTTCTGAAATTTAAAAATCACAACTAAGTTGGCATTTCCCAAAGGCACACCCCCAAATCCTCAAAAGCCACTGAGACCATCTCATGCAACACACATTGCTAGAAATGTGGTTTTCCAGTTCAACAATTTGGCCAACCAGTAATGGAATGAAGAATGCATGTGGTGGTGTCAGCAGTGCCTGGGGGAAATGGAGGTGGAGAGCCCAGTTGAGACATGCCTTAGTCATAGAAAGAGGCCAAGGCTAGAGATGAAGAGTAAGGAATCATCAACACACAGGTAGAAATCTAAGCCACAAGGCTTTAATAGCTCACCCAGAAAGAGAAGAACAGAAATCCTGTGTATGTTTCCTATGGCTGCTGTAGCAAATCAACTCAATCTTGGTGGTTAAAACAACACATATTTATTATCACAACAAAGCTCTGGAGGTCAGAAGTCAGAAATGAGCTTTATGGGACCAAAATAAAGGCAACAGCAGAGCTGCATTCCTTTTCGAGGCTCTAGGGGAGAATCTGTCCCTTGCCTATTCCAGCATCTGGAGACTGTGCCTGCATTGCTCAGCTCATGGTCTCCTCCCAGCAATGGCTTCACTCCAACTTCTTTTTTCGTCGTATTTTCTTCTCTGACTCTCCTGCCTCTCTCACACACAACTTAAAGGCTCCTGTGATTACATCTCGCTCACTCAGATAATCCAGAAATATCCCCCCATCTCAAGATACTTAATCATACCCACAAAGCCCTCTTGCCATGTAAGGTAACATATTCCCAGGTTTTGGGGATCAGGACATGGATATCTTTGGGTGACCATCATTGTGCCTCTGGCAGCTAGGGACTAAGCCCTGGAGAACATGACTATTTATGGAACAGGCAAGCCTTGGAACAAGATAAAGAACTAAAGACAGGAATGAATTCCAGACAGTCAGTTACCGGTGACATTTTCAATTTCAAGGGTATCTTAGCTCCAGTTAAAATCACTGCATTGAGAAGTGAGGTTTGGCTTTTTTCCCCTCCCTTCCTATCTGTGATCTACATCACCAACTCAAGAGTAAAAAGCTATTTCGCGGTGGAAAAAAAGCACAGGGATATGCATAAAGAAGCATTGCAAGAATCATAATTATCATTCTGAAGTTACTCCTCCTCCGAGAAAAATAGGCATCTTCCCAAGGCCTCCTCTCCCTCAGTGAAATGCTGTGGCCCCATGAGGTTGTTCTTGATCGTGGGATAAATCTGGGTCCTGTGTGGACTCCTAGAAGCCCTTGAAGCTCTCTAGCTCAGTTCCTCCCTACCATTGAGAGGTCTCCTCTCCATTTCTAACTGATAACTTTAAGGCTTGATGGCAAACACAGTCAAGCTAGGATGTCACACTCTTCCCCTGACTCATGGTTGAACTCAGCAGCCTCTCCCTGACAGTTCACTTGGAAAATGGCTGGCTTCAGACATTTGCAAAGGATGGGATAATTTACTGAATTTTCTCCTCCTCAGCTTCAAGCAGGGAGTCTGGCCCTGGAAATTTCCTTGCCTTAAGAATTTTCTATCATCTGTGGCAGGGCAAACAGTAAGATGAGGCCAGAGTTCACAAAGTGTGTCTTAGGTCAAATTCTCCAGAACAAAATCCTGACACAAGAATTCACTTGCGAGTGATTTATTAAGAAAGTGTTCCCAGGAGAAACTGATAATGGAATAGGGAAATCAAGAAAAGGGAGAAGAAAAGGCTAAATAGGGTACAATATCAAGCAAACTTGCAGTTTTAGACTGATCCTATTACTCCTCAGAATTTGCCCTGCCAAAAGAAAGGAAGCCAGGCTTTTAAATGCCCTCCACTAGTCAGTCACTAGCTGAGAGTAACCTTGATAGGATGTGTACTCCTGGCCCCTGACAGCTCTCTGTACATATACCTTGAACACAAAACAGTGCCTGGCACAGAAGATCAGGAAATATTTGTTGAATAAAATAATTAATATTATGATGATTACTGTCATCGTCTTTTTGTTGTTGTAGCATTAAATAATATATATAGCAGAAGTGCAAATATGAACATGTGCACTGCAGGTCTGCACAGGGCATCATCTCAACTAAATGGTTTGTTTTGTCAAAATAAATGAAGCGGGTGTTGCCACTCTAAAACCATCACCAACAGTTTTACTGCCATTTCTCTGCAGCTAAACACAAATGTGACAATGAAAGGAAAGGACACAAAACTGGGCATCTTTCACTGGAATTTGCCTGAGAAAGAAGAAAATGACAAGAGGTGGAGGGAGAAGAGAGGACTAAGAGGCCCTGTAAAAATATGTGGTCGAGGCCAGGTGCTGTGGTTCACACCTGTAATTCCAGTACTTTTGGAGGCCGAGGCAGACTTGATCACCTGAGGTCAGGAGTTCAAGACCAGCCTGCCCAACATGGTGAAACCTCATCTCTACTAAAAATACAAAATTAGCCAGGCATGGTGGCACGCGCCTGCAGTCCCAGCTACTTGGGAGGCTGAGGCAGGAGGAACCCAGGAGGCTGAGGTTGCAGTGAGCCAAGATCGTGCTACTGCACTCCAGCCTGGGTGACAGAGCAAGGCTCCATCTCAAAAAAAAAAAACATGGCCGATTTGCCAATTTACACCTGAGGCTCCATTATTGCCCATCAATTGCCTTGGCAATAGAGTCCAGCTCTGAAATTAGACAAACCTGAGTTCAAAAGATCCTCCAGCATTTATTATTGGGTGGCCTCAGATGAGTGGCTTAACTTCTCTAGGCCTCAGTTTTTTTCATTTGTAAAATGAAAGTAATAATAATAACCTTCTCCTAGGATGATTCTGAGGAATGAATGAGTTAGTGAATGACCAAATGCATTTACCATGCCTCACAGAGAGTACTCAATTATTATTGTTATTATTTTTGTTGTTGTTGTTTGGGCTTTAGTCCCTCAGGTCTTTTCCTCTGTCCAGTTCACTTATCCACTCACTCAATTAATATTTATTGAGTGCTGACACAATGTGATGTTATCAGAGGAGGCTCAGGAAATACAGTAGAAAATAAGACAAGTATTTAACAGACTAACACAGTTAACATTGGTAATAATTAAACATTTGTTGAACATTTACTCTAACCAGCTTCTATTCCAAATGCTTTATATACATTGTCCCATTTAATATTCTCACAGCACCTCCATGAAGTTGACCATTTTGTCATCCTTGTTAGAGAACCCAAGATTAGATAGATTAAGCTACTTGTACAAGGTCATGCAGCCAAGTGGTACAGTGAGGTAGACCTCTGTTTAATCGTAATTAAGCAGACTCCTCTGTTTAATCACAAGGGGTTATGATGCCCCCACCGCCAGGGCTCTGCCAGAACTTTAGGTTGATCTCCAATATGTGACGCAAAGTTGTCAACCAGTCTCTAAGCCTGAGGCTCTGGAACAATACTCAGCACTCAACAAATTGGGGAAGATAACAAATTTTTCTACTAAACCAAAGCTGTGACAGATCTAATTGAATGCTGGAAGCAGTATGATTGCTTGTGATTTGCCCAGGATGAATGGCTCTGCTTGTCTTCATTTCAAAAGGCATTGCTTCCTGCCTGTGACACAGCCCTGGAGAATACATATTCTTTCCCCAGAAAAATCAGCAAAAAATAATTTCCAAAATATTTCCAACATTCCTCCAACCCACAAGCCCAGCTAAATGAAATTAAATTTCACCTTTCCTGAAGGTGAGTCTGTTTTTAAGTTTGAGCGATAGACTGATGTTTAATTTCAAATCCCCAAACATTGAGGCTATTGATTTTGGTAAGTATAAAGATTAATATTTCTGAAGAGGATAGATGGAAGAAAATATCCAGGCAATTACAAGTAACATCCATTAAAGAAACAATAAATATTTAATAAGTTGAAGGAACTGCTAATATAGGAGAAGCTGAGAAGAGTTGGAAGATCAGTATGTGGGGTGGGGTAGGGGGAGAGAGAAAGAGAGTAAGAGAGAGAGAATTTACTACTTACAAAATTCTACTTCCTCAATTTGTACATTTATTAGGCCAGAGGACTGGTTCAGCCCTCTTTCCAGAGTTTGCACCTCTCTTTCCAGCCCCCTCTATTAAAACCTAGAAATTCAGGCATGTGATGAAAAGTAAAGATAGAACACCTTACTTTTGCAGTGGGAAATGTGGCACTGGGAGCTGGAAATGTGTTAGCAAGATGGAAGAATTACATCCTAGAATAATCTAAGCAACAAGAAGTTAGACTTGATGTTTACACCCTCTGAAATACACAGTGATACTTAACTAGAGGCAGGCCTTTGAATAATTTTTTAATTTTTTTATATTGAGAGAAAAATATTTCCTGCTTACAGCTTCTGCCTAGGTTCTGGCATAAACCAATTCTGTGTTAAAAGAAGAAAAAGGCACTGTATCATAGGGAGGTTATAAGAATTAATTGAATGATTCATAAAGGAGTGCCTGGCACCTAGTAAGTGCTGTGTATTAGTTTAAGATTGGTTTGAAACTTAAATAGAAGATTGGCCCATAGAGAATTACATTTTAATAAGATCACTTGAGAATCAGGGTGGGTGGAGGATGGACTGGAAGGATGAAATTGAAGGTGGGAATATGTGTTGGAGGGCTGCTACAGGAATCCAGGAGAGAGACGATGGTGGCCTGAACCAGCTGGCCGCACTGGGGATAGAAAGAAATAAGGAAATTCTCTTTAATTCAGGAGATAGAACCCACAGGTCATGACAGTGGTTGACTATGAGTATACAAGTAAATGGAGAAGTCCTGGGTGACATCCAGGTTATTTAAGCAAATTGCAGCACCATTTACTAAGAAGGGAAATGTGAAACAAGAGTGGACTGGTGTAAAGTTCAGTCTTTATGCCCCACTCCCTCTATTTTTCATGCTACACAGTCACCAAGTGGTTTCAGATCAAAGGTTTGGAGAGTGGACTCTTTAATCTGAAGGCTTAGTGTCTAATCATGACTCTTCCATATACTAGTTCTGTTTCCTTGGATAAATTATTAAGCCTCTCTGTGCCTCAGTTTTCTCATCAGTAAAATGGAACAATAATAGTAATCTAACTTATGGAAGCATAATTAATTCCTTATGTAAGGCACATAGCATGGAATCTGGCATATTGAAATACTGTCTATACATTTTACTCCTTGGTATCACTACATGATTATTGATTACAAAATCAATATGCATAGTGAACATCTGAATTACTCTCCTTTGAATGGATTCAGCTGGTCTGAACCTTTTTCAAATTATTGGTCCCCAGTACTACAAGGGCAAAAGCAGACATTTCAGGTGTTGCCGTGAGCATACTATTCACACCTCAGGGTCTTCTCTATTTCCTCTTGCTGGAACATTCTTCCTTCTGTCTTCATCTTTCACATCACAATTGAAAGTTTACTTCAAAACTCCTAGAAGAAAACGTAGGTGAACAACTCAATGACATTGGTTTTGGCAATGATTTTTTGGATATGACACCAAAAGCACATGTAACAAAAGTAAAAGTAAATAAGTGTGACTAGTACATCAAACTAAAAAGTTTCTGCACAGAAAAGGAAACAGTCAACCAAATGGGAAGACAACTCATAAAAAAGGAGAAAATATTTGCAAATCATATATCTGATAAAGGGTTAATATCCAAAATATATAAGGAACTCAAACAACTTAATAACAAGAAAACAAATAACCTGGTTGAAATATGGGCAAAGAACTTGAATAGATTTTTTTTCCAAAGAAGACATACAAGTGGCCAACAAGTATATGAAAATGTGCTCAACATCACCAATCATTAGGGAAATACAAGATAAAATCATAATGCAGTAACATATCACACCAGATAGGATAGCTATTATCAAAAAGTCAAAAGAGGCCAGGCGCAGTGGCTCATGCCTATAATCACAGCACTTTGGGAGGCCAAGGCAGGAGGGTCACTTGAGCCCAGGAGTTCAAATCCAGCCTGGGAAATATGACAAGATCCTGTCTCTAATAAAAATTAGTCAGGCATGGTGGCACACACCTGTGGTCCCAGTTACTCAGGAGGCTGAGTTGGGAGGATTGCCTGAGCCTGGAAGGTCAAGGCTACAGTGAGCCGTGTTCATGCCACTGCACTCCTGGGTGACAGGGTGAAAGCCTGTCTCAAAAAAAAAAAAAAAGTGAAAAGATAAGTGTTGACAAGGATATGAAAAAAAAGGGGGATCCTTTTACATTGTTGGTGGGAATGTAATTGGTAAAGCCATTATGGAAAGCAATATGGAAATTCCCCCCAAAATTAAAAATATAGCTATCATATGATCCAGCAATCCCACTTTTTTGAGTATATATCCAAAGAAAACGAAATTAGTATCTCAAAGAGATACCTGCCCTGTCATGTTCATTACAGTTTTTTTTTTTTTTTTCTGAAACAAGATCTCACATTGTCACCCAGGTTGGAGTGCAGTGGCTCAATCTAGACTCACATATTCAAGCAATTTTCCTGCCTCAGCCCCACCAAGTAGCTGGAACTACAGGCATGTGCCACTATGCCTGCTTATTTTTATATTTTTTTGTAGAGATGGGGTTTCGCCAGGTTGCCCAAACTGGTCTCGAACTTCTGACCTCAAGCAATCTGCCTGCCTTGGCCTCCCAAAGGGCTGGGATTACAGGCGTGAGCCACCACACCTGGCATCATGTTCATTACAGCCTTATTCACAATACCAAAATATGGAAACAACCTAAGTGTCCACCAGTGGATGAATAGATAAAGAAAAGATTGTACACGTATACAATGAAATGTTATTCCATCTTCAGAAAGAAGAAAATCCTGCCATTTGTGACAATGTGGGTAACCCAGATGACATTATCCTAATTGAAATAAGCCGGACACGGAAAGACAAATACTGCATGATGTCACTTATAAACGGAACCTGAAAATACTCAAACTCATAGAAACAGAGCATAAGGGTACTTACCAGGGGTTGGTGGAGTGGGAGAAAAGGAGAGATATTTGTCAAAGGCTATTGGAAATTGCCAAGTTACATTGGTAATTGTAAGATGAATAAGTTCTGAAGACTTAATGTAAAACATGATGACTATAGTTAATAATAAGGTATACTTGAAATTTGATAAGACAAGCTGGGAGCAGTGGCTCACACCTATAATCCCAGCACTTTGGGAGGCCAAGGCAGGTGGCTAACTTCAGGTCAGGAGTTCAAGACCAGCCTGGCCAACATGGTGAAATCCCATCTCTACTAAAAATACAAAAACTTAGCTGGGTGTGGTGGTGTGCACCTGTAATCTCAGCTACTCAGGAGGCTGAGGCAGGAGAATAGCTTGAACTCAGGAGGCGGAAGTTGTAGTGAGCCAAGATCGTGCCACTGTACTCCAGCCTGGGCGACAGAGCAAGTCTCTGCATCAAAGAAAAAAAAAAAAAAGAAGAAATCTTCTAAGACAGTAAATTTTAAGTAGTCTCATCACCAAAAGAAGGGGGTAATATGTTAATATGTAAGGTGATGGATGTGTTAAATAGTTTGATTGTGGTCATGATTTCACAAAGTTTATGTATGTCAAGACATCACATTGTAGTCTTTGAATGTATAAAAAGTGTGTTTGTCAATTATACCTCAACAAAGTTAAAAAAAAAATTAAAAGGTTACCTCCCCAGGGAAGCTCACCGTGAAACACTCTAGCCTTACACTAGATGAGCAGCGTGTGCTCGGATACTCTTATAGTATAGTACCATGGTGTTTTTCTTTGTATCATTGTCACAAACCTAATGTCGATCTCCTCAAACCAGACTCTAAGCCCCATAAGGACGGGAAGCATTTTATGATCTTATCCCCAGTGCCCAGGCTAGGGCTTAGCACACAATCAATATAGTTGACTCTTGAACAACACAAGTTTGAACTGTGAGAGTCCACTTATACGTATATTTATTTCAACCAGAGATGCAAAATACAGTATTTGGGGGATGTGAAACTCCAGTATCCAGAGGGCTTTTTGTATGTGCAGTTTCTACAGGGCTGACTGCAGGACTTGAGTATGTGCACACTTTGGTATATGAGGGGCTCTTGCAATGAATCCTTACTAGCTGTGTGATTTCAGGCAAGCAGGTTCACCTGTCTAAGCCTCAATGTATTTATCTGTAGAATGAGGACAATTATATAATGATACATTCTACTCTGTAGAGTTGTCATAAATGTTAAGTGAGAACAGATGTGCAGAGTTCTGTGCACAAGGCCTAGAACAGCTAAGTGCTCCAAATGCGTGATCTACTACTAATATTATTATGACTGTTTTTGTATTTGATTCCAGGTTATACCCTCAGTAAGAAGAACTCATCCTCCACCCTCCTGTATTTACAGAACAAGGCTTCCTTGCTTTTCACTAGCCTATTCACCAGTTCTTTTAAGCACCACATACTAACAAATTTCTAGAACTATATTAGCAAGAAGAAAAACTTTCCCGGATTCTCATATTATCCTCAGGTCAGGGAAAAAGCCAAAGTAGAAAAGGAGGATTATTGCCACTGGGAATGTTATATAATTTTTCATGCAATTAGACCATCCTCCCCAACTTTGTTCCAAAAGTTCCAGTAATCAAATTCTGATTTTTTTTATCACAAGCATAAAAGCAAAGAAGGGTGAAGAAATCTCTCTCTGACAAATGAGGAGAAGACTGGTTCTCTCAACTTACAAGAGTAAACAATGGCTCTATTCCCAGGTCGTTTTTCACAGAGGTTATTGATGCTCTCTCCAGATCTTTCTGTTTCTGGCCTATACCATCCCCCAGCTTCTGCAGTTATTGGATGCTGATTGCTCATACCTGTGTCTGTCTCCAGATGCTGAAGGGTTGCCTAGTCCAAACATATCTGGGAGTTTTGACCTCCACTCCCAAGGATAGTGTGTGGCCAATGGCTGACTAGGTGGAGATATAAAAGCCAGGCCCTGAGAACCTAGGCAGAACAACCTCTGTAGTGCAACTTACACTCAAGAGCATATCCTGAAATCAGGCTGGACGTTGCCAAAAAAAAATAATAATAATCTATGCACCTATGGGGGGGCTGTGTTCCCACCCAAATCTCATCTTAAATTGTAGCTCCCATAATCCCCATGTGTCAGGGGAGGGACCTAGTGGGAGGTAATTTCATCATAGGGGCGGATTTTTCCTGTGCTGTTTCCTGATAGTGAATAAGTCTCACTAGACCTGATGGTTTTATAAAGGGCAGCTCTGCTGCACACGTTATCTTGCCTGCTGCCTTGTAAGATGTGACTTTGCTTCTCCTTTGCTTTCCACCATGATTGTGAGGCCTCCCCAGCCATATGGAACTGTGAGTCCACTAAACCTCTTTTTCTTTATAAATTACCCAGTCTCAGATATTTTTCATAGAACTATGAAAATTGACTAATACACTTACCCTTCGTTCCCTCCCTTACAGATCCCACCTGAGGCACCACTGTAATAAACCTCTTGCACAAGAATCCACATCTTAGACTCTGCTTTTAAGGAGCCCAAATTAAGATACTGGACTCTAATTAAACCAGCTATTAATAGGCTTAATGTGACGATTGTAAAAGAGGCTAATCTTAGCTCATGAGGATAATGTAAAAAGTATTTTAAAAGGAGATATTTAAAATAGTAAATCAGATCATCATTACTCCTTAATTTTCCATCACCATATAGTTTGAAAAATCCTTTTACATATACTGAAAGGAGGTTAATATTGTCCTTCTCCTTTTTGAGGTGGATAAACTGAGGCTCAAAGAGGTTAAACTCATCATATTCAAATACATCTTAAACATTTGGTGACTATTGCTTGAATTAATTGTTTAAGCCCTGTGCCAGATATTGTAAGTTCACTTATTCAACACCCACCCCAACCATCTTCCCTTCCTCTGCTCTAGAGGCTAGAAAGTACAATGTATGCTTGCATGCTTTCCCAGTCTTCTCAGCATCTCATGGTGTCCATGTGATGTATCTCTGGTCAATGAAATGAAAACTCCTAGTTAGGGCTTTTCTCCCAAAATAAACAGCAAAGTCTCAAAATGAAGTGCACTTCTCCTTCTTCCTGCCTGCCCAAACATGACACAAGGCCGGAAGTGGAACAAGTATCTGGAAAGAGTAAGGAGGATGAAGAATAAATCTAGATGTGGGAGACGATGGAGCAGAACAAGACAGAGAGCCTGGAACACTGAAAACACCATGGATCTGGTACACAAGCTGTAGGCGGCCTGCCTCTTGTGACCAGCAGCCAAACGTAAATATGAACGGAGACAAATCTTGATATCGGTTTAGGGAAACTTAAAAATGCTGCACATGCACACGGCTGGAATAGAAGTTCAAGTGTTATTTTAAAAGCTAGAAAGGGACATGTATGAAAAAAGCCAACATACTAGCAAAATTACTCAGCGTGCTAAAGGGAATGTCATGGAAAATCATGAAAAAAAGTTCTTGTTTTCCAGTGATGTATTGCCTAACTCCAACTCTCCATAAAATGAAATGTCTTTGCACAAGTGGATGCAAATGCTTTCTTTCCTTCTTAAAATAGTCCAAATATTATTTTACATATATTGATCAATAAATAGCAGCCATATATAATAGGTTCTATTATTACCTCCTCTTTGTAGATGACAGAACCAAGGCTGTGAGACTATGCTGTCTGGTATGATACCCACTACCCATATGAGGCTATTTTTAATTTTAATCTAAATTAATTAAAATTAAATCATATTTAAAATTTAGTTTCTCAGTCACTCTAGCCACATTTTAAACATATGTGGCTAGTGACTGTCACATTGACCAACACAGCTTTAGAGTATTTTCATCACCACAAAACCTTTCATTGGACATGTTGCTCTAATTGGCAAAGTAATTTGTGTAAGATTCTATGACTATTAAAAATTTGAGCTTATCCCAACTTCTACCTCATAGAACAAACAAGCTCACTTTAGGACAGTGTTTTGTGTCCTGCTTGTTGTTGTAACAAATCACCACAACTCTAATGGCTTACAATCGTACAAATTTACTGCGTTGTAGCTCTGGAGGTCAGGCATCTGAAATGGGACTCACTGGGCTAAAATTAAGGTGTTGGCAGAGCCGTGTTCCTCCTGGGGGTTCTAGGAGATAATCTGTTTTTTTGCCTTTTCCATCTTCGAAAAGTCCCTAATACCTTGGCTAGCAGCCCCATTTTCCATATTCAAAGTCACCAACCATGAGCTGCATCTTCCCCACGCTGCTCTCTCTCTGGTTCTCCCTCTTCTGCCTCCCTCTTCCATTCATAAGAACATGTGATTACAGTTTGCAGTGTCCCCACCTAGATAATCCAGGATAATATGTCCATCTCAAGGTCCACTAATTAGTGATCTTAATTCTATCTGCAAACTCAATTCTCCTTTGCCTTGTCACCAAACATGTTCACAAGTTCCAGGGATTAGGACATGGACATCTTTGGAGGTCATTTTCTGCCTCCCACAAGCAGCATTCCCTCCGTGATCTGACCCCATCTGTTTTTCAGCCTTTTTTTTTCCCTTGAATTCTTTTTTATATTCCTTGTGCTCCAGCCAAACAAAAACGTTCACTGTCCCCCAGCAATACCATTCAATCCAACAAACACAATTAAAACATCTTCTATGCTCTTCAACCCTAGAGAAACAAAATACATTTAGAGCAGGCCCCTCTCTAGAGGACCTCTTCTCCAGGCCCTTGTTTCTTAGATGTTCCCTTTTCCACAAACAGCATTTTAAGCCCCACCCATAGCCCAACCTAAGTACACCTTATCTTTTAATTCTAATCCTAAAAATTCTGTTCAAATAGCAACAAATCCACCAGACAATGTCTGAGATCACTCCAGAATCAGATGGTGGTCAATGGTGGAGCATTTGGCTGCAGCTCCAGAGATGTTTCCAGCCACATCTAGGTGTCCCGTTTGGTGACTCTGGGAGACAGGATATGTACAGGCTATGGCATATGAATAGAAACATGGACTCTAGAGTCAGAAGGCCTGTGTTTGAATCCCATAAGAAATGACTTTACCTTTTAATAATGGAATCTCTTTCTCCTCCTCTCTGTTGTGTGTATGTGTGGAGAGAAGAGTGGGGGCTAAGAAGGGTCCATGTGACTATTAAGATACTTACTTCATTTCAACTTGTTTATTTGATTTGTTTATTGTAACTCTTCTATTTAGATGAAATGGACCTTGCTAATATTCTTTATCCTTACATTTACCTATGTCCTTCTCAGGATCTTTGTTGAGTGCCTGGGTAGAGCATCCAGAAAGGGTCTATGAACACACAATGTCACAACAATGCCAAGGACTTTATGATAGTGATAAATGAACTTCAACACAAAAGAAATGTAAGACCCTACCAATGAGGACAGATGGAAAATAAAATCACATTTTCCAGGGTGATTTATCTAAAGTCATTTATGAGAAGACATTTCAGGGCAAACAGGCCACATCAGAGGAGCATATCTCTCAGGGTAAGTCAACCACCAAGGAGGGAAAGATTGTTTTTATACAGCATGGCCCCTAAATGCAAGACAATACTTAATCTGTTATTAAACTGAAAAATAAGAAACTTATTCAACACTAGAAAGGGAAAAATCACTTTTTAGCTTTTTGGGCTTAGTGAGAGAGACTACAGTGTACATGATGCTTTTTTTGGCACTTTATTGATAATTTAAAGGATTTTCAAGGGTAATTTTGATGCTACACAATTTTTGCCATATGTGCTGACTTTAAACACTAACTCCCACATAAGATATGACGCTACCCTTATGTCTTTTAGCACCTCAGGCCTCAAAAGTCATTCATATTATATTAGTTTCTTCAAAGGCTCTCTGATTCTAATAGAAATCGGCCCCACTAAATCCTAGTATTCATGTTTGCTTTTAAACAACTCACACCTTGGTTTAATGCAGAGGAGCTGTTTCCAGTCTTATTTTGACTGCTTTTAGCATCCTGGGCCCAGGCCCTAAAGAGCTTAGGGTCAGATGGGCCTTGAAGTTTAATTATTAAAGCAGCAATTATACAACTGAGAAGAATGAAATTGAAAATGAATCCAGCAGCTGATAGTGGGGTGAGTTTGAGGGGAGTCAGGGGAACTGTAAGGACTAAAAGCCACAGACACAACCAAACAGAGATTTGCATAAGCAAATGAAAACAAATACAATGCACTTTACAAAATTACGGAATGGAACTTTCTCTTTATTATTTCCACCATCTTATCAAAAAAATGGATGTAATTCTAAAACATTGCCTGGTCATTGGGAGATAGAGTATGGAGCTGGAAGGAAGGAGACCTCCGATTCAGACCTAATCTTTTAGCTCAGGCTCTGGGGAACTTGGCAAATGACTTCATTTTCCTGTCAAAAAGAGAAGAGTGTTTTCTCACAGTGTGTTTCATGTAACACCCGGTGTGAAAAGTATTATGTATGTAAAATTGTCTATAGTCAAATAAATTTGGCCTTGCATGTTTGTCTTGCCATATTCCCGTCTTAGAAATTCACCATGTCCATTAGCATATTAAAGACTCTGAGAAGTCCTGCAGCAAATTAAGCACTTTGCTTAAATTCAGTATTTCCAAATATCATTGAGCATAGATATCTTTTTTGGTGAGACATCATTTAAAGTGTGTTTCAAGGAACACACTTTGAGCAACCTGAACAACTTCATATAAACTCTGTGAGGGTAAAGGTCGTGTCTGTTTGTTCACAGAGTGCCTGGTACAGAGTAAAATGAGGGGCTGGAAAACTACGATCTGGAGGCCAGATCTAGCTCATGAGTTCAGTATGGTTTTTACATGTTTAATATTTGGGAAAAAAAATAGAAAACACAATATTTTATGACACAAAGAATATAAAATTCAAATTCCAGTGTCCACCCATAAACGTTTAATACACCACGCCCATTTGTTTATTTACCTTTTATGACTGCTTTCCAAATGGCAATGGCAGAGTTGTGTAATTGCAACACAATGACAGTAATGGCCCCACAAAGGCTGAAATTTTTACTATCTGGCCCTTTATAGACAAAGTTTGCAGATCCCTAGAGTAGACTCTCAACTAAATTGTGCAGATGAATAAATATCTTTAAAATTCACTATTCTTGCCACTTTCCATGCCAAGCTGCCTCATTTTCTGGGGAGAAGATCGAGGCCTTCCTTTGTTTAATTGGTCTTGTCTTCTTTTTTCTGGTCTCTGCTGTAGTTCATCTAAGCAGTTACTTGAGGTGAGCAAATGTTTGAAATCCAGGTCTTCTCTTCACACCTCACATGTTCCCTAGTTTGCTTCATGAGAGTCTTTCTCAGATATTAAGTATAAACACGCAATGTCAGGAAGGAGAGAAAAAAGGAATTAAGGCTTGGGTGGTTTTGACTGGGATGTCAGAGTTCCCACCATTTTTGTTTGAAAGGGACGAACATAGCAAGAAGAGGAAAGGTGGGACAGGGCACTTTGGATTTCTTTTTAACATTCTGATGTAAAGCACGCAAATCAGCCCCCTAAGAAAAGACCTGGAACACAGATTCTCATTACCACAACCCAAGCTGAAGAAGCAGCACAGGGAACTGGAGTCAGAAGGAAAGAACATGGTCAGAACCCTGGCCCCTGCCACTTAGTTTTCATGTAACCTTAGGCAACAAACTTAACTCTTTTCCTTAGAAAATGGGCCTCCCCAGCATCAACCTGATACCAAAACCTGGCAGAGACATAACAAAAAAAGAAAACCTCAGGGTAATATCCTTTATGAACATTGATGCAAAAATCCTCAATAAAATACTGGCAAACCAAATCCAGCAGCACATCAAAAAACTTAACCAACACAATCTAGTTGGCTTCATCCCATGGTTGTAAGGCTGGTTCCACATATGCAAACCATAAATGTGATTCATCACATAAACAGAACTAAAGACAAAAACCACATGATTATCTCAATAGATGCAGAAAAGGCCTTTGATAAAATTCAACATCCCTTCATGTTAAAAAAGACTCTCAATAAACTACGTATTGAAGGAACACAACTCAAAATGATAAGAGCCATATATGACAGACCCACAGTCAGTATCATACTGAATGGGCCAAAGCTGGAAGCATTTCCTTTGAAAACCAGCACAAGGCAAGAATGCCCTCTTTCACTAATCCCATTCAACATAGTATTGGAAGTTCTGGCCAGGGGAATCAGGCAAGAGGAAGAAATAAAGGGTATTGGTATTTACATAAGAAGAGAGGAAGTCAAATTATCTTTGTTTGCAGATGCCATGATCCTATACCTAGAAAACCTCATCATCTCAGCCCCAAATCTTCTTAAGCTGATAAACAACTTCAGCAAAGTCCCAGGATACAAAATCAATGTGCAAAAATGGCTAGAATTCCTATATACCAACAACAGGCAAGCAAAGAGCCAAATCATGAATGAACTCCCATTCACAATTGCTACAAAAAGAATAAAATACCTAGGAATACAGCTAACAAGGGAAGTGAAGGACCTCTTCAAGTGGAACTACAAACCACTGCTCAAAGAAATCAGAGAGGAAACAAACAAACTGAAAAACATTCCATGCTCATGGACAGGAAGAATCAGTATGGTGAGAATGGCCATACTACCCAAAGTAATTTATAGATTCAATGCTATTCCTATTAAACTACCCTTGACGTTCTTCACAGAATTAGGAAAAAAAATGTAATTCATATGGAACCAAAAAAGAGCCCAAATAGCCAAGATAATCCTAAGTAAAAACAACAAAGCTGGAAGCATCATGCTACCCAACTTCAAACTATACTACAAGGCTATGGTAACCAAAACAGCATGGTACAGTTACAAGAACAGACACATAGACCAATGGAACAGAATATAAAACTCAGAAATAAGACTGTGTACCTGTAAACATCTGATCTTCGACAAACCTGACAAAAACAACCAATGGGGAAAGGATTCCTTATTTAATAAATGGTACTGGGAGAACTGGCTAGTCCGATGCAGAAAATTGAAACTGGGCCATTTCCTTACACCATAAACAAAAATTAACTCAAGATAGATTAAAGACTTATATGTAAAACCCAAAACTATAGAAACCCTAGAAGAAAATCTAAGCAATACCATTCAGAACATAGGCATGGGCAAAGATTTCATGATGAAAATGCCAAAAGCAATCGCAACAAAAGCAAAAATTGACAAATGGAATCTAATTAAACTAAAGAGGTTCTGCACAGCAAAAGAAACTATTATTAGAATGAACAGACAACCGATAGAATGGGAAGAAAGTTTTGTAATCTATCCATCTGACAAAGGTCTAATATCCAGAATCTACAAGAAACTCAAGAAAATTTACAGGAAAAAGCAAACTATCCTATTAAAAAGTGGGCAAAGGACATGAACAGCCACATCTCAAAAGAAGACATACATGTGGCCAACAAACATATGAAAAAAAGCTCAACATCACTGATCATTAGAGAAATGGAAATCAAAACCATAATGATATAACATCTCATGCCTATCGGGCTATTATTAAAAAGTCAAAAAGCAACAGATGCTGGTGAGGTTGTGGAGAAAAAGGAATGCTTTTACACTGTTGATAGGAGTTTAAATTAGTTCAACCACTGTGGAAGACAATGTGGTGATTCCTCAAAGACCTAGAGGCAGAAATACCATTTGACCCAGGAATCCATTACTAGGTATATATCCAAAGGAATATAAATCACTCTATTATAAACATACATGCACACATGTGTTTATTGCAGCACTATTCACAATAGCAAAAACATGGAGTCAGCCTAAATGCCCATCAATGATATACTGGATAAAGAAAATGGTGGTACATATACACTATGGAATTCTATGCAGCCATAAAAACAAATGAAATCATGTCTTTTGCAGGGACACGGATGGAGTTGGAAGCCATTATCCTCGGCAAACAAACACAGGAACAGAAAACCAAACACTGCATGTTCTCACTTACAAGTGGGAATTGAATGATGAGAACACATGGACACATGGAGGAAAACAACACACACTGGGGCCTGTCAGGGGTTGAGGGGTTATGAGGTAGCACCAAGAAGAATAGCTAAGGGATCCTGGGCTTAATATCTAGGTGATGGGATGATCTGTGCAGCAAACCATGACGGCACACGTTCACCTATGTAACAAGCCTGCACATCCTGCACATGTACCCCAGAACTTAAAGTAAAAGTTGAAAAAAATTTTTCTAAAATAGATGCTTTCAACAGGCAAAATAAATAAATAAATAAATAAAAGAAATGTAAGTAATTAGACTGTATAACAGAGATAAAAAGTTAAAACTTACGTACTATATGAAATAAGTCTAAACTAATACTGACAATAACTAACACAGTTTTACACTAATTTTAGTAGTGGGTTTCTAGGCAATCAAAATTTTAAAACTTAATGAGAGGCTGAACTTTCATTAATGGAAAAATGGATACATACAAGTTCCTCCATAGGTGAGCTTCCTCCTTAGAACACTAACTCTTAATTGAAAGGTATTACATGAATCCTGTATACAGGCAAAGACTAATTATCTGTTTCTCATAGTGTGAAGAAGTTGGCTGGTTTGTATAGAAGAAATAAAGTACTTAAAAATATAAAAAATAAAAAAAAAGAAAGAAAATGGGCCTCCACAGCCCTCTCCATGTCTTCCCTTTCCCTGCTGTACTCAGCCACCCCAGCCCTCCTTCTCTTTCTCAAACTTACCGACTCATATTTGCTATTGTTTTTGTCAGGAAGGTCCCTCCCCTCCTACCCTTAGCTTTCTCTTTACCTGGCTCACTCTCTCATCTTTGAGGAACCCCTGGGAGGAGGTCCCATGCTTCTCCTGACTACCTCCACTGCACCCTGTACTTCACAGCACTTAGCACCATTGGAACCAAGCACTTGGATGCCTATGTTGTATTCCTTGTGTCTCCCCTTTAGACCAGCACTGCCCGATAGAACTGTCATGTGAGCCATAAATGTAATTTTAAATGTCCTCATGGTCACATTTTTTAAAAAATGAATGGAAGCCGATGAAATTCATTTTTATCATTTACTTTATTTAACCCAATATCTAAAATGTTGCCATTTCAATGTGTCATCAATATTAAAAAACTATTAAAGGTATATTTTACATTTTTTTCACACTAAGTTTTAAAGATCCAGTGTGTATTTTACACTTTACAGCGCAATAAAATTTGGACCAACCCCATTTCAAGGCTCGGTACTGTCACGCAGCCAATGGCTTCGTAATGGACAGCCCAGCTGTGGACACTTAACTCCCTGAAGACACACAGCACATCTATCTTACTGCTGAGTCTCCAGCACCAGACTGTTTTGCTCAGAGAAAGAGCCAGATAAGTACTCGCTTTGGGGTGGTTTTTTTTTTTTTTTTCGCTTTTTTGAAGAATATTTGTACTGAGGAAGAAATGGAGGTACAGAGAGAGGAAGTGATTGGCCCAAGGTCACAGGAATAATTAATGCTAAAGCAATTCTAGCTCCCAACTGCCAACTGTGAAAAGGAACTGTATCGCCCCTGTGCCTCATGGAAACTCTTTGCAACAATCTCACAGGTCAATCTGCCATTCTTGATGCAAACAGGCTCTCAAAGTTCAGCCCAAAGCACATTTATTAAAAGCTTTACCTTGAAAGATAGGAAAAGTTTGGTTTTATGAGAAAAGTTGTCATTCTATTACCTTGTAAATCCTATCAATTGATAGGTATTATGTAATGGCATTAACAGGCTCTGTGCTGACTACTGCGGATGCTGTTTTGAAGCTCCTGTACAGCTATTATATTATCAGTGGTGATTTCCTTCAGGATTCAGGATTCTAGGCAGAGCTAAGTGAGTCAGCATTAGCCCTCCCTCCCCAGGATTGCGAGGGTGTGAGGAGCGGTGTTGGGTGTGTGGGTGCTGGTGAGGCAGCCAGAAATGTGGTCAGCATACTTCACATTCCTAGCCTTGATTTACCCCCTCTGAAAATCAGAGTGGGGTTAGTCATAAGAAAAATCTCCCTCCTTCAGAAGGTTTCATTGTAAATGAAGGCACAGCAATCACCCCCCATCAAAAAAGAATGTAGAGATGCAAAAAATATAGGCTCAGCCTAAACTTATAAGTAGAACAAAGAGAGTTGCAAAACAATATCACAATATGATCCTACTTTCATCATAAAATGCATATTTCATATATTTATATTAAAGGAAAGTAATTCAGAAGATTGCTTTTCAAAATATAAATTATATTTATCATTAGATGGTAAAATTATGCATGATTTTTAATTTTTCTGCTCTTAGTTCACTCATAGTTTTGAATTTTCTTCAGTAGGTATGTATTACTTGTACAGAAAAGTAATGACTGAATATTTAAATAAGCCTGTGCACACATACATACACTCATATATGATCCCAAACATTCCAACAGTCTTTAAGTGCTAATTATTTTGGGAAGTGCCCATGAAACCCATTATTTCTTTAGCTTTTCAGTAAATGACTTTGGCCCTTTCAAGCTCACATAGTCCCAAGGACAGAAAATCTGCTGCCCTCAGTGCTATCAACAGCATGAGGAATGTAGCCTCCTGCAATGTGTAAACAGAAACCGCCACCCACCTGCAAGCCACTGGGGGTGAGGGGGCCTTCCCCAGGATGGAGATATGGGAGTCGGAGAGCTAGCCTGAGATTTGGCACAGCTGCCAGCAGCCTTGTTAGAAATTCAACATCCTTAACTAGGAAACAGGTTTTGGGGTAGGTTGCCAAAGAAGGTGTTAAACAGGTAATTGACCTTCTTCTGTTTTGGTGATGATTAATTCAAGTAGCCATTTCCCACTTTCTTGAGATAAGAGTTCAGATCAGGATCTAAGCCTGCCAAGTAGCATTTCAAAACATTCTAAGGGTTGCCAGGTGCAGTGGCTCACGCCTGTAATCCCAGCACTTTGGGAGGCTGAGGTGGGCAGATCACCTGAGGTCGGGAGTTCAAGACCAGCCTGACCAACATGGAGAAACCTTGTCTCTACTAAAACTACAGAATTAGCCGGGCATGGTGGCACATGCCTGTAATCCCAGCTACTCGGGAGGCTGAGGCAGGAGAATTGCTTGAACCCGGGAGGCGGAGGTTGCTGTAAGCCAAGATGGCGCCATTGCACTCCAGCCTGGGTAACAAGAGAGAAACTCCGTCTCAAAAAAAGAAACAAACAAACAAACATTCTAAGGGTTTAGATTACTTTACCAAGAGGCTGCTACTGCAGGCAGAACTCTTAGACCAGTGGTTATCAACCAGGTAGACTTTGCTTTTCAAGAGACTTTCGGCAATGCCTGAAGACAATTTTGGTTGTCACAACTGGTGGGAAGTGGGTGCTACTGGCAGCTGGTGGGTAGAGTCCGGGGATGCTGCTAAGCCTCCTACAAGGCACAGGACAGCCCACTACAACAGTCAGGCCAATGTTAATAGTGCCAAGGTTGAGAAACTGTATATTCGACAATGAAAGAAATTCTTCGATGCTTTGAAAGAAGGCCTACTTTTTTTTTTGCTAAAGTGAGCCATATCACTGGTATCTGGCTGTATTCCCCCCATTGGCCAACAGGCCAAAAGGAATTCTCTGAATGTTCTTAGTATCTTGTATCAGTGTATCACCTATCAGTGAACCCTCGCCTTAGGACAGGCAGGCAAAGTGAGCTTCCTTCTGCAAGCCAGCTCCAATCTGTTGGTAGTGACTTCTAGGATTGGTTCTCTGGAAGCAGATCTTGAGATGGTGTTTGAGGTAGGAGATGTTTATTAGGGATCAATGGTTGCAAAGGGAGAAGTTTTGGCAGAGGGAGAAGACAAACACAATTCAAGTCTGACAAAACCGCGGCCACCCTGGAGAAGAGCTCTGGAGCTGGTACTGGTATTTCCCATTAGAAGGAAGAGCTGGGTCTTTATAAACCCCCTCACCTAGCAGCCACCTGGCTCAGTCACTAGGTGAATGCTGTTCCAGGAGAGGCATGACTTTCAGTCAGGGAGTGCACTGTAGCTGAGGCTAAACTTAAAGTTGCTGACATCTGGAATGGCTGCTAACCACACTCCCTACAGCTGGACATCAAGGCCTTCCTTGAAAGGGAATCTGGATTTCACACCTTCACATATATACCACAGGGTGCATCCATACTCAGCAAATAGGCATGCTACAGCCCATTAGCAATGCCTGCCATGGTCCATGTGCAGAACAGCAGCATCTGTGCTAGGTATTTGGCAACCCTACATTAGAAACAGGGGCCAATGAGTAAGACCTATAATTGCAATATCATGGTGGTACCTGAAAATCAACTGGGTCTGGAAGAAAACCAAAAAGCAGGTATGCCAATGAGAAATGGAACCTGCCTGCCATCTAGTTAACTGTCTATCTATTGGGCTGGATTGAAAATGGAAGTGTTCCTTTGGTTTCTCATGATAAATTGCTTACCCTTCCTTTGTTTATTCCATGTCACTTATTACACACCCACTATGTGAAGAATTTGGCTTTTACCCAATTCATTAAATTTGTGCCCTCAGCCCCATGGGCTTCTTCAGTCTCTGCAGCCCTAACTAGAAAAGCCTAGTATTATAATAAGTGGCCTTTAAGAGTCGACCTAACCTTCTCTGCTAAGCATCCACACCACTAGCTTTGACTTCGGAAGGTAAGTAAGAAGAGGGTTTTGCCATACTTACGTTATTTTTGTGGATTAGATTAACATGGTCCAAAACTGTTGAGAAAGAGAGAATTATTTCCTTTTCTAGTAGGCAATCATTTGAAGATGCAGTGTTTTGTGTGAGGAGCTAGACAGCTCACACAGCTAATAACAAGAATAGTACTAGTGACTTGGGTTATTATAATAAATATAATTAATGACTTTTCAAACACTATTGGTTAGATGTTATGCTAATCATTTTAAATAAATTTATTACTGTGTTCCATGTTGATTTTTTAATTAAAATAAGAAGAGGGATTTTTTTTTAAAAAAAGTTAAATTGATAGTCTTTATCCACAAGCATTACCTGCAATCAGGTAGGTTGGTGCCTTTGAAGATACTGCATAATGTTAAATAAAGAACTGTGTAAACCTAATGTTATTATTCACTACAATAAACGCAAACTAAACCTGTTTTAGGTCCAATGGGACATCTAGACTGGCCCTACAGTCAGGTGCACTAGGAACAATGTGTGCAATATATCAAGAACACAATAAAACTGCCAATTTTTCCTATTTAAAGCGATCCACAGAGAGTTTAGATGATGAGCTAACAAAATGAGATGTTGTTAATTACATTCCTTGATAATTTTGATCCAAAAGGGATCATTTTGCTTTTTCCAACTGAAAGTAAATCATTTATTATAGATGAAGGAGTATAATTTTGGAGCTGGATGAAATATCATGTAACAATACTTCATGGAAGCCATTATGCATATGTCTCGGTCCATAGCAGCTTTATTTTCAACTGGTGAAAATATGCTGGTCTGGTCCAAGGAGCCTTCTTAATGAGGAAAAACCTAATGTTTTTGAAATATCTAGGTCAGATTTCAGAGTCAACTAGATTTCCCCTTTGCTTCAATTATATAATTCTAATGATTACTTTTGCTTCACAACAAAAAAAAAGCTGCCTGGTAGATAGTGAGCTTCCTATCTTGAGGATATTTAAGCAGACCTAGGATCAACACCGAAAACATTGTAGGAGAAAGTCATCTCAGTCTATCAAACAAGGATTTGGCTAGCAATATTTCAAAGGTAATTTATTTATTAATTCTACTAGGTATTTATCCAAAGGAAAAGAAAACAATATATCAAGGGGATACCGGCACTCACATGTTTATTGCAGGACTATTCCAATAGCAAAGATATGGAATCAACCTATGTGGCCATCAACGAACAAACTGATAAAGGAAATGTAGTACATATATACAATGGAATACTATTCCACCATAAAAAAGAATAAAGTCATATCATTTGTAGCAACACACAACACAGATGGAACCAGAGGTCAATATGTTAAGTGAAATAAGCCAGACACAGAAAGACAAATTTCACATGTGCTCACTCATCTGTGGGAGCTAAAACAATTGATTTCATGGAGGTAGAAAGTAGAATGATGTATACCATAGCCTGGGAAGGGTATGTGGGTGGGAGTGGGGATAAAGAGAGGCTGGTCAATGGGTGCAGACATACAGTTAGATAGAAGTAATAAGTTCTAATGTTCAATAGCAGACTAGGGTGACTATACTTAACAACAATGTATTATATATTTCAAAGTAGTGATGAGGACTTGAAATGTTTGCAACATGTAGAAATATTCAAGATGATGGATATTCCAAATACCTTGACTTGATCATTATACACTCTATGCAAGTAGCAAAATATCACATGTTCCTTATAAATATAAAAACTTTACACACAGTAAATATGTAAAAGAAAAGTGTTGAGCCTTTCTCTTGAGCCTAGCATTATGGGATGAAACTGTGTGTAAGTTGCAGCTCCTATCTTTAAGTAAAACACAGTCTAGTAATTCCTTTTAACTTTGAGATTCTATAACTTTATCTTAATAAAATTTATATCAGATCTCTATTTTCCACTTTTAAATATTTTCTTTAGGGACAATTTTTAAAATAATACTTCTTTGTGCTTTTTTAATATAAAGAGAAATGCAGGAACATATCATCTCACCTTTTTTCCTGGTGTAAGTTAGCTATTGCTATATAACAAAGAGGTGGCTCTGAACAGCCATTATTTATTATTGTAGTTCACTTGTCTGTGGGCCAGCTAAAGGATAGGTGATCTAGGATGGCCTGAGTTGGGCAGTTCTGTTCATCTTGGCTGGGCTCATGTATCTGCAGGTTGCCTGGAGATTTTGCTGTGGGTTAGGCTTGAATGGAGCAGCTCCAAATAGTATGTAGATAAGGACTGGAGAAAGTGATTGAAAAGCTATCACAATTTTCTTTCGTCTGAACCAAAAGGAACTTTAGGATCTGCACAGGAGAGCCTTACTGCGTAGATATGAAAGAGTCTCATTTTTGCGGAAGAGACTTAGATAGAGTTTACTCCATCACCTACCCCATTCCTCACAAAAAGAGTAGGACTTGACAGTTATAAGGTAAAGCTCCTCTGTCCCTGGAACTGAGACAGCAAGGAACACCCTGTTATTATGACAGATTTGATGGCCTGCCTCACTCCACCATCAATCCACACAGGGGAGTCAGAAGTGCCTCCACTCCTGCCTCAGAAAGATCCATCACGACTCAACCTCAGCCTCAAAGTAAACAAAGAAAAATGATAATTAATCCAAGGGAGCCAAGAGCCCCGAGGAAGAACAAATAAAACAATAAGAACAGACCGATACTGAAAAGGAACTGCTGGAAGAGACAGGCAAAAACTTCAATAAAAACAAAACAAGATGACCTAGATTCATATATAACATGCACTGGTGCATATCTTCCCCCCACACATAGACACACACACACAGACAGACATGTACACTTTTCTGGAACTAAAAACATGATTTGGGGCATCCAAATCAGTAAAGAGGAAGTCGAACTGTCACTATTTGCTGATGACATGATTGTATACCTAGAAAACTCTAAAGACTACTCTAAAAAGCTCCTAGAACTGGCAAATAAATTCAGCAAATTTTCAGAATACAAAATTAATGTATGCAAATCAGTAGCCCTGCTGTATACCAACAGCAACCAAACTGAGAATCAAATCAAGAAGTCAGCCCCTTTTACAATAGCTGCAAAAGAAAAATAAAACATTTAGGAATAAACTTCATCAAGGAGGTGAAAGATCTCTACAAGGAAAATTACAAAACACTGCTGAAAGAAATCATAGATGACCCAAACAAGTGGAAACATATCCCACGCTCATGGATGGGTAGAATCAATATTGTGAAAATGGCCATATTGCCAAAAGCAGTCTTCGAGTTCAATGCAATTCCCATCAAATTCCACCATCAATCTTCAAAGAACTAGAAAAAAAATCCTAAAATTCCTATGAAACTAAAAAAGAGCCCACATAACCAAAGCAAGACTAAGCAAAAAGAACAAACCTAGAGGCATTGCATTACCTGACTTCAAACTATGCTATAAGGCCATAGTCACCAAAACAGCATGGTATTGGTGTAAGAACAGGCACATAGACCAATGGATCAGAACAGAGAACCCAAAAATAAACCCAAATGCTTGCAGTCAACTGATCTTCAACAATAAAAACAAAAACATAAAGTGGAGAAAAGACACCCTATTCAACAAACAGTGCTAGGATAATTGGCAAGCCACGTGCAGAAGAATGAAACTGGATCCTCATCTCTCACCTTATACAAAAATCAACTCAAGATGAATCAAAGACTTAAATCTAAGACCTGAAGCCATAAAAATTCTAGAAGATAACATTAGAAAAACCCTTCTAGACACTGGCTTAAGGAAAGACATCATGACCAAGAACGCAAAAGCAAACACAACAAAAACAAAGATAAATAGATGGGACTTAATTAAACTAAAAGGCTTCTGCACAGCAACAGAAATAATCAGCAGAGTAAACAGACAACCCACAGAGTGGGAGAAAATCTTCACAATCTTTACATTTGACAAAAGACTAATATCCAGAATCTACAAGGAATTCAAACAAATTAGCAAGAATAAAACAAACAATCCCATCAAAAACTAGGCTAAGTACATGAACAGACAATTCTCAAAAGAAGATATACAAATGCCCAGCAAACATATGAGAAAATGCTCAAAATCACTAATGATCAGAGAAATGCAAATCAAAACCCCAATGTGATACCACCTTACTCCTGCAAGAACCGCCATAATCCAAAAATCAGAAAATTACAGATGTTGTTGGAGATGTGATGAAAACGAAACACTTTTACACTGTTGGTGGGAATGTAAACTAGTGCAACCACTATGGAAAACAGTATGGAGATTCCTTAAAAGAACTAAAAGTAAATCTACCATTTGATCCAGCAATCCCACTCCTGGGTATCTACTCAGAGGAAAAGAAGTCGTTATACAAAAAAGATACTTGCACACATATGTTTATAGCACCACAATTCGCAATTACGAACATATGGAACCAGCCCAAATGCCCATCAATCAACAAGTGGATAAAGAAAATTTTATATATACCATATATACTACTCAACCATACACAGTGGTGGCAAGGCTTATCTGCTACAAAGAAGACATGTTTTAGACAAATACTCATGTGTATAGGCACAACACTCAAGGACTGTATTTGTGACTAATCTTATAACAGGTTATTTTAGTTTCTTTTCTGTGGAAAGTATAAAGCATTCCAATAAAGAGTTTAATACAGATTTTTTTTTGCACCTATGCTGTTGACTGCTAAATGTAATAGTCTGATCAAGATGCTGAATAAATGTGTATTTTTAAAAATATATATTATTTTAAAACTTAAAACATCAGTAGATGAGCTGAAACTGAAGGTGGTCACCACTGATGAGACTCGAATTAGTGACTGAAGATCAAGTGAAAGAAATCTCTGAAATAGCAGAGCACAAATTTGATGGATTAGAAACTATGAGAGAAGAGAGAAGAGATCCAGTTACTAAATCCAGGAGACCCAAGAATCAGTTTCACAAGGAGAAAGAGACAGATGGAAGAGTCACACTAATTATACAAATTGGGGGATTAAAATACCCCAAGCAGTAGAGAGACCTGAACCTAGGTTCAATCTGATTTAAAAGAAGAGTCTCAGATCTGTATTAAAATTCCAGAACTCCAGGAATAAAGTATTTAAAAAGAAAACCACGCCCTAAATTATCACCACCAAAAAAATCCCTACTTATTTTATTAAGTATAGAAATAATATTTATACAAGGTTAGAAAATTCAATGATACGTAAAACTATGAAAGGGAAAGTAAAAATCTTACTTTATCCTCTGCATTTTCCTCCCCGAGACTTTTCTAGGAAAATGGAATCATTTAATAATGATTAATATAGTTTCCTGAATTTCTCACAGCCCTCTAAAGTTTATGCATGTAACATACATATACCTGGTGGGAGGAGCCAAGATGGCCGAATAGGAACAGCTCCGGTCTACAGCTCCCAGCCTGAGTGACGCAGAAGACGGGTGATTTCTGCATTTCCATCTGAGGTACCGGGTTCATATCACTAGGGATTGCCAGACAGTGGGCACAGGTCAGTGGGTGCGCGCAACGTGCGCGAGCCGAAGCAGGGAGAGGCATTGCCTCACTCGGGAAGCGCAAGGGGTCAGGGAGTTCCCTTTCCTAATCAAAGAAAGGGGTGACAGAAGGCACCTGGAGAATCGGCTCACTCCCACCCGAACACTGCGCTTTTCCGATGGGCTTAAAAAACAGTGCACCACGAGATTATATCCCGCACCTGGCTTGGAGGGTCCTACCCCACGGAGTCTCGCTGATTGCTGGCACAGCAGTCTGAGATCAAACTGCAAGGCGGCAGCGAGGCTGGGGGAGGGGCGCCCACCATTGCCCAGGCTTGCTAAGGTAAACAAAGCAGCCGGGAAGCTCGAACTGGGTGGAGCCCACCACAGCTCAAGGAAGCCTGCCTGCCTCTGTAGGCTCCATCTCTGGGGGCAGGGCACAGACAAACAAAAAGACAGGAGTAACCTCTGCAGACTTAAATGTCCCTGTCTGACAGCTTTGAAGAGAGCAGTGGTTCTCCCAGTATGCAGCTGGAGATCTGAGAATGGGCAGACTGCCTCCTCAAGTGGGTCCCTGACCCCTGACCCCCGAGCAGCCTAACTGGGAGGCACCCACCAGCAGGGGCACACTGACACCTCACACTGCAGGGTATTCCAACAGACCTGCAGCTGAGGGTCCTGTCTGTTAGAAGGAAAACTAACAAACAGAAAGGACATCCACACCAAAAACCCATCTGTACATCACCATCATCGAAGACCAAAAGTAGATAAAACCACAAAGATGGGGAAAAAACAGAAGAGAAAAACTGGAAACTCTAAAAATCAGAGCGCCTCTCCTCCTCCAAAGGAACACAGCTTCTCACCAGCAACGGAACAAAGCTGGACAGAGAATGACTTTGACGAGCTGAGAGAAGAAGGCTTCAGACAATCAAATTACTCTGAGCTACGGGAGGACATTCAAACCAAAGGCAAAGAAGTTGAAAAATTTGAAAAAAATTTAGAAGAATGTATAACTAGAATAACCAATACAGAGAAGTGCTTAAAGGAGCTGATGGAGCTGAAAACCAAGGCTCGAGAACTACGTGAAGAATGCAGAAGCCTCAGGAGCCGATGCGATCAACTGGAAGAAAGGGTATCAGCAATGGAAGATGAAATGAATGAAATGAAGCGAGAAGGAAAGTTTAGAGAAAAAAGAATAAAAAGAAACGAACAAAGCCTCCAAGAAATATTGGACTATGTGAAAAGGCCAAATCTACGTCTGATTGGTGTATCTGAAAATGATGGGGAGAATGGAACCAAGTTGGAAAACACTCTGCAGGATATTATCCAGGAGAATTTCCCCAATCTAGCAAGGCAGGCCAATGTTCAGATTCAGGAAATACACAGAACGCCACAAAGATACTCCTCGAGAGGAGCAACTGCAAGACACATAATTGTCAGATTCACCAAAGTTGAAATGAAGGAAAAAATGTTAAGGGCAGCCAGAGAGAAAGGTCGGGTTACCCTCAAAGGGAAGCCCATCAGACTAACAGCGGATCTCTTGGCAGAAACCCTACAAGCCAGAAGAGAGTGGGGGCCAATATTCAACATTCTTAAAGAAAAGAATTTTCAACCCAGAATTTCATATCCAGCCAAACTAAGCTTCATAAGTGAAGGAGAAATAAAATCCTTTACAGACAAGCAAATGCTGAGAGATTTTGTCACCACCAGGCCTGCCCTAAAAGAGCTCCTGAAGGAAGCACTAAACATGGAAAGGAACAACCAATAACAGCCGCTGCAAAATCATGCCAAAATGTAAAGACCACTGAGACTAGGAATAAACTACATCAACTAACGAGCAAAATAACCAGCTAACATCATAATGACAGGATCAAATTCACACATAACAATATTAACTTGAAATGTAAACGGACTAAATGCTCCAATTAAAAGACACAGACTGGCAAATTGGATAAAGAGTCAAGACCCATCAGTGTGCTGTATTCAGGAAACCCATCTCACATGCAGAGACACACACAGGCTCAAAATAAAAGGATGGAGGAAGACCTACCAAGCAAGTGGAAAACAAAAAAAGGCAGGGGTTGCAATCCTAGTCTCTGATAAAACAGACTTTAAACCAACAAAGGTCAAAAGAGACAAAGAAGGCCATTACATAATGGCAAAGGGATCAACTCAACAAGAAGAGCTAACTATCCTAAATATATATGCACCCAATACAGGAGCACCAAGATTCATAAAGCAAGTCCTGAGTGACCTACAAAGAGACTTGGACTCCCACACATTAATAATGGGAGACTTTAACACCCCACTGTCAACATTAGACAGATCAACGAGACAGAAAGTCAACAAGGATACCCAGGAATTGAACTCAGCTCTGCACCAAGCGGACCTAATAGACATCTACAGAACTCTCCACCCCAAATCAACAGAATATACATTTTTTTCAGCACCACACCACACCTATTCCAAAGTTGACCACATACTTGGAAGTAAAGCTCTCCTCAGCAAATGTAAAAGAACAGAAATTATAACAAACAATCTCTCAGACCACAGTGCAATCAAACTAGAACTCAGGATTAAGAATCTCACTCAAACCGCTCAACTACGTGGAAACTGAACAACCTGCTCCTGAATGACTACTGGGTACATAACGAAATGAAGGCAGAAATAAAGATGTTCTTTGAAACCAATGAGAACAAAGACACAACATACCAGAATCTCTGGGACGCATTCAAAGCAGTGTGTAGAGGGAAATTTATAGCACTAAATGCCCACAAGAGAAAGCAGGAAAGATCCAAAATTGACACCCTAACATCACAATTAAAATAACTAGAAAAGCAAGAGCAAACACATTCAAAAGCTAGCAGAAGGCAAGAAATAACTAAGATCAGAGCAGAACTGAAGGAAATAGAGACACAAAAAACCCTTCAAAAAATTAATGAATCCAGGAGCTGGTTTTTTGAAAGGATCAACAAAATTGATAGACTGCTAGCAAGACTAATAAAGAAAAAAAGAGAGAAGAATCAAATAGATGCAATAAAAAATGATAAAGGGGATATCACCACGGATCCCACAGAAATACAAACTACCATCAGAGAATACTACAAACACCTCTATGCAAATAAACTAGAAAATCTAGAAGAAATGGATAAATTCCTTGACACATACACCCTCCCAAGACTAAACCAGGAAGAAGTTGAATCTCTGAATAGACCAATAACAGGATCTGAAATTGTGGCAATAATCAATAGCTTACCAACCAAAAAGAGTCCAGGACCAGATGGATTCACAGCCAAATTCTACCAGAGGTACAAGGAGGAACTGGTACCATTCCTTCTGAAACTATTCCAATCAATAGAAAAAGAGGGAATCCTCCCTAACTCATTTTATGAGGCCAGCATCATTCTGATACCAAAGCCAGGCAGAGACACAGCCAAAAAAGAGAATTTTAGACCAATATCCTTGATGAACATTGATGCAAAAATCCTCAATAAAACACTGGCAAACCGAAACCAGCAGCACATCAAAAAGCTTATCCACCATGATCAAGTGGGCTTCATCCCTGGGATGCAAGGCTGGTTCAATATACGCAAATCAATAAATGTAATCCAGCATATAAACAGAGCCAAAGACAAAAACCACATGATTATCTCAATAGATGCAGAAAAGGCCTTTGACAAAATTCAACAGCCCTTCATGCTAAAAACTCTCAATAAATTAGGTATTGATGGGACATATTTCAAAATAATAAGAGCTATCTATGACAAACCCACAGCCAATATCATCCTGAATGGGCAAAAACTGGAAGCATTCCCTTTGAAAACTGGCACAAGACAGGGATGCCCCCTCTCACCGCTCCTATTCAACATAGTGTTGGAAGTTCTGGCCAGGACAATTAGGCAGGAGAAGGAAATAAAGGGTATTCAATTAGGAAAAGAGGAAGTCAAATTGTCCCTGTTTGCAGATGACATGATTGTATATCTAGAAAACCCCATTGTCTCAGCCCAAAATCTCCTTAAGCTGATAAGCAACTTCAGCAAAGTCTCAGGATACAAAATCAATGTACAAAAATCACAAGCATTCCTATACACCAACAACAGACAAACAGAGAGCCAAATCATGAGTGAACTCCCATTCACAATTGCTTCAAAGAGAATAAAATACCTAGGAATCCAACTTACAAGGGATGTGAAGGACCTCTTCAAGGAGAACTACAAACCGCTGCTCAAGGAAATAAAAGAGGATACAAACAAATGGAAGAACATTCCATGCTCATGGGTAGGAAGAATCAATATTGTGAAAATGGCCATACTGCCCAAGGTAATTTACAGATTCAATGCCATCCCCATCAAGCTACCAATGCCTTTCTTCACAGAATTGGAAAAAACTACTTTAAAGTTCGTATGGAACCAAAAAAGAGCCCGCATCGCCAAGTCAATCCTAAGCCAAAAGAACAAAGCTGGAGGCATCACACTACCTGACTTCAAACTATACTACAAGGCTACAGTAACCAAAACAGCATGGTACTGGTACCAAAACAGAGATATACACCAATGGAACAGAACAGAGCCCTCAGAAATAATGCCGCATATCTACAACTATCTGATCTTTGACAAACCTGAGAAAAACAAGCAATGGGGAAAGGATTCCCTATTTAATAAATGGTGCTGGGAAAACTGGCTAGCCATATGTAGAAAGCTGAAAATGGATCCCTTCCTTACACCTTATACAAAAATTAATGCAAGTTGGACTAAGACTGAAATGTTAGACCTAAAACCATAAAAACCCTAGAAGAAAACCTAGGCATTACCATTCAGGACATAGGCATGGGCAAGGACTTCATGTCTAAAACACCAAAAGCAATGGCAACAAAAGCCAAAATTGACAAATGGGATCTAATTAAACTAAAGAGCTTCTGCACAGCAAAAGAAACTACCATCAGAGTGAACAGGCAACCTACAACATGGGAGAAAATTTTCGCAACCTACTCATCTGACAAAGGGCTAATATCCAGAATCTACAATGAACTCAAACAAATTTACAAGAAAAAAACAAACAACCCCATCAAAAAGTGGGCGAAGGACATGAACAGACACTTCTCTAAAGAAGACATTTATGCAGCCAAAAAACACATGAAAAAATGCTCACCATCACTGGCCATCAGAGAAATGCAAATCAAAACCATAATGAGATACCATCTCACACCAGTTAGAATGGCGATCATTAAAAAGTCAGGAAACAACAGGTGCTGGAGAGGATGTGGAGAAACAGGAACACTTTTACACTGTTGGTGGGACTGTAAACTAGTTCAACCATTGTGGAAGTCAGTGTGGCAATTCCTCAGGGATCTAGAACTAGAAATACCGTTTGACCCAGCCATCTCATTACTGGGTATATACCCAAAGTACTGTAAATCATGCTGCTATAAAGACACATGCACACGTATGTTTATTGTGGCATTATTCACAATAGCAAAGACTTGGAACCAACCCAAATGTCCAACAATGATAGACTGGATTAAGAAAATGTGGCACATATACACCATGGAATACTATGCAGCCATAAAAAATGATGAGTTCATGTCCTTTGTAGGGACATGGATGAAATTGGAAATCATCATTCTCAGTAAACTATCGCAAGAACAAAAAACCAAACACCGCATATTCTCACTCATAGGTGGGAGTTGAACAATGAGATCACATGGACACAGGAAGGGGAACATCACACTCTGGGGACTGTTGTGGGGTGGGGGGAGTGGGGAGGGATAGCATTGGGAGATATACCTAATGCTAGATGACGAGTTAGTGGGTGCAGCACACCAGCATGGCACATGTATAGGTATGTAACTAACCTGCACAATGTGCACATGTACCCTAAAACTTAAAGTATAATAGTAAAAAAATAAAAAATAAATAAATAAATAAATAAAAAACATACATATACCTATACTTACTTTTATTTTTAAATTTATATTAATAATAATTCTGTAGTTTATCCAACTTTATTACTTAATGTATTTTTCATATAAATATAAGCTTAATTATTTTTTCTTTATATTCTGCTTATGTAACCTAATTCTTTCTAATAGCCACATTGTACATTCCATAATACTGACATGATATGCTTTTTCAACGAATTTCTTATTAATGGACACTTTTATTTTATGCAAGTTGTTTTTCTCTTACAAACAATGCTACCATGAGCAAATACCTAAATACATTTTGTAGATCTTCTGTAAGCACCTCCACAGGGAAATTTCAAGCAGTGAAATTGCCAAGTCAAAGATATTTGCATTTTTATTGATTAAAGGCCTTGAAAATTTTCTGTTACTTAGTAGGCACTCAAATACTTTTAAAACTAAAACAGTTATATTGTCTATCAGAAAGATTGTCTTGATTTATCACAAATATTAAAATATTTTTAAACTGTGATAGTGTAATTGTGACTCTCCCCAAAGGATATATTTATTTCCTAATTTCCAGAACCAGTGAACATGATCTTATTTGGAAAAAGAGTCTTTGCAGATGTGATTAAGTTAAGAATCTTGAGATGAAGGGATTACCCTGGTTTTGTAAGTGGGCCCTAAATCCAAAGAGAAGTGTTCTTATAAGAGGGAAACTTGACAGATACATAAAGGGAAAAGAGTTATGAAGGGGGAGACTGAGATTAGAGGGATGTAGCCACAGTCCAGGAAGCAGGGACAGAAACCAGGAGCTGAAAGTGGCAAAGAACAGATTTTCCCCTAGAGCCTCCAAAGGTCATGTGGCCCTGCCAAAACCTTCATTCCAGAATTCTAGCCTGCAGACCTGTGACAGAATACATTTCTGTTGCTTTAAGACACTAAGTTTGTGCTAATTTGTGATGGCAGCCTCAGGACACTAATACAATGATTATTACTCAATTGAAGATGGTCAGTATGATAGGAAAGAGCATCTAGAGTTTGGAGGCAAATTGATTATGACACAAAGAGGGGTCAGGCTGCACAGTCCTGCCTCTGTGGACACCCTTTGTAGCTCTCTCCAGTGACCACTGTCATCTCCAGTTCATGCATTCTCCCAGATACATCTGAAACTGAGACCCAAAAAACTAAACAAGGGAAAACAAACACTAACTTACCGATTTTTCTTGGTTTGGGCACAGGCAGATCAAATACAAATTGATCCAATCCAACTTTGAAAAGAAAGTTAATCAATGCTTTTCCTTTTTTTTTTTTTAAAGCCCAGGTGGTGGCAGATGGAGACTCACACATCTATATCCATCAAATCATAATTGATCCAGAGAGAGCCTTGCTGGAGAGAGGAGAGCATTTTCCCAGACAATTTTTGATCTCTCCCCTGGTGGAGAATTATCATGCCATCTGGAAAAAGACAGTATACTCCTTTCGCAGACGTTATGCAGCTAATTACCAACCAATTCCAACTTAGATTGGCCTAGAACCATGGAGTGACCCCCTCTGTATTCCCATGTCCCAAGCCACTGCTCTCTCAGCAACCAATTTTAATTTAATGAAACTGATCCTACTTTATGCTTAAATAGTGCTTACAGTTTAAAAAGCACTGCCAAAGGTGGAACTACAATTGTTTTGTGTTGTTTCTCATGGCAAAACTATGAGATACAAATGGGGCAGATATTATTGTATACATTTTCCAGAAGAAGAAGCAACGAGGTTTAGAGAGGCTACGTGATTTGCCACAAGCTTTAGACTTCAAATTCACTGATGTCCTCTGCACCATAATGCCTCCTGAGAATGGACCCATTTGAAGTAGACATCAAGAAAAAATGAGTCGTTTATTTTCAGATGCTCTCTTTCATTAGGAGGCCTGGTGTCTCTGAGCTGAAAAGGAATCCTCTGTGTGTATACATGCAAAGGAAGACAAATAAGACATTTCTTATCATCCAAGCCCCCAATATGCTCTGAGTCAAATAGTTCATTGCTCATTATATGTTTTACTTTGGATAAGATTAATTTTTAAAAAATTATTCCAAGCTGAACTCCATCATGGACTAAATGTAAATTTAGCCTCTATCATCAACAGCATTTCTGGCCTCCTTCTATCATATATCTTCTGATATCCAAGGCAGGAGATAATCAGAGAGTCCATATGTATTTTAAAACTTATTGTCTAAGTACATAGCTCTTGTAAGACTTGATTTTGACATTTCCTTGGCAATTCACTAATAAGTAAAGTTTTCAGGTGGTCATTCTCTATAGGGCTATAAAAAGAAAATTAAAAGCAAGATCAATTGTGTTTTGAAAAGTGCTGAAAAAATCCTGAATTTTTTATGACTACCAGACACCAAAAAAGTTATTTTCTAAAGATAATTCTCCTTTCTGTTCCATGAGTCATGGAGGAATAAGCAATTTGAATTAAAGGCAAGAGATCTGAATTCATATATTCAAATTTATTTATTCACAAATGTATACAGAGCCCCCACTCTGTGCCAAACATGCACTGGGGCTAAAGCAGTGAGCAAAATAGTCTCTGATCTTAAAAAGCATATACTCTACTGGGCAAAGTAAGACAATGAACATATGTCAATTTAGTATCTTGTTTTCAGCAAAACATATTCAGAGATTCAAAGCTCACCACTCCTGCCGCCTTCACACAGACACCCTGAAATGGAAGACCACAGAAAGCTATAAACACAGACAAAGCAGCTGGCCTCATGTCTATAATTTTAGGTAGCCAAGAAAAACTGCCTGTGACAATCATATACACAAAAAAGCAATCATTCAGGAGCTGGAAAAATGCTATCCTTGCAAATGAATTTTTAAGGATGTGGACTCCTCTAAAGGATGGACCTCTAGGAGGGAATGTATGTTTGCCAAGGGCTCCTTCTGGTGCCTGGAGGTCTTCTTCCACTTTCTTGCACCTGTTCTGCTATTATATTAATATACGTTCCCAGAGACTGTGGGAAGGAAAAAACAAAACACAGACAAAGTGAATTACAGTGAACTTGCAAAGCACTTATTTTTCCCATGAAATGTTTATTGAGCATTTGCTAGATAGCTGGCGTAGTGACAAGTTTATCTTCTCAAGTCTTGTTCTTTTACCAAAGGAAAAACTAGAAGCAGAACCTGAAGCAGTATGTGGTTTCACATGCATTAAAAATTGCCCCTTTAACACAAGGGAGTTATTTCGTGGTATCGGAACAGTGTTGCATCTTGACAGTGGTAGTAGCTATCTGAATCTATAAAGGTGATTAAATGTCATACACATAGACATATAAAAAATAAATATATGCAATAACTGGGGAAATCTGAGTAAAGTCTGTGGTCTAGTTAGTTGTATTGTACCAACGTCAATTTCCTGATTTTGGCAATGCCCTACAGTAAGGAAAGATGTGACCTATGGGGAAAGCTGGGTGATGGGTACACAGTACCTCTCTGTATTATTTTTTTTTTTTTGTAGTTTTTTGTGAGTTTTGTAATTATTTGAAAAGCAAAAGTGTTTTTAATTCAAATGGGTTTTTTTAATTGAAATTAATCTGCCATGTACAGGATCTGAGGTTTAATTAACCAACCCTTCCCAGAAACAATAATGTAATAACAGTAATATACAAGAGAAAAGAAATAAGGTAAAAAATGGCCTGATATAGTAGGAAATCAACCAATTATTTCTTAGGTGACTGAGGTGTTAATTAATGAATAAAAAGAATAATGATAACAATAATAACTGATCCTATAGTATTTACTATATGCCAGACTCTGTTTTCATATATCAATTTATTTAATCTGCTCAATGTCCTTTTTAGGTAAATATTATGTGCCACATTTTAGAAATAAGAAAGCTGGAGCACAGATACATTAAGTAATCTGCCAATACCACATCATCTATAACTGGCAGACCTAGATTTGAATCCCAACAGTCCAGCTGCAGACTCTAAATACTAATGACCTAGGGTAGGGGGCCACATCTTATCTCACTTTAGGTTGGGCTCCATGAACAAAATAGTGCCTTATGCATCATATTTTAGATTCCACGGAACATTTGATAAATGATAGTATGTTCTAACACATATAGGTAAACCTATTTTTATTTTAAAATATTTCTCTTCTTTAAATGTCATGTGAAACTTCACAGCACTGAGTCTGCTCTCAAAGATACATTAATTGAAAGGTGATTCTTCTGCCAGGACCACTGTACTAGAGTGAATAATGCACTTCCCTTCCTTCATACACACACAAATCTATACCACCAAAAAATCTACACCGTCATTCAACAGTTCATGTTGGAACTGAAAACAAATTGCTGAGGCACACATCAAACATCCAGGTTCAAAATAAGCCAAATGCATCCATCCAAACATACAGTAACAATATCCTCCTATTGAGTAGACCAAAGGTGACAAGTATCTGTCAAACACTGAATCAACAGAAAGTGACTGCAATAGCTTGTTGTCTTTATTGGATCATGTATACTTGTTTTTTTTCTCTTGAAAATGGAAGTACCTAAAGCCAAGTCTTTGTTGATGCACTGGTTTTCTGCCAGGCCATTCAATGATAGGAGAGGTCATGAATAGTGTTAGGGATAAAGGTTTCTGTGTCAGACTGCCTAGCTTCTAATCCTGACTCCTTCCTCTCACTAAACTATGGTTGTAGGGAAGTTGCCTTGTCTCTCTGGGCCACAGTTTTCTCATTTATAAAATGAGGATAATAATACTAGTCAGTACCTCATAAGTAGTTATGAGAATGTGCAATTCATGTAGAAGCATTTTGACCACACTCAGAATTCAGTAAATGTTTACTTTATTTTGATATTAGAAATACCCTAAAAACATCTTGCAATAAGTCTGCAACTGCATAGTTAAATATAAACATTTTCAGTTTGCTAAGAATAATAATGTTAAAATTAAATAGATTACATAGCAGCATTATTCACAATAGCCAAAAGGTGGAAGCAATGCAGATATCCAT
Organism: Homo sapiens; assembly: GCF_000001405.40. NCBI lineage: Eukaryota > Metazoa > Chordata > Mammalia > Primates > Hominidae > Homo > Homo sapiens. Next base: position 63,744,354 of record NC_000003.12, read on the forward strand.
TGATGGATGACTGGACAAACAAAATGTGGTATGTAAGTACAAGGCGATGTTATTCCACCTTAAACAGGCAGGAAATTCTGACACATGCTGCAACATGGATGAACCTTGAAGAAAGACATTATACTAAGTAAAACAAGTCAGTCACGCAAAAACAAATATTGTATGAGTCTACTTATATGAAGTACTTAGAGTAGTCAAATTCACAGAGACAGAAAGTAGAATGGTGGTTAACAGAGGCTGTGGGGAGGGAAGATTAGAAAGTTATTGTTTAATGGGTATAGAGTTTCAGTTAGGGAAGATGAAAAAATTCTGGAGATAGTGGTGATGGTTGCACAGCAATGTGCATGTACTCAGTGCCACAGAACTGTACATTTATAAATAGTTAAAATGATAATTCTATGTTGTATATATTTAACACAATAAAGGTTTAAATAACTTAATAATTATGAACTGCTTAGAACAAGCCTGGTACACTGTAAGTACTAAATGAGTATTTATAAAATACACTTTTTTACGGATCATCACTGGTCATTAGAGAAATGCAAATCAAAACCACAATGAGATACCATCTCATGCCAGTTAGAATGGTGATCATTAAAAAGTTAGGAAACAACAGATGCTGGAGAGGATGTGGAGAAATAGGAATGCTTTTACACTGTTGGTGGAACTGTAAACTAGTTCACCCATTGTGGAAGACAGTGTGGCAATTCCTCCAGGATGTAGAACCAGAAATACCATTTAACACAGCCATCCCATTACTGGGTATATACCCAAAGGATTATAAGCCATTCTACTATAAAGACACATAAAAACCTATGTTTATTGCAGCACTATTCACAATAGCAAAGACTTGGAGCCAACCCAAATGCCCATTAATGATAGACTGGATAAAGAAAATGTGGCACATATACACCATGGAATACTATGCAGCCATAAAAATGGATGAGTTCATGTCCTCTGCAGGACATGGATGAAGGTAGAAACCATCATTCTCAGCAAACTAACACAGGAACAGAAAACCGAACACCACATATTCTCATTCATAAGTGGGAGTTGAACCATGAGAACATATGTACACAGGGAGGGGAACATTACACACCAGGGCCTGTCAGGAGGTGGGGGGCTAGGGGAGGGATAGCATTAGAATAAATACCTAATGTAGATGACAGGTTGATGGGTGCAGCAAACCACCACGGCACGTGTATACCTATGTAACAAACCTGCATGTTCTGCACATGTATCCCAGAACTTAAAGTATAATAATAAAAAAACTTAAATATATATATATGTGTGTGTGTATGTGTGTGTATATATATGTGTGTGTATATATACATATATACTTTTTTAAAGAAGGAAACAAAAAATGGCATACAGTAATTTTTGTTAGTTCCAATAATAACAAGAAAGTAGAGGAAGGAGCCCAGAGAAGGGCACGGCTCTCATTGCAGGCTGCTCTGTTATTCTTACACCAAGAAGTCTGGTACAAGACACTCCACCCTCGGCTGTCACACAACAGTCATCTTGCTGCCCTTGTACCTAAGGACCTAGCTACCTACTCCTTATCTGACTCTTTTCTACCACTATTAAGATTCAATCTCTGCTCTAAACATTTCCACTAACTCTTTTCCTCCCTGTCTTTGAAAGGAAAGAAAGCCATGTTACTCTAGACACATTTATTCCATACTCTAGACTCTAAGCCTTGTTTTAATATGCATAAAATGGGGACAATAATGGTACTTCTTTCACAGGAAGATAGAATATGAAAATAGAATGTTAATTCTCATTGTTTGGAACTTCAATGGGACAAGTCATATTTGGCATAGGTGAACACTCAATAAATGTTCATGTATGCTTTCAATGAATTCCTGGAAATTGGAACTCATTAGAGCCAGATTATTTAATATAGGTCAGATAAGGATATAAACAGTATGTTTTTAATTTTACAAAATACTTTTTAAAGGAATGACTTTCTTTAAGGAGAGCCTGGCAGTCAGTAATAAAGCATCAATAATTTCATGCCAAGCTATCCAGAGCTGTCAGGATTTAACTTGCAGTAAAGTGTCACAAGCTGTTATCATACCAATGAGTCTTTTATGGCTAATATCTCATGTTGAGTGACACTTTACAAAATGACTTTTACTTTATTATATTCATGTTTAAACTTCACAACCACCCCATGAAAGACAGAAAGCCCACACTGTCATGCCTTCTTTGCAGCTAGTAAAAGGGAGACTCAGGGAGGTTAAGTGCTTTCTCCATGTTCACATGGAGTGCTAGCAGTTGTGTCAACACTCAAACCCTAGTCTTCTAACTCTACACCAAGGCTTTTCCAATAACTCTGATGACTTTCTATTTCTGCCTCTTTCTTTAGGGAAGAAATGCATGAAAAAAAAAACTTCAAAATGTTTTGTAAAATGGAGGTATGATCTGCTCTGCAATTCCAGGTATCATAACAGATAAATATTTAGACCAGGTATTGCAAATCCACGACCCATTTGGACTGTAGATGTGGTTGATTAAAGATGGCCACAAATTCTTTGACTCCCATACCTTGAGAACAGGGGTGTATGCTCCTCTCTTTGAATCTGGATAGACTCTGACTGCTTTAATTAGGCAGAAGTGATGCTATGCCAATTTCCAGGCCTGATCCTCAAGAAATCACAACTTTCCCTCCTATCTCTTGGCTTTCTCTGAGAGATCTAAACTGCCACATAGGATGTCCACCTATCCCTGCTGGAGCAACTACATGAAGAGTCCCTGTATTAGTCTGTTCTCATGCTGCTAATAAAAGACACACCCGAGACTGCACAATGTATAAATGAAAGAGGTTTAATGGACTCACAGTTCCACATGACTGGGGAGGCCTCACAATCATGGCAGAAAGCAAAAGAGAAGAAAAGGCACATCTTACATGGCGGCAGGCAAGAGAGCTTGTGCAAGGGAACTCCCATTTATAAAACTATAAGATCTCGTGAGACTTATTCACTACCATGAGAACAGTATGGGGGAAACTGACCCCACGATTCAATTATCTCCATCTGGCCCCACCCTTGACATGTGAGGATTATTACAATTCAAGGTGAGATTTGGGTGGGGACACAGCCAAACCATATCAGGCCCTGAGATTATAAGAAGAGGAAGTGGAACCCAGAAGGGCCAAACTGTAACTGTCCCCACCAAGCTGTCATGCTTGTGAGTGAAGCCACTGTGGACCCACAAGACCAGACAGGCTGCCAATTGAATACCATTGAAGTGACCCTTCATAAAGAAAAAAAAGAAGAAGTCCAGGTAATACCTGCTCAAATTCCTGATGCAGAAAAGTGTGAGATATAATAAAATGGTGCTTATTCTAAGCTAGTAAGACTTGGGGGAAGTTTGTTGCACAGTATATAACTAGGGAATGAGGCAGATGTGTTTTATTTGGCCCATACAGTGGAGTTTAATTGAATTATTTGCCTACTTTTAAAAGTGGGTGGATTTCATGTAACAATTTGGATTTCTATCTTCCTTTTGAAGTATCAAAATTATGGCAACACAAGGCCTCTTCCCAGTAATTTGATGGAGCTGAGTGACAGCCATGTCCCCCAAGTATTAGCTGCCATTGATGATTGAATTTGCTGTTTTATCTGACCCCTTACAGTCATTTATTTACCTGCCTGGCCCTAAAATAGTATGCCTTAGGACCCAGTCTCATTTTATAAAAGAATAAGTAATTCATTCACATAGTTTAATATCTAAATAGGTGAAATGCACTTAAATCAAAAGATATTTAAACACCATATGTGGATCAATGGCTTCTGCATCAAACACAGTCTCATATACAGTGGTTTCCTTTTAAAAAGCACAGTGTATTAGCAGTAAAATCAGCTTTATAAGATTTGTTTTTACAAGTGTTGAAGACTTTGAGCAGATGACTTATTATAAGTTACCTCATCTTTCTAATTTATAGAGGGCTAGCAGCCTCAAGACAAAAGACTTCCCACTGTTTGTATCACCTCCTAATCCCATCCCCCACATCAGTCTGCCTGCCATACCCTCTTATCATGTATGGGAGGTGCTATGGGCTGAATTATGTCCCCCAAAATTCGTATGTTGAAATCCTAACCTCAGAGTGTGACTGTATTTGGAGATAGAGTGATTAAGTTAAATGAGATCACAAGAGTGAGACTTAATCCAATATGACTGATGTCCTTCTAAGAAGAGGAGACTAGGACACAGACAGCACAGGCTGAGGGACAACTGTGAGGACGTAGTAAGAAGGTGGCCATCTGCAAGCCAAAGAGACAGGCCTCAGAAGAAACCAAATCTGCTGGCACCTTGATCTTGGACTTCCAGCCTCTAGCACTGTAAGAAATAAATTTATGTTGTCTAAGCTACCCAGGCTGTCATATTTTGCTATGGCAGATGGAGCAGACTCATACAGGAGATGAGCTGGCTTCAGTTTACTAAAGAGGCAGAGGTAGGAAGCATTGAAAGAGAAGAAGTTTATGAAACAATGTTGGGTCAGTTAGGATTCATCTAGAAATGTTCTTGGTTTATGAGGAGGCAAGCAGAGAGAAAAAAGGAAATGAAGACTAAAAATGCCCTTCCTTGTTCCATTCTACATTTGCTTTTCCTGGAACCAGCCTTACCCTTGTATAGTCGTTTAAATGGATCATTTAGTAAATGAGCCTCAGTCAATTTGAAGATGGTTTGCATACTCTAGGGTGTAGATTTTTTAACATCTGCTAAGAAACTCCAGGGCTGAAAACTTATTTAGCTCAATAACATGTAGAAACTATTTACAAATACAGTGTCTATTTTTATTTCTATTTTATTTTATCTTTTTGAGATGGAGTCTCACTCTGTCTCCCAGACTAGAGTGCAATGGCATGATCTTGACTCACTGCAATCTCCACCTCCTGGGCTCAAGCAATTCTCATGCCTCAGTGTCCCAAGTAGCTGGGACTACAGGCGTGCACCATTATACCTGGCTAATTTTTGTATTTTCAGTAGAGACAGGGTTTTGCCATGTTGCCCAGGCTAGTCTCAAGCTCCTGACCTCAAGTCATCTGCCCTTCTCGGCCTCCCAAAGTGGCCTCCCAAAGTGTGAGCCACCATGCCTGGCCTAATTTTTATTTTCAAGAATGGTGAATAATGCTAAGTTTCCCATTGTCTACAGTTTTTTGTTTGTTTGTTTTTTTCTTGAATGCACTTGTAGTACTTGAGGCAGATTTTGACCTAAGCCAAATTCTAAAACTTAACCTGAATTTACAGTTTTGTAATGCATACAAATTCAGCAAAAGGAGATAAATTGAGATGCTTTTACTTCCTATGGTGATTGAGTATATTTACCATATGTTTACATGAAAGAAATTTTCATTGAACAACAATTACAGGGAAAAATGTAGTTCTCTTTCTTTTACTATAGAGGGTCACAAAAATGTACTTACTGTTAATACTTCTAATTTTTTATTTCTGTGTCCTGTGACAATATTTTCCTTTTGATTTCCATCGCCTATTCCAAAATAAAGAAATAAAAGTCAGGTACTAGATGAGTGGCATTTTAAAAATCACACAATTCAAGCATAATCATGTAACAATTAGCAATCTGTATCTTACCTGCAATATACTTAATTCCTCTGTATGAAAAGAAAATTTGACAAAATATCAGCTTTATTATGTTAACACATGACAAAAATAATTTCATTCAATAGTCAGCACATGATTATCCCATCTCCAAGAAAAAAGAAATACTGTATAAGAAGAATAAAATGGTCTTCATTAACCATCACCACCTCCTTCACTGCACCATAAATAAATTCTATTTAGTTAATAAACATTCATGTCCAACTCTATTTTTGAAGTCATGATATTCTGCACTCTGAAGAAATATTTTTAGATGGTGAGGAAAGTAGCTACATTTTCTACCCATTTATTTGTCCTCTCTGCCCTGCTCCAGATATGCTTCAGATAGACTTAAAACCAGTCAGATGTGTGGAGAGGGTACCTGCATTTATCACCAGTCCCTCAACTAGTTTATGGTGCTTCTCAAACACCTATGAAACCACTTACATTAAAATAATATGAAAAATTGTTTGTTTGTTGGCTCACAAATTTATTTGTTTAAAACATAATCTTGGCTGGGTGCAGTGGCTCACGCCTGTAATCCTAGCACTTTGGGAGGCTGAGGTGGGTGGATTGCCTGAAATCAGGAGTTCGAGGCTAGCCTAGGCAACATGGTGAAACCCCATCTCTACTAAAATACAAAAAATTAGCCAGGCATGGCGGCATGCACCTGTAATCCCAGCTACTCGGGAGGCTGAGGCAGGAGAATTCCTAGAACCCGGGAGGCGGAGCTTGTAGTGAGCCGAGATCGTGCCACCGCACTCCAGCCTGGGCAACAGAGCGAGACTCCATCAAAAAATAATAATAATAATAATCTCTCTCACAGAAAATCTGTTTCATGTGTTCTAAGGTAGAACTCAATAACATGTTGTTGCTGTTTTTCAAAGAAAGCTCCCCAACTCTTTCTGGGATAGAGTAGGTTTGAGATCATTGGTAAAAGGAACCATCAGGTTTCGTATACCAAGTACTTTCCTCTGCCCTTCAAAAGCATACATAAGTCCTTAGAGTAAGTTTACCAAACCTCAACTGGTTTTAGCTCTTTATATCAAAAGCTTAGAAAGAAAAATCACATACTTGGGTTTGGCCTTGGAGACTTCCTTGGTCATTTTCTGACAGCATTCCATAATGTTCCCATATTTCCAAAGCAGGAAACATACCCAGGAAATCAACCCAGCAAAGAAAATAGCCATCAGAGTGAAGATAAGAGGAATGTACCAGTCATTGGATTTGTACGTGTTTATAGCTGTGTACAGGACGATCAGACCTTTTCTTTGCTGGGAAATATCGTTTCAAAGGAAACAGAGCATTAGTTGTGTTTTCAGAAAGCATTTGTTTACACATAGTAGCATCGGTACAGAACCACAGTCCTTTACAGACAGGAAGATACTGTCTAACATATATATATATTTTAAAACACTACAGGTATTTTAAAATACCGAGGAACACCCTTGCATACAGAAGGCCCCAAATTAAGGAAGTGAATACTTGAATTGTATGCAATGACCACTCTATGATCTTGAACAAACCATTTCTCCTCCTTGTCTTCAGTTTTCTCATTTGTAAAATCAAGGGTTTTCACTAGGTGGTATCTGAGGTCCTTTTAAGTTTATATGCCCCATTATCTGCTCTACACACAGTAACTGCTTTTGTGCAGTTTAAGAGAACAATGTGTTCTTGAAAACCAAGCATTCTGTTGGGAGGATTTACCACCCATGTTTTTTTCAATGCTTCTATTTCAAAGGATAGAAAACAACAAAATAAACTAACCATTATGTTTACTGAACAGTTTATCTGTGCATTATTCAGGAGCCATTCTGGAATTCTGCAGAGGCTTTACATACCTATTTTTTTTAAATAATGAAATACTGAAAGGTCTGCTAAACTTCATGGGGTTTGGATTGAAGATAAAATGAAATGATGAATATAATACATGCAGTACAGTGCCTGGCACATGGTATGTGCTCATGACTGTGAATATCATGGCTACTAGAGAAGAAACTTTTTTTTTTTTTTTGAGATGAGGTCTCACTCTGTCACCGAGGCTGGAGTGCAGTGGCGTGATCTCGGCTCACCGCAACCTCCACCTCCCCATTTCAAGCAATTCTCCTGCCTCAGCCTCCCGAGTAGCTGGGACTACAGGTGCCTGCCACCACACCCGGCTAATTTTTTGTAGTTTTAGTAGAGATGGGGTTTCACCGTGTTAGCCAGGATGGTCTCGATCTCCTGACTTCATGATCTGCCCGCCTCGGCCTCCCAAAGTGCTGGGATTACAGGCATGAGCCACCGTGCCCGGCCGCGAGAATAAACTTTCAAAGTACCCATTTGTAGAGATTTTTTAATTGATAAAATTCACTGAGTAGTGGGCCCTTCTGATGGGCAGGACTTTCAGATCATTCAGATGACATAATTAGTTTCTTAGGAGTTCTCTATGCTCTACTTGCAATTCTCATAAATTCTGTTTCACCTCTCAATTTATACTCATAGATGTACACTCTAAAATGTGGTCCTGTGGCTGGATGGGGTAGCGCCCAAGTGGAAAAGCATATGGGTGAAGGTGCTGCCCTGAGTAGCCCTTTAGCCTTTTTAGATGAAACTTGAACTTACAGTAGAACATTTCCCATACAGAGACCCAAATTAAATTCTATAACTCTTTACTTCACAACTAGTGGTTGGAGGAGGTGGCATATTGGCTCTTCTCACATAAATATCTATAACAGCGGTGCCTGTCCTGGGCTTGGTGGATTTGCCATATTTCAAGTTATCATCAATTATATGCACAACAAGATGGTACTGCTGCTGTACTTCAGCTCTACATTCAAAGTTGAAAGGATTCTTCACAATTAATTTTGGAGTATTTGAACCTCGAGTTGGGTCAAATCCAAAATGATGGTTCTCTTTTCCTTTAAAAGTGATAATTGAGAAGTTAGAATTATTTTAAGGTATATTGAAAGATTTTCTCAAACTACCTTAAATTGCTATTAAAACACAGTAGGCGTAAATTTTTTTAAAATTTCCATTGCACCCTGAGTTTTTATATCTATACATGGCTTATAATAAAGCTGAGATCAAATGAGCAACAATTTCAGTTGGTTAGGAAAAAAAAATTTTGAAGATTAAGATCATGAATCTGATCCCATATATAGCCAGCAAGCCTCAAATTATTATCTAATTGATTCTCCTTTCCTTCTACTCAGATCAATTTGATTCCCATCTTCAACTTAGTCTAGATCAATATCAAATGGGCCGGTCAGATCATAAATATCTATTGAGCCCCTTCTAATTTTAAGTTATCTCCATAGCCCTGGAGACATTGTTGATACACAGGGTCCCTACCTTCATGGAGCTTATCACCCAGCAAGGGAATAAGACATCAAACTAGTCTTTATAATCAATTGGCAATGTCCTTACTGATTTCCAAGCTTCTACTCCTTCAGATACATGACAGCAGGTCTGATCTCCATAATTTAAATAGGTCTCCACGTTATGCTGTCTCATGATACCCAGTAGTTTTCTTTTATAGAACTTATCACAGTATGTAATTTTATAATTGCTGGTGTTACTACTAGTTTAGTAAACAATGAGTGCCGTGAATATCTGTCTCATATACTTCTGTGTACACATTTCCGAGCACATTGCCTGATACATAGTTGGTCCCAATATATGCCTTTCGTAAAAAATAAGATGGCTTAAGTTGATATGGATCTGTGCAAATCCAAAAATAACACAGTTTGAAACCACGCATCCTACTGAATCTGTACTAATAGCATCAAATGGAAAGGTGGCTGTTGTTATCCAGTACCATGGACAGCAGACTTCATTCCTTGTAACTTAACCTTCAACATTTCCCATCCAGGTTCAAAGTCCGTTGTCAAAGCATCTGTAAAATTACTGATACTTCCATTATGGGAGGAATTAGATTTGATATGTGAAAGTAAAAAAGATGCCTTGAGGAAACAATGCTATAGATATTAAATAGTTTAACTGTTATAAACATAATTATTTCTGAAGTTATACATAATATCTAACAGGGCAAAACTAATGTCAATTTGACATATGCTCACGATTAAAAGAAATAATAAAATTATGCACCAGAAACCATCTCAAAACGCATTTCAAAATCTTGTGACTCTCCGTCGTGGCAGTTCAGGGTGAAGCCATTGACATTTGTCCCAAGAACAACATTGTCAAAAATGACTGTCTTATATAGAGAGGGTGTGCAGACAGGTGCTTCATCATTCTCATTTTCAATGTCAACAGTGATCTGTCAGCCATGAGGGAAGAAGAAACATCAAATCCACACCATGTGACTACTTATACACAATATCAGAAATAAGCATAAGGGTAGAGACGGATCATTTGGAATTATTAAATAAAAAGTCTAGAGATTTGGATTTAAAAAAAATGTTCCTGCAGATTGGAATTCTGGCCATCAATCAACTAGTCAGTGGTTTATTATTCCTGGGTTAACTGTGACATTCAATGTAGCCGTTAGGTAGGATTTTGGCTCATTAGATAAGCTTGTGGAAAGCTCACAAATTATGTAAATGATGAGAAAAGGAAAGCTGAAGAATGATGCCTCTAGAAATTGTAATCCCTTGAACTCTTTAAATATCTATGCTTAAAGGCATAGATAAATTTGCTTCCTCTTTCTCAAAAGAACTTCCTCAGTACTACTCTCTCAAACTCAATATTTTATTGGTAACAATATGATTACTTCAAAGTATGCTCTGACCTTAATTAGGGACTGTTATCAACCTTTTCTTAATTAAAATACCATAAACTAGGAAACTATAATTTACGTAGAAAAAGATCAAAATATCAAGAATTTTTAAATGTCAGTGATTGAATACCAGTCAGCCTAGAAAGGTTATCTACCCACTTCTTAGATGACTAATAACTGTCTCAATAATACTTGCAGAAGAATCCGTGGTGCACCAATATTTGCAAGTATTATCTTTTTAAAGTGTTTTATGTAATGTTTTAAAAACATAGCTAAATTCTTAAGGAATGGTTCATTCTTTAATGCTACTTCTATAGACTGAATACAGCTATGTGTCTCACCAAGTATGTGAGACTTTTTACATAATAATTAAACGGATTTTAAGGAGATTTCTGGAATAGTCCAGTGCTATTTCCATTATATCACAGAAAGATATCAGGAATCTTTATTAAAATCCTGGGCCTGACACTTATTGATGACTTTATTTGGCACTAGTGACTTACCTTTTCTTTCTTCAACTGCAAAAAGCAGATCTCAATCTCTACCTTCTCAGGACTGTCAGAAGGATCAGTTCATTCATTCAGTGAATATTTATTGAATACTTACTATGTGCCAAGCACTGATCTAGACACCACAGAAGCTACAGTGGTAAACCAAAAACAAAGACCCTGATCTAATATAATTTATTCTAATGACGAAAGCAAAGCAATAACTATACTGACAAATAAATATATTAGGCAAAATCATAGGATAAGCTGATGCTATTTGGGTTAAGGAGATAGAGAATAGCTGATGGAAGTATTTTAAGAGGGATTTATTTCTTTGACCCACTCACCTATTCCCTCTCTCTCATGTTTGTTATATGTCCTTAAGCATGTATGTATCCTCATAGAATATGTAGCTTTTAGTTGTATAATTTTGACTTGCACAAATGATATGGTGCTATAGACCTTTTGTGTTTCTTACTTTTCTCACCCAGCGCCATATATGTGCTTTCCATGTTTTTGTTTGCAGAATTCATTTGCTATTTCTGGAGTCTGTATTCTGTAGTATGCATCTACCATATTTGCTTGTTCATTTCCCATGATGAACACACATGGATTGCTTCAAATGCCCACCATTACACACAATATAAAAGGCCCTTAGAAACAAATTTCATTTGGGCAGAGATATGATTAAAGTGAGAATATGAGCCAATGGAAGATAAGCATTACAGTCTTTGGCAGAGGTTCTGAGGTAAAACATTGTTGGTGTGTTGGAAAAACAACAAATGTTTCATGTGGCTGGATTGAAGTAAGTAAGAGGGAGAGAGCTAGGAGCTAAAGACAAATTGGTAGCCAGGGCCCAGATCATAGAGGGCACTGCAGACTTTGAAGATGACATTGGAGCTTAACTAAGCATGATGGGAAGCCAATGGAGAATGTTGAGGAACAGGATGATTTATCTTTTTAAAAGGTCACTCTGGCTGTGGTGTGAAGAGTAGGCTGTGAAGGGCACAAGTAGGAATGGGGGTTCTAATCAAGAAGCTGCTACACTAGACCAGGTGAGGTATGGTAAAGGCACAGTTGGGGTATTAGCAGTAGACAAGTTAGAAAAGTAAGAAGTGGAAGGACTTAAGGTACATTCTGAAATTAGAGAAGACAGAAATTGCTGTTGGATTGGAGAAATAATTTAGGGTACATGATAGTGATTAAGTACTCAGACTTAATCCTTCTCCTTCTTTCAGATGGGTAATCTTGGATAAGCTACCTAACTTTGAAGCCTTGGAAATAAAATTCTTCCATCTGTTAAAAGGAGTATCAGTAACTATTCCATAAGATGAGATTAAATTCTAAATGAGATAATCAAGGGCATTTCATAGCACTTGACTTTTATTAGATTCTCAATAATGAGTGGGTGATGATGATAGTGATGATGATGATGATGATAGTGATGATGATGATGATGATGGATTCCTAAACTTTGGAGCCTAAAGCCCTATCTCCCTTTTCTGAATTGTGTGTATATATATATATATATATATATATATATATATATATATACACATTATATATATATATACACATTATATATATATACACATTATATATATATACACATTATATATATACACATATATATATACACACACATTATATATATATAAACACATTATATATATATAAATTTGGCATATAAATATATATAAAATTTGGCAGTTGCTATATACTAGTTAACTTCCCACATGTTAAAATTTTGAAGCTCTCTGGTCATATATGCTACCTTATACTTCCTTGTAACAAAGGATGTTGTACATAGAGTAAACATTCAATAAATATTCATTAAAGAAAGAATGAATGAGCAAGCTCCTGCTTTGTTTTTGGGTGAAACAGAGTCACTTGAAGATTTGGGGGTTGTTGAATTATTATTAAATCTGCTTTCCCCTCTTCTCATTTGTAGTAAGTAAATGATAATTCTAAGTGGTATCATCCTATACTATTTGGGAGTCCTTAAATGTCTACAGGAAAAACTGCCACAGGTACCTAGGTCTAAAGATTACTCTTATGGGTATCATACTGAGACAAACAAGCCACTTAATCCCTTCCTCATGACTGTAACTCAGTCCCTGTGAAAGTCATTCTAATTATGATATAAATGGTTGATGTTTTCATCACAATGACACACTCAGAAAACCTAATAACCACATAAGCAGCAAGCCAGGGGGCTCTGTACAATAGGAGGAAATGTACAGGGAGTCATTAGGCCAGATGGAGTCCTTATAATTATTTAAGCCTACTGTTAATGTAAATGATGAGAAAAGGAAAGCTGACGAATGATGCCTCTAGAAATTGTAATCCCTTGAACTCTTTAAATATCTATGCTTAAAGGCATAGATAAATTTGCTTCCTCTTTCTCAAAAGAGCTTCCTGTTTCTTCTCCAATGACAAAACCTTATTGTCATTAATAACACACACCACATCATCAGTACAGCAGCATTCACCCTTGGTTTCTTTCAAGAGTCCTTTGACATTGCTTACATAACTTAGAGGGCCATACCTTCCCCCACTTTGATGCCAAAAGAATGCACCTTGGTTAACTACCTTCATTACAAACATCACCTCTTAACAAGGGGCAGACTGTATTTAAGTCTAGTTCTACAAATCTTATAATTAGGGAATTAAGGGAAGTTTTCTAAACTCTGTCCCTCAGTTTCCTCACCTGTAGGGTGAAAATGATTATAGTATATTATTACCTACCTAAAAAGTTTAAGGTGAAGTTGTACCATGTCAATATATATAATGTGTCTAGAACTGAACACACGGTAAGTACTAGGTGAATATTTGACATTATTATAAGTTTATTATTTTCATCAGAATGAGGGGTATTAGCAGGTTCTTCATTTTCAAACATGCCTCAAACTTTTAAAGTATAACATGTGCAAAAGTTACAGAATGCTTAGGCAGTAAGAGAAAGTTATGAGCTTCTCTATTCTCCATTGTTGTAACTGTTTGGCCAGTCTGATTTTAATAAATTAGAATTTAATAGAGCATCTCTATAATGTCAAAATCTGGGTCTCTCTACTTATCATGGTCATTGCTGTACAAGGGTGAAATCTGTCACAGTCCACAGCTTCCACGGTGAGGTTATATTGCTTCACAGACTCACAGTCTGGCTGTGTGGTAAGTTCGATCATTCCAGAGAGAGGATGAATCCAGAATCTTTGTATAACCTGGGTGTCTCCATTGGCTATTTCGTATGTCACACAATTTGGTGGGTGCTCTTCATCAATGGCAATCACTCTTCCAACTTTATAGAATGCTGCCAATAACATTTTATAAGGCTCATTCTCATCATGCAGATACACTGCTTTAAAAAAAACTTAACATGTCTTTGCCTACCAAATAGTATCACAGTTTCTCAAAGGATCAGCCTCTATTCTTTTGGATAATGAAATATGTTTGAAGACCTTCAACTCAACATAACGGAAAACAAATTCAGAGAAAGTCCTCTATCACTTTAAACCATTTGCCTTGAGTCAAATAACATAAGTTAACAGTAACTTTATAATAATAATGATTAGCTTACATGCACTGCATGAATATTTTCTACTAGGCATCATGCTAAGATTAGCATCAGATAACGGTTCACAGCCCAGACTCTGAAACCAGACTTCCTAGGTTTCAAGTCTCAGGTCTATCATTTATTTGTGCAACTCATTGGAAGATTCTTCAACCGCTCCAGCCCTCATATTATTTATCTGCAAACTAGGAATAATATCTACCATACAAAGTTGTGAGGAGTGAATGAGCTAAAATGTATAAAGCACTTAGAATAGTGCCTGGTATGTAAGTAAATACTAAGTAAAAATTAGCTATTATTTAATTGAATTATCTCATTGAATCTTCTCAACAGGCTTATTATATATCCACTATTACAGTCCTCATTTTATAGATAAGGAAATTAGGTCTAGTGGTATTAAGTAACTTGCTCACTGTCCAGAGCTAATAGTGGTAGAATCAGGATTTAAACTGGTACCTGATGATTCTACAGCCCATATTTTTAAAATCACTTTCTGTAATTCCAGTGTGCAATACCCCCAGATAATCTCTTAGAAGAGAAATGGGTATGATCTATTGGCTGCATAACAAATAGGCTCAAATTACTATTATTATTATTATTGTTATTATTATTTTGAGACAGGGTCTCACTCCATCACCCAGGCAGGAGTGCAGTAGTGCAACCATGGCTTACTACAACCTCAACCTCCTGGCTCAAGTGATCCTCCTGCCTCAGCCTCCTGAGTAGCTGGGAGTACAGGTGCATGCCACCACACCTAAGTAATTAAAAAAAAAAAATTTTAGAGACGAGGTCCCGCTATGTTGCCAAGTCTGGTCTCAAACTCCTGGGCTCAAGCAATCCTTGCACCTTGGCCTCACAAAGTGCTGGAATTACAGGTATGAACCACTGCACCCAGTCTAGACCCAAACTCTTTATCCTTCCGATGTTCATGCTTTTTGCCATTTAACCCCTTAGTGCCCCTCCAATTCTGACTTGGGGCCCAGCCCGCAACTTGTTTTGGCCAATGGGATATTAGCAAATCTGATGCCAGCAGAAACCTGAAAGGTACTTGCATGATCAGGCTTGCCTTTCTTGTGCACTTCTTTTTTTTTTTTTTTTTTTTTTTGAGACGGAGTCTGGCTCTGTCACCCAGGCTGGAGTACAGTGGCATGATCTCGGCTCTCAGCTCACTGCAACCTCCACCTCCTGGGTTCAAGTGATTCTCCTGTCTCAGCCTCCCAAGAAGCTGGGATTACAGGTGCCCATCACAATGCCTGGCTAATTTTGTTTTTGTTTTTGTTTTTTGAGATGGAGTCTCGCTCTGTCCCCAAGGCTGGAGTGCGGTGGGGCAATCTCCGCTCACGGCAACCTCCACCTCCTGAGTTCAAGCGATTCTCCAGCCTCAGCCTCCAGAATAGCTGGGATTACAGGCGCCCACCACCACACCCAGCTAAGTTTTGTATTTTTAGTAGAGACAGGATTTCACTATGTTGGCCAGGCTGGTCTCGAACTCCTGACCTCAGGTGATCCGCCTAACTAGGCCTCTCAAAATGCTGGGATTACAGGCACGAGCCACCATGACTGGCCTCTTTGCACTTCCTCCTTTTCCCTGAAAACAAGCTCAGGCTAGCCTGCTGGAAGATGAGAGAGGAGCCAACCTTCCCAGTCACCCCAGCCGAAGCCAGAATAGATCAGCTGAAAGCTAGCCAACTCACAATTTTGAGCAAGCCCAGCCATGACCAGAGAGACAAGCCAGCCACTTCTTAGACTCATGGGCTAAATAAGTGTTTATTGTTGTATTACACTAATATTTTGTGGGTCTTATTACATAGCATACTTACAGTAGTAGGTAACTGGCACCACAAGTTTACCCCTCAATCATTTTTGCCTGAACTGTAAACTCCAGGGCAGGCATCTTATCTCTACCATTTAGTGAAATACCACTATACAATGGCTGGCTCACTAACACAAGTACAGCACATTTTGGTTGCTAATAACCAAGAATAAAAAATTAATATAAAGCAATCATTTCATTGCTGTGCCCGCCACTTTCAACCTAGTAAGGTTTCTTTCTCTGTTTGTATCCTCCTTTTACCAAGGTTCCCTATCAGTCTCTAATAATATGTTATTTTTCGTTTGTTATTATTATTTTTTAATAGAGACAGAGTCTCACCATGTTGATCAGGCTGGTCTTGAACTCCTGGCCTCAAGTGATCTGCCCACCTCAGCCTCCCAAAGTGCTGGGATTACAGGAGTGAGCCACCATGCCCTGCCTAATAATGTGTTATTAAGCAGGCAATGAACACACCTCATAATACCAAAAACAGAGAAACCATACTCATGAAAAAGAATGTGTTTTACTGTGGCAAATCCAGAATATAGAGTCCAACCTATTGCTCGCATGAAATAATTCGTACTAAGAGAATAGCGTCACAACTGATACAAGACCACATAAAATAGATTACTGGTAAAACTGCCATCTCTATTAGACAGTCCTGGGCAAAGATGGTGTCATTTTCACATTTAACACCTGAATAAGTATAATAGGAAGCTTATTCTTCTGTAAGTGTAAAATTAACCTTTCAATAAAAACTAAAAGCTATACTGAGCATCTTTAGCTGAAGTTTAAAATAGAGTAATTATGAAATTCTGCAATTCTGCCAAATACCTCATCAAAAACTATTGGAAATAAAATATATTTTGCTTTGTGACTTGCAACCCAGTGTGATTTAATTATCATGTATTCTCTTCTAAATAATTTCTGATAAAGAAATATTTTTGCCTATTGCTAACCCCCTCTAGAAGTGTTTGTGAATTTATCACTTACCTTTAGAAAAAATTTACTATAAATATTATAAATTTCCATAATTTGGGGGGAGAAAAACTCATGTAGTTCTCAAATACACTCAAATTTTCTGTGCTAATCCACACAGCATGAAAAAGACTTCCACATTAATGGATTTTTTAAAATGTCCTCAAAGTCTATAGGCTAAACCTTTGATATTACTAGGATAGTTCATTTTCTGAGTAGTTTTACCTTCCCAATTTCCTCCTTTAAAGCAAATTTCCACTGATTGTGAAGATTTATCTCCTCTGATGGACATCATTTGAGATGAGACATCTCATTTGAGATAAGACATCATCTCAAAGAACAACTCTCACCTAAATTTACTCAGTTTATGTACTCTGTTTATGTACTAAATTTACTCGGTTTATGTACTCTGCTGGGGAAGATGAAGAGAGTTTGTTTGTTTGTTTGTTTTAAAAAAAAAAGAAAAGAAAAGAACGGGAAAAGTTCTGGCACATTCTACATTGTAAGCACTCAATAAATGATAGTGATTATTATTTGCAATGGTGTGCTAATCCTCCTCTTAATTCATAAAATAATTATTGCAATCTTTATTTTACAGATGAGAACTTGAAGACACATAGAGATTATGTGACTTGCTTTGAGTCATTTAACTAGCAGTAACAGAGTCCGCTTTAAATCTAGTTCTATATAGCTCTAGCTCCCATAGTTTTTTGCTATATCAGTGTGCTCCCTTTTAAAGACCTAGGAGTCCTCTGTCTGGGAGAGCAAGTCACTAGACAACTATTTGGAAAACAGTACCCACTTAACTCTTTGTATGAATTCTCAGAACTTGTTTTCAGATCTCTGTTGGTCTCAGTCATAAAAATGCATCCAAGAAAACCAGCCTGTAATACTAAACAGAGAACTGGACCAGGAATTTGGAAGTTTTCATTTAGCTACAACATCTGCTACTTATTAGCTGTGTAACTTTGGATAAACTCATTTCTTTCTCCACTCCAATTTCCTCATAGTGAAAAAAAAGAGGTTGAATCCTTCAGCTGTTCCAAATCAACAATATTATGACTGAAAATTCTCAATCCTTCTTCTCAGCCATCAATAAAGTATTAAATTACACTTAAGAAAACATGTAAGTGTTCAATACATTTAGAGGGTTTTACCTTCAAACATAAATTAAATTTCAGGAAAACTTCAGTTAGTTGGAAAGAAACTGACATGAAACACTTGCTTCTCCTAAAATGGCATTTTTAAAAATGCCAGTCTCAAAGGCAAAACTATGGAGATGGTAAAAAGATCAGTGGTTGCTAGGGATTGGGGGAAGGGAGAGATAAAAAGGAAGAGAACAGAATTTTTAGGATAGTGAAACTACTCTGTATAATCGTAAAATGGTGGATACATGTCATTTTACATTTGTCCAAACCCATGGAATATATAATGCCAAGGGTGAACCCCAGTGTAAACTGTTAACGTTGGGTGATAATTATGTGTCCGTGTAGAGTCATCAATTGTAAAAATGCACCACTCTGGCAAGGGGTGTTGATAATGGGGGAAGCTGCATGTCGCGGGGGAAGGGGTGTATAGGACATCTCTGTACTTTCCCCTCAGTTTTCCTGTGAACCTAAAACTGCTCTAAAAAAATAGTATCTTTTTTTAAAAATGCAAGTATCTATTTTAAAATCTTGTTTGGTTCTGTTAACTTTGCGAGGTCATGGAATCCCTTTTGTAACTTGATAAAGCCTATGGAGCTTTTCCCCCAGAGATTCTCAAAGCCCATGTTCACACCCTCTGCTCCATATTTAGGATTTATAAGCCAGGAAATGATTAGATGATTGTGAACTACTCAACTTCTGACTCATCATCATGCTCTTTTAACTCTAGAACTCCCTGGAGCTAGAAGATTACACTATTGACCACCACAGAGAAATGGAAGAATATGAAGAAAGGAAAGAAGTCATTGTAATGAGGCTCTATCAATAAAAGATTACTCAAAAATCAATATTGAGTACTTCCAAAAGCCCATAGGCAGAATGGGGGGGTGAGAGGGGACCAGAATCCTGTTTACAATACATTCAATTTATATGTAACTTTTCTGGATTGTCTGGTCACATATTGCAAAATCAGACTGTATTATATTCCAGAACCAGGATATAATAGGTGTGTATTTATTTCACAGAGACGTTAAGAACTTCTCCAAAGCTGCACAGTGAGAAAAACAAAGAAATGAAATCCAAGTACAGCCCAGATACAGTGGTTCATGCCTGTAATCCCAGCACTTTGGGAGGTGGAGGCAGGAGGATTGATTGAACCCAGGAGTTCAAGAGCAGCCTGGCAAACATGGCAAAACTTAATCTCTACAAAAAATACAAAAATTAGCTGGGCATGATGGTGTGCACCTGTAGTCCTAGCTACTTGGGAGGCTGAGATGGGATGATTGCTTGAACCTAAGAGGGTTAGGCTGCAGTGAAATGTGATTGCACCACTGCACCCCAGCCTAGGCAACAGAGTGAGAAGAAAGAAAGAAGGAAGGAAGGAAGGAAGGAAGGAAGGAAGGAAGGAAGGAAGGAAGGAAGGAAAAAGAAAGAAGGAAAGAAAGAAAAGAAAGAGAGAGAGAGAGAAAGAAATAAGAGGAGAAGGAGAAGGAGAAGAAGGAGAAGGAGGAGGAGGAGAAGAAGAAGGAGAAGAAGAAGAAGAAGAAGAAGAAGAAGAAGAAGAAGAAGAAGAAGAAGAAGAAGAAGAAGAAGAAGAAGAACTAGAAGACAAAGGAGAAGGAGAAGAAGAAGAAAAAGAAGAAGGAGGAGGAGGTGGAGGAAAGGAAGGAAGGAAGGAGAGAGGGAGGAAGGAGAGAGACAGGGAGGGAGGAGAGAGAGAGGGAGGAAGGAGAGAGAGAGGGAGGAAGGAGAGAGAGAGGGAGGAAGGAGAGAGAGAGGGAGGAAGGAGAGAGAGAGGAAGGAGAGAGAGAGGGAGGAAGGAAGGAAAAAGGAAAAAGGAAAGAGGGAAAGAAAGAAAGAAAAATAAGAAAGAAAGGAAGGAAGAAAGAAAGAAAAGAAGAAAGAAAGGAAAAGAGAGAAAGAAAGAAATTCAAATGTGTGGGCTTTTGATTTTCCAGTCTTTCCTCAGAACATTTGTCTAACGTTTGATTTCCTAGTCTCTCAACATTTGCAGTTGTCTGGCAAGGAAATAAGCTGGCTTGAAGTAGTGTGGGTTCCACCCAGTGTTATGCTGGCAAATGTTTAAAAACCAACTCTCTGAAAAAAAACTGGTGTGTGTGTGTGCGCGCGCACATGCGTGCGTGTGCATGCACACACATATTCACATAAATATATGTTTGTTATAAATTTTACTGATATAAAAGATAGGGAATGTAAAATTTACAGTTAACGATGAGATATAAAATACTCTGTATTGTAAATTTCCATATAGACAATTGATTTTCATAGAATGCTTTCACTGATTCACAAACTGTCCTACACATTGCCACACTATGATTGCAAATGACAAATGAGTAGTGCCAACATGAATGTTAGTTGATATTTTCCTTTGTATTAAAGAGTAAGGTGAAAGTGAAGCCGTGGCAGAACTTCACTAGCTCATCAATGATGGGAATGGCTTATTTGCTGAATTGGAAAACAGTTTTTGATTGCTAGAAGACTATTTCCACAATTTTTGTGCACTCACAACAATAATCTCAGACCTTTTTTTTTTTATACTTTAAGTTTTAGGGTACATGTGCACAATGTGCAGGTTAGTTACATATGTATACATGTGCCATGCTGGTGTGCTGCACCCATTAACTCGTCATTTAGCATTAGGTATATCTCCTAATGCTATCCCTCCCCCCTCCCCCCACCCCACAACAGTCCCCAGAGTGTGATGTTCCCCTTCCTCTGTCCGTGTGTTCTCATTGTTCAATTCCCATCTATGAGTGAGAACATGTGATGTTTGGTTTTTTTGTCCTTGCAATAGTTTACTGAGAATGATGATTTCCAATTTCATCCATGTCCCTACAAAGGACATGAACTCATCATTTTTTATGGCTGCATAGTATTCCATGGTGTATATGTGCCACATTTTCTTAATCCAGTCAGACTTTTACATTTAATCTGTATTATTAACATTTTCTCTATCAATTTCTTAAGACAAGATAATTTTTTTTAAAAACTATGAATCAAGTTTTAATATGTAATGTTTGTTGATTTCTATGGTATAAATGCTCTCACCATTTTCAATTTTAAATTTTCAATAATTATTGCTAACTTGGAAAGAGAAATGCAGTAGCATGCCATTCTATCTATGGAATTTCACCATTCTATTTATGGAATTTCACCATTCAGTCCCAACAGATGTGAATAACCTCAAGGCAAATATAATAGTAAAATGTAGTAACATAATTAAGAAGTACTGAGTTTTTAGCATTTACTAACTTTTAACATAACTTTTATAACTAAGTTTATTAATTTATTTTTAAGAATATTATTAATAATCAGGTTATCAAATTCCTGCAGATTTAACAATTGGATCTTGCAAGCCAGTATGATTCAACTCTAGCACACAACTGGTTCCATCCATCCCTTGAAGTATTCAAGTCAAACCTGAAAGAGATGCTGAAGAAAGGATGTGTTCCTCTCTTAGATGACAGAAGATACAAGTAGGACCTCTGCTGTCTCTTCTAAATTTAACGTTCCTTGATCTATACTAACAAATGTGTCCTACTTAATATGTAATAAATGGCTGAAAAAGAACCCTGACTAAGATCTTGACTCTGGACCTAAAATCATGACCCCAGACATTCACAGGATTGAATTGCGTGGACAATGAGCACATCGTTTCTACCTTCTTTGCATTTAGATCTAATTTAGAGGCAAGGGGGAAGATAAATGGAATAAAATTAGTATTGTGTAATTTTTTATTACAAAAATCCTACGTCATCAAATGTTAAGGAAGTCTTCGGGGAGCCATCAAAATGATACACTGAAGGTGTTACCAACGAAAAGTGCCTTGTTCTTGAGTGTCTGGGATTCCATAATGCTCTCTTATTTGCTTGCATTTTGTAAATGTATATGCTTTTTTCCACTGGCCATTCATTTGAAATGTGGTAGGTGTTTCCTTCTGCATGTTTCAACACCATAGACTTGGGGAATCTCTTACCTCCCAACGTTTCCGGAACAGAGAATGAATAGTGTGCAGCTTTAAATACAGGGCTGAAGTCACTGGCAGGAGCAACCTTCACAATGAAGGTCACAGTTGCTGTGAAATTGAACACTGAATAAATGCTTTGTTGTTGTAGTTTTATTCCACAAACAAGCTCCCCGTCCCCCCAGGAACAGGCTTAGCAAGGAATTTTGAAACTGCAGTGGGATTCTCTGTGCTCCCAAGCAACCCCTGCTCCCAGACTGCATTCTCAAGGAACCAAAATAAATTTTGGTGCTAGCCAAAGCAATTTAGTGAAAAATACATAATGTATTGCATGGTATATTTTGTTTTGTATAGTAGAAATATGCATGTATTTATATACATCATTTAAAATATACAATTATATATTTCACACAAGATAGTTTATTGCATTTTTCATGGGTACAGTCTCCTCCATTAGAGAGTTTGTTGGCGTGTCATTCTCAACCCAGCATGTGACATTCTCAATTCTGCTTTTAATGTATATCCTAGAAAGTGGAAGGGAAAGAGACTCAGAAAATCACGTTCAAGGCTTAGCCTTGAACACGTACAGCTGTTCCTCAGTATACACGGGGACTGGTTCCAAGGCCCTGGCATATAACAAAACATGCACATGCTTAAGTCCTGCAGTCAGCTCTGCAGAACCTGTGAATACAAAAGGTTGCCACTCTAATACATGCAGGTTTCTCATACTGAATACTGTATTTTGGATCTGCATTTGGTTGAAAAAAATCTGTATATAAATGGACCTTCACAGTTCAAACCCATGTTATTCATGGTTCACCTGTACCCTGAGGCCTTGAACTAGCTTAATTTCTCCAAGGATCAGTTTCCTCATCAAAGAAAAAAAAAGGAATAACATCAGTTTCAATCTCCTACATCACAGTGTGGGTATGAAGACAAAATAAGATCGTGCCCAAGAAGGTATATTTAAACTATAAAAGGTTAAGTAAAAAGGCAGCTATTACATTTTATTCACCTCAGCCAAATGTTTGTATATTGTGTGTTACCAAAAATGAACTCTGTATTTCAGACAAACAAGCTTAAACTATCATTACAGAGTTGTCAAAAAGAAGGAACTTGATGTCTCAACATAAAAGCAAGAAACTTGCAAACACGGAAAAATTTTAATAAAGGTAAAATAATAATTAACATTTACTGTAAAAGGTACTGATTTGCCATTGGTATTATTGTCCCCATTTCACAGGCAAGAAAACTGAGATTCACAGAGTTCAGTTCTTAGACAAAGATCACAAAACTCATAAGTCACCAGATGGGTATTAAACCAAGCTATGTTCACCAGCATCTCCCAAAATATCTTCTTTGAGATGCTAATGTGTCAAAAGTAGAATCCTAATGAAACAGAGGTAAAAGGTTTCTTTTTGGCAAGACTTCTTCAGATCTCCAATATATCATTATATATGATAAATCTCCAGGTATGCCTTGCTCCCCAAATTTATTTGACCAAAGAATTCTTCTTTAGTGGATTATCTTGTGGAATTCATGTTCTGAAGAGTGCTGGTATTGCCTCTACTGAAAATCCATGCCACGTGTGTCAAATAAGAAAATTTAATCTAGGATTCGTAGGATTCATAGAACGTTTACTTCAGAGAATCTGTGACATTCATTGAATTTTGGTATGTGTTGTTATGTGCATTTTTCAAGGGATAGGATCCACAGCTCTTATCAGAATCTCAAAAGTGTTCATGCCCCACAAGAAAGATTAAGAAGCACTATTCTACAAAGACAGGTGATTTACGTTAAAGCCTCTATATTTCCTACAATGAACGTCACTCATGTGTTGCAAGAGCAGGTGCCATTTACAGCTCTGCCATACAATGATTTTTATTGCATCCATAAACACTCAAAACTATACTAATTAGCTGGCTTGTAAAAATATATTGAACTACTTGTGCACTATTACAAGCATCCTTTATTCACATCCTTTGAATGTGTTGGGTGTGAAGGGACTAGAAAGAATGGGGATTTATTACTGTGAGAAATGTCTTTCCTCTTCCGTATCAGGGAAAGGCTCAAATCTGGTGAGAGGGAAAGACTCTTTTTTGATTAGAAAATCAATATGAGTAGCTGCAAGAAAGTGTATCCATCCTGAAAGGTCAATTGGGCTACAATATAGGCTTCTTGCATCAGAACACAAGTTAGGAACAGAGAAACTACAACAAGAACACTTCTGGGCATAGTGTCATGCTTAAGTCCCTGTCCCTTATACATCATCTTTCCACATGGTTGGGTCATTTAAGTATTCAAATCACCTTTGTAGACTTAGCCTCATTAGAACTCTTGTATCCGTGAGTCAAGAGTGATTTAATGAGCCCTAGATGTGCTGATTACAGTTCAGCCTAAGTTCCCTTTGGTTGCAAACGTATAGATATATACCATCATTCCACTCTTATCCATCCATGACAGACAAAGCACTCTTCCTCATTGCTCCCAGATGCAATCTCAAAATCCTTCTCAATGACCCAGGAAATTACCACCAATGATTCAGACTTCTCACAAGAGAAGAAACTCAAATGCCACCCCTATTCTAGGCTCTCCTTTACCAGGAACTGACATTCTACTACTAAACTTATGTTTGCAACCCAAACACCCACATTGTCTTGAATATCTTTGATGCCAACCAACTGCTCGATTACTTACTACCATATTTTCCAGATACAATAGATGCTTGGCATTAATAACAAATGTATCCAGAATTTTAAGAATCTCTACTTTCACAAATACCTCTATAGCCAACAAATTAACTCTTAAAATGGTAATACATAGGTGAATATGTAAATGACCCTTTAGGGCACTTGTATGTTCTGATGTGTAGTACAATAAGCAAACAGAAGCAGGTGTCAGGTGTTTAACTAAGCTGGGCCACTCTCTAAGTACTCTGCTCTAGATCTATAGCTCACAATTTAAATATGTACCAAAGAGTGGTTTACAATTAGCAAAACTATGACTATTAAATCCACAAATGCCAAGAATTTTATGACCATAGAATCTGGGTGGACTTAATCTCACTGTACCAAAGACTCATTCTAACACAGGCTGACCCAAAATGGTGGGATGGTTATGAAAAGACCAAATGGCAGAGAGGGATAACCATGCCCTGCACCTCCATGAAGGTGTTCCCGGGCTGCGGAACTTGGCAAGTAACTCATGATTTGCATTAATATGGCTCTATATATGTCATATAAAATAATTCAAATAAAATACTTTTAAAACATCCTATTACCTATATGTTCAGACTACATGTTGCCCAACATATGGTTCTTTTCAAGTAAGAAGTGTCTGGCATTACTAGCATAAAGGTATTCAAGTATAAAGCATAAGAGTTAGTTCTACACATCCCTTGCCCCTTCTACCTCCTAGGATCTCTAGCTGGAGTGGTATTTAAGAATTGTGTATTCATTAAGGCATTGTTAAGAGGCAAAAGAGACTTCCCAGATCTAATGAAAACTTCCAACATGAGTCTACTTAATTCTCCTCTTCCTCCTTTGCCCAACTTCAAAAAACTGCCTCAAACACGATGGATCTTTACATTTTAAAATCTAAATTGAAGAGTCTAGAGTATAGACACTTATTGCTCTTTGAAAAGTTTATCCAGATTACCTGTATGGGAAGGAAGTAGGTCATAAAATACTAAAATCATTATTTCATAGGTATGTCCAGCTGCAATTATCTCTGGGTCTTCATAGTCCAACTCTTTAGTAACCTTATAAAATGAGATTTCTTTGAACAAAAATGACCAAATTTTTTAAACGTACATGTTTTCTGTTTTTGTTTTTGTTTTTGTTTTTGAGATGGGGGTCTCACTATGTTGCTCAGGCTATTCTCAAACTCCTGGGCTAAACAATCCTCCCACCTCAGTCTCCCAAGAAGCTGGGATTACAGACATGTGCCACTGCACACCCAGCTAAATGTATGTGTTTCAAGTAATACATCATTCTGCAAAAGGCAAGCATATCTCCATTTTCATTTCACAGGGATGGTCTCAGAATATACCCAAGACTGACACAGACTGACACACAAAAGCAGGCAGTTTGGTGAAACAAAGGCACATCTTAGATTTCCTTCCAGTGTAGATTACTGTTGGACAAAGCATTGTGGCAAAGTAGAATAAAAAACGGGTTGTATCCTGTCTTTACTGCATGTAAATGGTGTGACCTTAGGCAATTTTTTTTTTTATTATTATACTTTAAGTTTTAGGGTACATGTGCACAATGTGCAGGTTAGTTACATATATATACATGTGCCATGCTGGTGTGCTGCACCCATTAACTCGTCATTTAGCATTAGGTATATCTCCTAATGCTATCCCTCCCCGCTCCCCCCACCCCACAACAGTCCCCAGAGTGTGATGTTCCCCTTCCTATGTCCATGTGTCCTCATTGTTCAATTCCCATCTATGACTGAGAACATGCGGTGTTTGGTTTTTTGTCCTTGCAATAGTTTACTGAGAATGATGATTTCCAATTTCATCCATGTCCCTACAAAGGACATGAACTCATCATTTTTTATGGCTGCATAGTATTCCATGGTGTATATGTGCCACATTTTCTTAATCCAGTCTATCATTGTTGGACATTTGGGTTGGTTCCAAGTCTTTGCTATTGTGAATAGTGCCGCAATAAACATATGTGTGCATGTGTCTTTATAGCAGCATGATTTATAGTCCTTTGGGTATATACCCAGTAATGGGATGGCTGGGTCAAACGGTATTTCTAGTACTAGATCCCTGAGGAATCGCCACACTGACTTCCACAATGGTTGAACTAGTTTACAGTCCCACCAACAGTGTAAAAGTGTTCCTGTTTCTCCACATCCTCTCCAGCACCTGTTGTTTCCTGACTTTTTAATGATTGCCATTCTAACTGGTGTGAGATGGTATCTCATTGTGGTTTTGATTTGCATTTCTCTGATGGCCAGTGATGGTGAGCATTTTTTCATGTGTCTTTCAGCTGCATAAATGTCTTCTTTTGAGAAATGTCTGTTCATATCCTTTGCCCACTTTTTGATGGGGTTGTTTGTTTTCTTCTTGTAAATTTGTTTGAGTTCATTGTAGATTCTGGATGTTAGCCCTTTGTCAGATGAGTAGATTGCAAAAATTTTCTCCCATTTTGTAGGTTGCCTGATCACTCTGATGGTAGTTTCTTTTGCTGTGCAGAAGCTCTTTAGTTTCATTAGATCCCACTTGTCAATTTTGTCTTTTGTTGCCATTGCTTTTGGTGTTTTAGACATGAAGTCCTTGCCCATGCATATATCCTGAATGGTAATGCCTAGGTTTTCTTCTAGGGTTTTTATGGTTTTAGGTCTAACATTTAAGTCTTTAATCCATCTTGAATTGATTTTTGTATAAGGTGTAAGGAAGGGATCCAGTTTCAGCTTTCTACATATGGCTAGCCACTTTTCCCAGCACCATTTATTAAATAGGGAATCCTTTCCCCATTGCTTGTTTTTCTCAGGTTTGTCAAAGATCAGATAGTTGTAGATATGTGGCGTTATTTCTGAAGGCTCTGTTCTGTTCCATTGATCTATATCTCTGTTTTGGTACCAGTACCATGCTGTTTTGGTTACTGTAGCCTTGTAGTATAGTTTGAAGTCAGGTAGCGTGATGCCGCCAGCTTTGTTCTTTTGGCTTAGGATTGACTTGGTGATGCGGGCTCTTTTTTGGTTCCATATGAATTTTAAAGTAGTTTTTTCCAATTCTGTGAAGAAAGTCATTGGTAGCTTGATGGGGATGGCATTGAATCTATAAATTACCTTGGGCAGTATGGCCATTTTCATAATATTGATTCTTCCTGCCCATGAGCATGGAATGTTGTTTCATTTGTTTGTATCCTCTTTTATTTCATTGAGCAGTGGTTTGTAGTTCTCCTTGAAGAGGTCCTTCATGTCCCTTGTAAGTTGGATTCCTAGGTATTTTGTTCTCTTTGAAGCAATTGTGAATGGGAGTTCACTCATGATTTGGCTCCCTGTTTGTCTGTTATTGGTGTATAAGAATGCTTGTGATTTTTGTACATTGATTTTGTATTCTGAGACTTTACTGAAGTTGCTTATCAGCTTAAGGAGATTTTGGGCAAAATATTTTAAAAGAGAAAACATTTTGTTTCTTTCCAAACTTCAGTGTAGGAAAAAAAGAGAAAATATTTTGAATGTACTCTGTAAGCGATAAAGCACTATACAAAATGTAAGTTATTCTTATTATGATGTTTCCTCACCACTTAAAAAATACCTGTTAAGTACTAATTATGTTTGAGGTACAGTTGTAGGCACTAAGGACATATCAGTAAACAAGATAGTCCCCTATCAGTGACTTGAAAACAGTCCTAATTTAGTAGCACAGGCATGAATCTCAGGTGGCATAAATTGGAATGGATCTATATGACACCAAGTACCCAGGTGTTCAGGAAGAACCACATTTTAAAAATTTTAGAAACTGACTCATTTGTCCATCCATTCAAGTATATTGAGTACCCACTATGCACCAAGCAGGTGTTGACACACAAAAATAAACCACTTAGAAATGTGTAAAGCTTACAGTCTAATAAGAGCAACAATGAGGTAGGCATTTACAACAGAGTCTAACAAGTGATTTGATAGGGAATATACAACTAATAATACAAGCCCTTATCAGGGAGAACTAAGCCAGTTATGGCATTAAAGGAAGCTCTTAGGAATAAGTAACATTTAATATCTGTGGAACAATTATGCAAATATAAAAATAAATTAGAGGTGAGAAATGGTGGAGATAGTTACCCAAATATAAAGTGAACATACGAAGACCCAAATCTTAGCATCATGTTTATAAAACCTCCATCTTCATCCAAATTTCATTTTAAAAGGTGATAGTTTGGCATTGCATTTCAAAATGAACATCAACCCAGGAAATCTCTTGGCTCAGTGCCTAAGCTTCCAAAATTCACAATATATGCAAAAGGCCAGCTTGTAGCTTATGG
This sequence comes from Homo sapiens, assembly GCF_000001405.40. NCBI lineage: Eukaryota > Metazoa > Chordata > Mammalia > Primates > Hominidae > Homo > Homo sapiens. Next base: position 63,773,665 of record NC_000003.12, read on the forward strand.
AGTTTGTCACAAAAATCTGGGGTTAGGGCCAGAGAAAGAGAAATGTTACCAGTGGTCTCAGCCATATCTTCTGGCTAAGTGTGGGGAGGGTGCTTGGTGATATTTGGGTTATAAAATCTAACAAGGATTAGCACTTTGAAATAAAGATCTATGGAAATTAGAAGTTAGAAGGAGGGATTTCTTCCAAGACAGAATCCCATCTTGGGAAGCAAAAAGAAAACTTAACTGTGTCCATCATCTGCCGATGGAAAGTGTATAATCTCCAGAGGGTATAGAAAAGAGGAGCTGATCAACTGCTCCCAGTGCCAGGAGAATGAACCATTGTCACACACATAGTCACACAGACTAATCTCTAAGGAAATCAGTGTGCTTTTTACCCTCTGATTCATTTCCCCAGCTAACTAGGACACAAATTACTTTGTGCTTATTATAAGAAGGAGAAACTGGCCGGGTGCGGTGGCTCATGCCTGTAATCCCAACACTTTGGGAGGCCGAGGTGGGTGTATCACGAGGTCAGGAGATCGAGACCATCCTGGCTAACACGGTAAAACCCCGTCTGTACTAAAAATACAAAAAAAAAAAAATTAGCCGGGCGTGGTGGCAGGCGCCGGTAGTCCCAGCTACCCGGGAGGCTGAGGCAGGAGAATGGCGTGAACCTGGGAGGTGGAGCTCGCAATGAGCCGAGATCACACCACTGCACTCCAGCTTGGGTAATAGAGCGAGGCTCTGTCTCAAAAAAAAAAAAAAAAAAAAAAAAAAGAAGGAGAAACTGATGACAGGCATCAAGATAATAAAGGACTTGCCCAAATGCCTTCCAGCAAGGGGGGACCGCTTGAGGTCAGGAGTTCAGGACCAGCTTAGGCAACACAGCAAGATCCTGTCTCTACAAAAAAATTTAAAAATTAGTCAGGTGTGGTGGCACAGGCCTGTAGTCCTAGCTACTGGGGAGGCTGAGGCAGGAGAATCACTTGAGTGCAGGAGTTCAAGGCTGTGTGAGCTATGATCACTCCACTGTACTCCAGCCTGGGTAACAGAGCAAAACTTTATTTCTAAAAAAATATTTTTTAAGACAGCAGAGGAGCCCAGAATTACGCTGTGCTATGTTAGAGTTCCTCTTGCTGAATCCACCAGCAGCATCTTAACTGTGGCCATAAAATGACTCCGTCTCTCTGGAGTTACAGCAACTGTTTCTCACCTGGATGACATTTTCAGCATTTGGCACTTGCTCAAAGAGTTGTCCAGAACCAACTGGGCCTGAGCTAGGAGCATAATGGATTGTATCAGGAGGCTCATCAAGGTCCCGACACAAGAGTTTTGCAACTACTGTATCTTTCGCAATTTCCTCCTTGAGTGTGTGCCTGTTTAATTTTTTAAGAAGAAAAATCCCTTTAGATAGATATTATTTTTAAATTTAATGCATTTTCCATAAATATACACTAGTTTGGGTAATGCATGTGTGTAGATGCCCCGTGTATCCTGGAGCAGACAGCTCAACTTTGGCGTACCATCTAAGAAGCCATTTCCCAAAAGGTTCTATGAATTTGGTAGGATTGTTTTCATTTTCTGGGAGTATGTATTTTCTGAACCCAGATGGGCACTTGTTTGGGATGGGCAGTTGATCAAGGACATCACCTTAGTGGAGAAGTCTTAAGTGGGAATCAGATAATTCTCTGGGATTGTTCCAACCTGGAACATCTGGGTGGTGTGGTCAAGACAGATAATCCTTACCATTCTATAGTCAAAGTGGATTTATTTTCATCTCAATATGTTTACCCATTTCTTCATCAGGATCTCTCTGCCTCAAATGCTCACTCTTAAGCCTTCAGCCTCTAAAACCTACTCATCCTTCAAAGGCTAACAGCTCTCATTCCTCAAGAAGCTCCTCTGATTATTCCAGTCTCATGTGTTCTTCCTCTTAACAATTAACGCACAGCACCTAGAACTTGAAGTCATTGCACATTTTTATCATCTGTCGTTTTACATATATTCATCTTATCACTCTGACAAGATACAATCTTCTTACAACAAATGACCATAACAAATACTCATACTGACACCATTAGGGGCTATAGCACTGGGTGCAGCATATGGTAGGTGTTTGGTTAATTAAATATGATTCTCCTGGGGGAAGAAGAAGGAGAAAAAGTAGAAGAAGAAGAAAGAAAATGAGAAGCAGAAAGGATAACATTTACTGAGTGTATGCCAAGCCCAACTAAACAAATTCCAAGTATTGCTTATATTTGATCCTTATGACAATGCTGTGAGGTAGGTGCAATAATCACCTCCATTTGGAAGATGGAGTAATTGGGACCCAAACAAGACCACATGGGTGGTAGTTAGCAAGACTAGATTTTGTTTTTGATTAGGCAATTAGGAGTAAAACCTAGGAAACGTGGGACAGCTGTCCTCTGTGTAAATAAGAAACAGAAGGGAGTTAAGGGGGAAGAAGAGTGACACAGATGTAGGTTTGGAGACTGAGTTTCTGATAATAAAAATATTCCTACCAACGATAATACAAACCCGCCATCCCTTATCCAAACTCCAAAATCCAAAGCTCTGAAACTAAGAATTTTTTCATAACTTACTTGGCATCAAAATTTAGCCTGACCCTACCTGAAATTTTCGACTTCAAAACCTTACCTGAACTGTCAGATCTTTATTTGTCCCATTTAGTGTGAGTATTCACTATAAATTTGAATATGGGGTATATGGATATTACTCTTGCTGGGGAAGTTGCATAATATATGATATACACATCCTATTACATTTCTAAAGTCAGATAAAAATATCTTCATCTTGAAACATATTCAATGCCAAAGGTTTCAGATAATGGGTTATTTAACTGTAATAAATTGCATTTATAAAAGTCATGTGATATGTGAGCACTATGTTCAGAATCTCACATAAATTATCCCACTTTTTCTTCACAACAATCCTGCAGGTAAGTACTATTATTATCCAATTTTATAAAGAAAAAAACTGAAAACCAAAGGCTTAAGTAAGTTACCAAAGATCACACAGCTGAAAAGTGATAGAACCAGGATTCCAAGCTAGGTCTATGGTTCCAAAATTCAAGCTTTTGCCACTTACTGTCAGATCCTGGAAATCCAACTTGCAATAATGAATAGTGATATAGTTTAGATATTTGGCCCCTCCAAATGTCATTTTGAAATATTATTCCTAATGTTGGGGGATGGGGCCTGGTGGGAGGTGTTTTGGTCATAAGAGCGGATCCCCCATGATTTGTGGGATTGGTGACACCCGTCCAGAGTGTTCTCACTCTGGTAGTTCATAGGAGAGCTAGTTGTTTAAAAGAGTGTGACACCTTCACCTCTCTCTTGTTCCCTCTCTTGCTATGTGATGTATTCGCTCTCCCTTTGCCTTCAGCCGTGAATAAAGGCTTCCTAGGCCTCACTCAAAGCCAAGCAGATGCTGACACCATGCTTTTTGAACAGACTGCAGAACCATGATCTTATTAAACCTCTTTTCTTTATACATTACCCAGTCTCAGGTATTCTCTTACAGCAACACAAAATGGACTAACACAGATAGGCCCAACAGGTTATTTCTGAGGACCATTACCTGGGGATGAACAAGAGTCAATTTGATGATTAACCACATGTCCAGTTGGGCCAATAAATATGGCAATCTCTCTTCTCTCGACCCACTCCAAATTCTTGCCCATGCCCACCTATCTCAGCACACCTAATGAGGTACTGATCACAGAAAGGTGAATTGTCATTAATGCCATGGGTATAGGCAGTTACTAGAATTGCTGCACACTGCCAGTCACAGTCACGAGCCTTAATGGAGAAGGACTGGACACTTGCAAACCCAGCTCTCTCCACGTCAAGACGTGTAGCAGTAAACACAGTTCCACGCTCTGTAACAAAATAGCACATCTTCTACAAACTGATCCATGCTGTCATTTTCAAAATTACTTTATTACATACATAACAATGGAAAAGATAAGGGGAAAATTATGCCCTATTCATTAGAATTAAGACATAGATTCAGGCCAGGTGTGGTGGCTCACGCCTGTAATCTTAGCACTTTGAAAGGCCCAGGTGGGGAGACCACTTGATGCCAGGAGCTTGAGACAAGCTTGGGCAGCATAGTGAGACTGATCTCTTCAAAAATAAAAATTACAAGTCAGCCACGTGTAGGTGGGAGGATCGCTTGTGCCCAGTTCAAGGCTGCAGTGAGCTGTCATCACACAACTGCACTCCAGCCTGAGCCACAGAGCAAGAAACTGTCTCATGAAATAAATGAATAAATAAATAAATAAAATAACAGAAAAAGAAAGTGATTCCAAATATAGGCACAATTTTAATTGTTTATCACCAAAATACACTAATTAATCATATTATGTTAGCTGGTAACAAAAAGAAAATTATTTTTGGCTTAGGGAACAGAGAAGACTTTTTAGAAGAGGAGGCCCTTATTTGGGGACTTGACATATGTAGGATAAGAAAATGGTGGTGAATGGGGAGATCGTTCCCGATAGAGAGTATCATAAATGAAAACATGAACCATAACTCACTGTGCTTCTTTCCACACATCCATCCACATATTCACTCGACAAACATTTATTGAGTGCCAATTATGTGCCAGGAACTGTGCTAAGTTCTGTATATGCTACAATGAAGTGAAATCTCTACATTTATCAAATTTATAATCTGGGCTGGGAGACAAACACTAAGCAAGTGTAGAAAATCAAAACACAAAATTCAAATAGACATATTATTAAGAAAATGAAAACTGTAAAGTGATTTTTAAAAATAAGGTCTAATGGTCAGATCCTGAAAAACACAAGAGCAAACATCCCAAGGCAGGCAGCCTAGCTGTTTGGTTTCAGTATAATGGACCAAGAGGGCCAAGGAACAGGATGAGGTTGGAGAAGGATACAAGGGCCAGAGAAAATATCTTGGGAGTGGGGTAAGAGTTTGGATTGCATTCCAAATGCAAAGGAAAATCCCAGGAGGATTTTACACAGGGGAGGAATATGATCCAATTTAACTTTAAAAAAAATTATTCTAGCTGCTCTGTGGAGCTTCTAGGAGGCGGTAAGGGTGAAAGAAGAAGCCCAGTTAAGAGAAATGAGCATTAACTCAGGTAAGACACAATGGTGGCTGTCATGATTGGGGGCTCCTCTAGAGACAGAATCTGAGATGGGGATTAGAGTGAAAGTAGTTTATTTGGGAGGTGATCAGAGCTATGTGGCATAAGAAAGATTAGAGTGAAAGTAGTTTATTTGGGAGGTGATCAGAGCTATGTGGCATAAGAAAAGTGAGACAAGGAAGAAAAAATCCCAATAAAAAGTACATCATCAAACAAGTCATTACTGTGGGAAGCTAGAATTTAATAATCCTGGGAACCCTGGAAGCGAGTGTAGAATGCACATTCAAAATTGTCCCCCACCAGAGGCAAAGAACTAGAGTGCACCAATTCCTTTCGTTCATTGACTGAGAACTCCTAGGAGGTAGTATTTCTCCAACACTTCCTGGGGGGTGGGGCAGGGCAGAGCAGATGTCAGATCCAAATAATACCTCAAGCAAAGAAATGCATATACTAGCAGGTGGAAATTGGGCTTGCTGCACTGAATTGTTAAGGCCTGAGGAGGTATGAGTAGGATATTGACAGCATCTGCTACAATGGCTTAAACCAGCCTAAGTGCTAAGATGACCACCTTTCTTCTTTACTCAGCCCTAGAGGAAGCCTTAAATACCACACAATCTGACCCTCCCCCGGCCTCAGACACAGCGGATTGGATGAGGAATGAATGAGTGACTCTAGAAAGTCCAATCGGATTCTCTCTCTCTCAAAAAACTTGGACCTGAAGTACAGAGTAGAGTTAGTTAGATCTGAGAAGATGTGCTAGAAGGGTATGTTCAGTGAAGGGCTAGGACTGCTGCTTTGTAGCGGATGAAGAGCCACATATTATTAGCTCATAAGTGAACAAAGACTTGGGTCTCACAGAGAGTTATTCAACAGATGTTTATGAAGCATCTACTATGTGCTTCATGTTGAGGTTCTGAAAACGAAGAAGACTGATATGTAACCCCAAGAAACTCAGTCTGTGGAGGAAATATAAAGATCAACAGAAGACGGCAATAGCATACGGTAGGATATATAATTTGCCAAGAACTTTTCTCAACCTACCTTTGTCAACTGCAAAGTAATCATTCCGTGGATCTAGTTGAAAGGTTAAATCCCCCAGGTTATCTTCATCTGTTGCCTGGCATACTCCAATCATTTTCCCAATTGGAATTTCTTCATCCAGTGTGATGTCAACTTTATTGTGCTGAGTTGAGTTTTGTTTGTTTGTTTGTTTTTTAATTATACTTTAAGTTTTAGGGTACATGTGCACAATGTGCAGGTTAGTTACATATGTATACGTGTGCCATGTTGGTGTGATGCACCCATTAACTCGTCATTTAACATTAGGTATATCTCCTAATGCTATCCCTCCACCCTCCACCCACCCCAAAAAAGGCCCCGGTGTGTGATGTTCTCCTTCTTGTGTCCATGTGTTCTCATTGTTCAATTCCCACCTATGAGTGAGAACATGCGCTGTTTGGTTTTTTGTCCTTGCGATAGTTTGCTGAGAATGATGGTTTCCAGCTTCATCCATGTCCCTACAAAGGACATGAACTCATCATTTTTATGGCTGCATAGTATTCCATGGTATATGTGCCACATTTTCTTAATCCAGTCTATCATTGTTGGACATTTGGGTTGGTTCCAAGTCTTTGCTATTGTGAATGGTGCCGCAATAAACATACGTGTGCATGTGTCCTTACAGCAGCATGTTTTATAATCCTTTGGGTATATACCCAGTAATGGGATGGCTGGGACAAATGGTATTTCTAGTTCTAGATCCCTGAGGAATCGCCACACTGACTTCCACAATGGTTGAACTAGTTTACAGACAGTCCCACCAACAGTGTAAAAGTGTTCCTGTTTCTCCACATCCTCTCCAGCACCTGTTTCCTGACTTTTTAATGATTGCCATTCTAACTGGTGTGAGATGGTAACTCATTGTGGTTTTGATTTGCATTTCTCTGGTGGCCAGTGATGATGAGCATTTTTTCATGTGTCTTTTGGCTGCATAAATGTCTTCTTTTGAGAAATGTATGTTCATGTCCTTCACCCACTTGTTGATGGAGTTGTTTGTATTTTTCTTGTAAATTTGTTTGAGTTCATTATAGATTCTGGATATTAGCCCTTTGTCAGATAAGTAGATTGCAAAAATTTTCTCCCATTCTGTAGGTTGCCTGTTCACTCTGATGGTAGTTTCTTTTGCTGTGCAGAAGCTCTTTAGTTTAATTAGATCCCATTTGTCAATTTTGTCTTTTGTTGCCATTGCTTTTGGTGTTTTAGACATGAAGTCCTTGCCCATGCCTATGTCCTGAATGGTAATGCCTAGGTTTTCTTCTAGGGTTTTTATGGTTTTAGGTCTAACATTTAAGTCTTTAATCCATCTTGAATTAATTTTTGTATAAGGTGTAAGGAAGGGATCCAGTTTCAGCTTTCTACATATGGCTAGCCAGTTTTCCCAGCACCATTTATTAAATAGGGAATCCTTTCCCCATTGCTTGTTTTTCTCAGGTTTGTCAAAGATCAGATAGTTGTAGATATGCGGCATTATGTCTGAGGGCTCTGTTCTGTTCCATTGATCTATATCTCTGTTTTGGTACCAGTACCATGCTGTTTTGGTTACTGTAGCCTTGTAGCATAGTTTGAAGTCAGGTAACGTGATGCCTCCAGCTTCATTCTTTTGGCTTAGGATTGACTTGGCAATGCGGGCTCTTTTTTGGTTCCATATGGACTTTAAAGTAGTTTTTTTCCAATTCTGTGAAGAAAGTCATTGGTAGCTTGATGGGGATGGCATTGAATCTATAAATTACCTTGGGCAGTATGTGTGCCGAGTTGAGTTTATGGAAGTCACACTCGAGACATCATTTTCAATATTTAATAAACTTGTTTAAAAAGGAAAGATTGTGAGAGAGGCATTTGCTTGCTGTGTATTCTTTTCTACACCTTATGGTGGCAGAAGAGTAGGAGGTTGGAGATTGCAATGATAAGAGTGGAAATTGTGACCATGAGCTTAACAAGCAACCCATTTATTGATCACTTACCTACAGTTTAGACAAACTCCTAAGCATTTTTTAAGTGTTGTTGCATTTATTCCTCACAGCAACCCTAGGAAGTAGGGACCATTTTTTGTCCCCATTTTACAGACATGGAAATGGAAATTGTAAGACATTAGGTAACTTTCAGAAGTAAATATCAAGGTGGCTGAGAGAGGATTTGACCCCGAGCCTATCTGGCTCTAGAGCCTGTATGCTTAATCACTGTGCTCTTATCCTTCTGTAAGAACCAGCTTCTTACTGGTTCTTATAGTGAATCACTGTTGACCCTCAATACGGTTTTATAAACTCCTTGATGATAATATTAGCCAGAATCTCCCTTGAGGATAGAGAGAGATAATCCAACATAAGTCAGACACTAAGAACATATTGCACTAACACTTTATTCTATTGCAATTTCAATACACTTTATACTCTAAAATTAATTTGCTTTCAGTTTTTAAGAAAACCCTTTTTAAAAAATCTTACATCTTAAAGTGGATGTTTACATCTTACTCGTTTATTTTCCTTCTCAAAAAAAACAAACAAACATAAAAATTTAATAATGAATTTGCAAAACATTTTCAAATTCAATTTTCAAGGTCAAACTAAAATATTATGTTTTATGATCTTACCTGTAGATAAGAATGGGGTCCTTATTGTGTACATTGATGAGAAAAATCTTTAGATTTCCAGCTGTAAACAGTCCTCCAGAGTCAACACTTTAATAACCACTGAAAAACTGAAAATGAAGCCACAAGAAAGACAGTTGAGATTGTACAGAAACTAACAGGCTTTCACAGAAGTAGAATCTGTTTAGTTACAACAATCAGTTAAAACAATCGATTCATCTAGTTAAAATGTCAATCAAGCCAGTTATTTTAACAGTTAGAAATGGCTAACATTTTGTTAAGGACTAAATCAGTCGAGTCAGTTGAAAGGACAGGCAGGAACTTAGAAAAGTCTGCTAATCTCCATACACAATAAAAAGGCAAAGGGAAATCCTTAGCATGTTATAGCAAACAGAACTTATGGCTATGGGTTCTTACCTTCCAAACACTGATGTTTCAATTTTGAAAACAGACACATGCAAAGGAGAAGGTGTTAAGAACACTTCAAAACAATTTAATGACTATGAGGGGATATTAGGACAGTTAGATGACTAATGGGATTTTATTTTAACAGAGATGTGTAGGGGTTTGAGGCATAAGAGTGCTCGAAATGATGAAACTGAATGAATCCTAATTGAAAGATGAATGTTCATATCCATAAAGTATGATCTTGGGTGGTCAACTCTCCCAATTTGCCCAGGACTGTCCAGGTCCAGAGATTTAGCACTGTAAGTCTCCCATCCCAGAAAACTCCTCTGTTCCAGCAAAACTGAGAGCGTTGGTTATCCCTTCAGAAAAATAAAAAATATACTTGAAATGTACTATTAAGACCAAACTGACTGTTTTCTTCCACTTGTAATAAAAACTAAACCAGTTTTCAATATCCCTCTTCTTTCATAATTTTTCCTACAAGAAGATTATCTATGAGATACTCTTGACAAAAACCACAAGTCAATCACTGTTAAGAATAAAGACATTTAAAAAATAATTCTGGGCTGGGCATGGTGGCTCATGCCTGTAATCCCAGCACTTTGGGAGGCTGAGGCAGGCAGATCACAAGGTCAGGAGATTGAGACCATCCTGGCAAATACAGTGAAATCCCGTCTCTACTAAAAATTACACACACACACACACACACACACACACACACACACACACAAATTAGCCAGGTGTGGTGGCGGGCACATGTAGTCCCAGCTACTTGGGAGGCTGAGGCACGAGAATGGTGTGAACCCAGGAGGTTGAGCTTGCAGTAGGCCGAGACTGTGCCACTACACTCCAGCCTGGGCAACACAGCGAGACTCCATCTCAAAAAAAAATTAAATTAATTAATTCATTAATTAATTAATTAATTCTGGGAAGCCTTTACTACAAGAATAGAAGGAATAAGGTATGGATGAGATCTGCAGCACTAAAGAATTCAAGCTACCTGTGGTCTAGCTGAATGCTGGAGGGTTGATGACAGCAAGGAAGGAAGAAAGCAATGAGCCTTTCTAACACTTTCATCAGGACTTGAACAAGTGATTTCATGGCCCCTATATCTTTTTTTGAAAGGAGAGAATGGAGAGAATTGATAAAAGTCAATGAGGCATTTCAAAATTTCCTTGACTCTCACTTAAAGGTCTGCTCAGTGACCCTAGAAGCTCTGCAGCTAAGAAGGAAATTAAGGAATAGTTACTCTCTGTAAAACTTCAATGAGGTCCCATTGCAAAGCTTTAGCCAAATACTTATTTATTCAAATTCTGCAAACAAAGGTTAACTTGTCCCATGTTAGCTCCTTTGATTTAAATCATACTGAGAAAAAGGAAAGATTTAGTTTTCACTTATCAAGAAAAAGTTAGTTTGTTAAAAAGTCATTAACAACTTTTACTCCCATTATTAACAAATCTGGGGATTTATAAATACCTTGCTTGTGCATAATCACTCTTCCATGAGATACACCAGGCCAAAAAGAAAAGAAAAACAAAACTGTGATGGCTATAATCCATTATTCCCAGAGTGATTTATGAAATAAGATAATGCAAATAATTGTTTGTCATGGGGCACAGCAGTGGAATTAAAGGAAAATGGATAAAGATTTTGGCAATTTCTACTAAAAAAATATATAAAGATAATGCATACAGCTGACTTTAAGAAGCTGGCAGAAGACAGCATATCCCATTTTTTTGGCCAGGCATGGTGGCTCACACCTGTAATCCCAGCATTTTGGGAGGCCGAGGCAGGTGGATTACCTGAGGTCAGGAATTTGAGACCAGCCTGGCCAACATGGTGAAACCCCATCTCTACTAAAAATACAAAAATTAACCGGGCGTGTGACACATACCTGTAATCTCCCAGCTACTCAGGAGGCTGAGGCAGGTGAATCACTTGAATCCAGGAAGTAGAAGTTGGATTGAGCCAAATACGCACCACTGCACTCCAGCCTGGGCGACAGAGTGAGACTCCATCTCAAAAAAAAAGTGAAAGTGTTAGAAAGGCTAATTGCTTTCTTCCTTCCTTGCTGTCATCAACCCTCCAGCATTCAGCTAGACCCCAGGTAGCTTGAATTCTTTAATGCTGCAGATCTCGTCTAGTTTTGAACTCCTAATCTGTTTCACTGAGAGGTAATCTCATATGATGTGTGGGCCCCTAGTCTCCACTGGACTTCTCTTCTTCTTCTTTTTTTTTTTTTTTTTTTTTTTTTGAGACAGTGTCTTGCTCTGTCACCCAGGCTGGAGTGCAGTGGCGTGATCTCGGCTCACTGCAAGCTCTGCCTCCTGGGTTCACGCATTCTCCTGCCTCAGCCTCCCGAGTAGCTGGGACTACATGCGCCCGCCACCATGCCCGGCCATTTTTTTTGTATTTTTAGTAGAGACAGGGTTTCACTGTGTTAGCCAGGATGGTCTTGATCTCCCGACCTCATGATCCACCTGCCACGGCCTCTCAAAGTGCTGGGATTATAGGCGTGAGCCACCGTGCCTGGCCTCCACTGGACTTCTCTTCTAAAGATGCTAACACTTAGGATATATCCCATCCTCAGCTTTCATAATAGAAAAGAATATCTTATCAGATTCAGGAGCAATTTGATTGGAAAGGTTTAAAGGTCCATTTCCTTTTCCTATGAAGCACATTGATGCAGAACATATGACTGAAAAGGGTGTTCATAAAAATCACTACAAAAATAAAAATAATAACTTGAACCAGTGGCTACCCACTTAGGAGATGGCATGTGTGTGCATTAACTTTTTAAAGATACTGTATTACACGGTGAATGAATTTGGTGTCACAGGTATCCAGAGAGGAGTATTCACCTACTTCCACAGCAGGATGCAAATGCCACCCCCAAAATAATCGTGGCTTCACTCTGAAAACAGGATGATGCAGAGAGGAGCCCCAACAGCCAAGTCTAGCATCAACCAGCCACCATGCAACTATCTGTTAAGTAATGATTTCATTAAAAAAAAGAAAACCACCAAAAGCATCTTAATTTGGGGAGCACATCAAGGCCAGATGAGGGAAAATATTCATGAAAAGGGAAATACGAACCAAAGAACTGGCATTCCAAATGAAAACCCAGTAGTAGTATTTACCTTCTAGATTCACTTTCAAAATCAAAAACTGCTGCTGTGGAAATTGTTCCGATGCTGTCAATTATAAAGCCAGAGCCCTCCGGGGAAATGAAGTACTGTTTATTGGACAGTAAAGAGAAAGCAAAATATTGCAGATACATCAACTACTTCCCTGGCCTGATTCCACGCATCTCTAAAAACCAGGCGTGAAATCTCTTTGTGCTCTGAGCCCATTCCCACTCCCCTGACCCCCCTCCCCTATACATGATAGACGCTCAGTAAATGTTCGTAACTGATGATGATGATGATGAAGTTATATTCCATTCAACCAATTTCAAGTTTCAATTCTTTCAAGTTTCTATTCTTGAAAAATTTCTATTCTTTTTCAAGAATAGAAAAATGAATTTTCCTGTTCTCTTATGTTCAGTATGTTATCTGAACATTTCTCACAACACTTCCCCCAATGCTAAAATTAAATAAAAAGGAGTTTACATTTAGAGAAACATGCTGACTGTTTAATGAGAACTCAGGGATAATTTTGTTTGTTTGCTTGTTGATGGAAAGAATGGGCTTTTATGTGGAGGGAGGTCGTGGAGCTAAAGAAGGAAAAAAAATATGAAATACTCCGACGTCTGTTCATCTGAATTTGTATGTGTAGGCACAGGCAATATTTTATCAAGTTGTTTTCTTAACCTGTCTTTGATTTTCATTTATACTGCCTTCCAGTTGCTCTGTTAAGTGCTTCAAACACGTTGTCTTTTAATTCTCACAATAACTCTATGTCATAGGTACTGATATTATCCCTATCTCACAGATAGAAACACAGGCTTAGAAATTTCAAGTGGCTTGTCCCCAGTTTGAGAGCTGAGTGTTTAGTCACTTTACATCATGTCTCTCTGTTCTCCACATTTTATCCCTAAGATAAACTTCTCGAGAAAGACAGCAGTGGAAGTCAGGGTCTCTCATCTAGGTGAGAATCAAATGACCAGAAAAATCCAGGGCAAAAATCCATAAGAGAATTAATATCAAGAGTTCATTACCCTGAGTGCTATTTACTTAACAATTGTGTAGACACAGAGATCATTTAATAGAGAAGATTAAGCCCAGAAGAACTGCAAAGCAACCTCAAAATCTTTTGGAGAAATGAGTGACCTTTTAATTTATCGACTTTCTGATGAATCATCATGTTCTGATTCGTTTTAATTCATACCATCCATTTCCATATATGTAAATGAGATGGACTTGATTTCTGCTCTTTCTGTAGAACAATGTAGAATATTAGCATTCAGGAACACAGGCAAATCCATTACATATTTACTTTTACGTCAAACACGGGAATAATAATGCTTATTTCATGGGGAAAGGAAGAAAGGCAGTTGTGGTTAAATTACCTGAGAGCACTCACAGACACTGGGTCTGGTTATATATAAATATATATGATTTTTAAAAGATGCTTGCATTTATGTTTGCAGTTCCAAATTCAATTTCGGTGTCACACAGTTGTCAACAACTGTTTGGGAGCAATGCACATGGGGAAGCTACATCTTCATGAGGTTTAATTTTTCATAAAATTCAATACCCTTTTTTAAAAAAAAATTTGATGACACTGATATGAACAACTCCCACTGTCCTTTAGGGAAGGTTTGGAGATGGTGGTTGCTAGGCAGCCAGGGCCATCACCGGGAAAGCCACCGAAATGAAAGTTTCCCCCGAACAGGAAAGCAGTCCTAGGGATGAGAAATTAACTCTCTGTGGGGCCAGGCAACTTAGATTCTTTTTCTGTTTGTTTTTTTCCCCTCCCATTGTATCTGTAATGATGCCATCAACTGGTGAAGAAATATTTGAGCCACAAAATAACAATGGCAACCCAACTCCCAGGTTCTGAAGCATGAGAACAGATTACTGGGGAGAATGTGTGTCAAAAGGAGCCATCAGTTTTTCTGGATGGACTTATCCACAGAATCCGCTTTATTCCCTTCTCTGAAAGCCTTGTTCATGACTATTTGCTTTTAGAGAAGCTTGGGAATTGGAAATGTCAGTGCCCAAACTTCAGGTCAAACACAATGAGAAGAGTTAGAGCCTCTCCAACAGCTGGCAAGCTTGGTGCTTCAAGAGCAGGGACATAGAAACCATGGCTGGATTCTTCTGGGTTCTTAGCATCATTGATAATAAAAATAACAACAGTGATAGCTATCAGTTACTCTGACCCTGTGCTCAGGTTGTTCCTTAATGAATTCATTTAACCCTTGAGATAATGCTAGCCCATCTTACAGGTGAGGAAACTGAGGCTTGCAAATGTTAAGGAAGTGATCCAAGAATACATAACTAGTGAGTGGTTAGGCTGAAATTCAAACCCAAGTCTTTCTGACTCCAGAGCCATTATGTTATTCTGCTGGTCTCATGGAAGACTACATTCCTGGGAGAAATACAATATGTCTTTCTATTTTTAAACTTGTTTTAAAAACATTTTGAGAGGGGATTAAAGAATCTAGGTGGGTGAAAACGTTGTTACGGAGCAACTCAGTGTCACTGTTTACAGAGGAAGATGAGGAAGGATAAGGAAAGAAAGGACAGGAAGGGGACAGAAGGGGAGGACAAGGCAAGAGAAGAATGGTCTAAAATGGAGCCCTGAGAACTTGCAACATTGGAAGGGCCAACAGAGAGGGGTAAACCAGGAAACAAAATAAGACACAGTCGTTCTTTCTTTCTTTAACCTCATTTAATCCTCATAACAGCCCGGAGGAAGATCCTATTATTAACCCTATTACAATTTAAAAAAAAAAAACAAAAAAAACTGAGGTACAGAAAGGTTAGGAGACTTGCCCAGGGTCACAAAGCTAGAAACTAACAAAGCCCAAATTTTAACCTAAGCTACTAACCTTAGAATCCGTGCTCTTCTGCTGATATACTATGTCTAGTTCGGTTGATCGACCCAGAGTAACATTTTCTTGAGGGGTATTAGTACTGAAGTATGATCTGGGCTGATTTTTTTTTCCTAATAGAAAAATATTTTATGATTCTTTTGAAGCACAAATATTGGCTAATCACTGATCACTTACAACAGGGGTTCCCCAACCCCCAGGCCACAGACCAGTACTGGTACGTCATCTGTTAGAAACTGGGCCTCACAGCAGAAGATGGGCGGCGGGCGAGCGGGCATTACCACCTGAGCTCTGCCTTTTGTCAGGTCAGTGGGCATTAGATTCTCATTGGAGTGTGAACCCTATTGTGAACTGCGCATACAAGGGATCTAGGCTGCACGCTCTTTATGAGACTTCAGCTAATGCCTGATGATATGAGGTGGAACAGTTTCATCCTAAAACCATCTCCCCTTCCTCCATTCATGGAAAAATTGTCTTCCACAAAACCAGTCCCTGGTGCCAAAAAGGTTGAAGACCGTTGATCTACAAAACCTTGTATAGGAGAGATACACTTTTAAGAAAATAGTTTCAAACTATAAATACACATATAATCCTATCCATTACATTAGTGTAACTTTGAATCTTCATTTTGGGACTATGTAGAGTAGAATATCACTTCACCCTGAGCATTTTCAACAGAAGTACAACAGGGGGCCGGGTGCAGTAGCTCACGCCTGTAATCCCAGCACTTTGGGAGGCTGAGGAGGGTGGATCACCTGAGGTCAGGAGTTCAAGACCGTCCTGGCCAACATGGAGAAAACCCATCTCTACTAAAAATACAAAAATTAACCGGGTATGGTAGTGCACACCTGTAATCCCAGCTACTAGGGAGGCTGAGGCAGGAGAATTGCTTGAACCCTGGGGGCAGAGGTTGCAGTGAGCCAAGATGGCGCCACCGCACTCTAGCCTGGGCGACAGAGCAAGACTCTGTCTCAAAAAAAAAAAAAAAAAAAAAAAAGGAAGTACAATGGGACATATGCTTGCCCTTGAAAGCTTGAGACTTCACACTTTACATGAAATCCTTTTTCCTTTCCTCCACAGTATATTAGATCCCTCTCATACATCCACTTTATAAGCAATAGGAATGGTTTTTTACCTGTAAACGTCCACTGGACTATTAGAGCCATTATCCTTCCTAGCACAAATCCTTATGAACCACTCTAATACATTGTCCTTATAGCCAGCTATAAAGCTAGACACCTCTATGCAAGTTTTCGCTGTAGTATCTTTGCTTGCTGAACCCAGACCCAGCCTCAGAATCCTTCTCAACACTCCTGAGAGCCTCTATCCATCAATAAGAGAGGGTATGCAAGTGGAGTATGATTTGCCATCCCTGACCTAGCCGGATTTTCTCAGTGGACTTACCCAGGTGTTTACTGTTTCCCTGGTAGCAGCCAAGACATCTGAAAACAAATATTTGTAATATATGCAGAATTGTTGAATCCTAATACCTGGTGTAGGTGGGCCCAGGAATGTGAATTTCTAACAGGCTGACCAAAGTAATGTTTATGTACTCTGAATCTGGTTCTTTTAAGGCGATTTTCAACCTTGGCTATACAATAGAACCACCTGGAGAGCTTTAAATGGGACAACGTCCAGAACACACCTGAGACCAGTGAAATCAGAATCTTGGGGGTGTAACCTGGGAACGAATATTTATTAAATGGTGTATAATTTCATAGTGCAGCCAAGTCTAGGATCTTGCTATAGCACATCTACCTCTTTTTTTTTTTTTTTTTTGGCACCTCAATGCAGTAATCTATTTAAGACCTACATCTTTCATGGATCTGAGTAGATCAGTATTCATCATTCTTTCACATCTTCCCATTAGACGATTAACTGCATGATTTAACACTTGGTTTGTATAGGTTCTCTTGCAGCTCAGTGGCCTTTGTTTTTGATATGTATCTTCAGGTTTCCCCAGAAACAGACCCTAAGATGAAAATTTGTGTGGAATTTATTTAGTAAGTGCTTCAGAAAAACTGTGGAAGAGGGATTGAGATGGCAAGGAAGCCAAACAAAAGTGTGATTGCAAAGTCCCACAGATGCAGCTTTAGCTTGGCCCTGTAGGCAAGCTCAGGAGTACACGTTATGCCTCAGAGTTGTCCCCACACAAGGAAAAGAGATGGGGCTTTCATATTCATTGAGTGGTTAAGGGTTACTCCAGGGAGATGTAAATTCCCAGGTACTTTTTGTTTTTTCAACCTGCAAGAAACACCCAAAGGCAGCCCTCTCTTCTGGGTGATGGAAGCAGAAGCACATTGAAATTGGTGGAGAATGGGGTGCACCACACAAAAATGGCAAAAAGGTATCCAAAGGGATATGGGAAGAGCATGGATATTGTCCACTGCAGTCTCTAAAACTTCCTTTGTTGGAGAAGGCTGAAATAATTGTTTGGCTGAATCATACTAGAAAGCAGAGTTAGTTACCATATTAGGAAATCAATCACCTTATATGTGAGTAGCATTTAATTCTGTCCCTCCCATATTCTTTGATAAGTCTGTTAGCAAGTGGGTTTCATTTCATCTCTGAATTGATTGGTAAAGGCTACCCAGAGCATTGTACTGAGAGAAAAGGTGAGCTCAGGTTCAGTTAGTGATGCCTGCGGTGAGCAAATGAGAAGGCACCCAATACTGTCAGTGAACTCTGATGCCTCTGGTACCATCAGAATGCCTAGGGAGCTTTTAAAAAATACTGATGCCTGGGCCCACCCCAAGAGATTCTGATTTAATTGGTCTGAGAGGGGGCCCTGGCATTTGTGTTTTATTAAAAGCATCCCACTTGGTTCTATTGTTGCAGTCAAGACAAAGAACCACAGTAATATTCACCATGAATTGCCATGCTATATTCCAGTTGTTCCAGGCAATATTTTCAAGAATACTTTAAAACAATGAAATAAATCCTCCTAAAAATAAATATTTTCTTATAATTTCTTCCTTAGTCTCATAAAAATTTCTTTTTCAAATGTGAACATCAGGACTTTTTTGTTGGTTTTGTCTTGGGCCTTCAACAAAGTGTTGACTTAAACATGCTAACTGATGCCAGATCTTCATCTTGCGTGAAAAGACTTAAATTCTTGATTTCTTTTCGTATATCCTTCAAATATTTACACTCAGAGACATACATACCTCTGTAAAACAATCATCTTTACCTATAGAAAACGTTGCCAGAATGTATACATTTGCAGTGTGTAACACAGAAAATAATAATTCATTGTGCAATTGTTTGGACTTTATTGCTTGCAGCAAAATGATTTAGCAATGGCATGACTACCAGCTACAGTATGTTACAAACTTGCATGCCATCTTGTGGAGGATGTTGCAAGTTGTGCAACTATGAAGTAAACAACTGCCCCAAAAATATTTGTTAAAACTGTGATTGTGGTTTTCTCCAAATACCTGACTTTCACTTGAAGAATTAAAGATATTTTTCTAGATAATTAAAGCTTTTCTTAAAATCACTTTTCCACAATTATATAGCTACTTCAAGCCAAATTGTTTTTCGGCGTGAATAACCCAGATAATTGCCTCCATTCTCAAGTTTATTTGGCCACTCTATGCCTAAACTAAATGATATTTCATCACATAACAAAATTATCTAACATCATATCATATGACTCAAACCTTTTCCCCCCTTTCTCTTGGTGTCACAAAAAGATAAAATTTTAAGATGACGTTAGGGTAGAAGACCAGGACACTGGGAGCAACCCAGAAATTAATCTCTCAAGTGGTTCTGCAAACATTTCCTGAGAGTCTATTATGAATTAAGAAAAACAAGGCCCACTGCCTGTTTACGTGAAGGAAGAACACAGATAATACAATTTTATAGGAGCATTGATATGTCTACAGGACCACAAACCGATTAGGTAAAAGACAACCATTCCCTTGCTATGTAAATTGGCATCAAGTAGCCCAAAGAGTTAGTTTTTCTACTAGGTGCAAAAGGTTTACATCCCTAGGTAATCTCACCTTTTTAATAAATATGAGAAAAGATTTGTGTGCGTCGGCACTATCCAGGTGATGTGGTATTACATGAACAGCAAAACATTTTTGTTTTGTCTTGTTTCGTTGTCTGTTTACTTTGACCAGGTTAACCATTGACAAATCTTCATTTTTATTTCTGCGAATAGACTTAAATTATGGATTCCTGTGTAGTGATGCCATGAATGGGTTCCCACTCCTTTCACACGCTCTCCTTCTTGACACTGACCACAGTGGGTTTTAAGGAAACCCCAAAGAGCTCTTTCTGTTCCCAAAAAGATAGCCACCCTTATTCTCCTTCAAGGGCAATGACTATATCAACTGTTTAAATCTCCTAAGAGACTAGTCTCAAGCATAAATTATAATCAATGCAGACTATTCACCTCCTGCCACCTTTAAGCAACCACCAGGACATATCCATCATACCTCACATATCTCAGTCATCCCAGGAAGTTCAGTCCTCATCACCAGGACAACCGCTTATCCCACTGATATCATCAAACCCTTTCAATATGTCCTCAAAAATTTAGTCTCTCATCAGCAACCCCCCTTTTATCCTCCACCTCTTCTCTGAATGTTCCCTTTCCCTTTCACATTTCTCTGGACAATTCCCTCTCCTTCTCTTGGAGGCAGCAAATTCATGCCTTTTTCCCCTTCTTCGAGTCTCCAGCACTCCCCACAACCCCCTCCCTCTCCTCACTCTCTGCTGCTGGCCTCATTTCTTATTTCACTGAGTGGAAGCAATCAGAAGAAAATATCCACTGCCACTATTTAAAATTCTTGATTATCGTTTTAAAATTGCAAACTATTCCTCTATAGAGTTCCTTATCCTTTTCACTGCTTTATTTTGCTCCGTCACACTAGGCAGCATCTGATATACCAAAATATATGGGCAATCTTCCTACCGCTAGAATATCAGCTCCATGAGAGCAGAGATTTTTGTCTGTTTCCTTCACTGTTAAAGCCCCACTTCTTAGAATATGCTTGGGACAAATAAGCGCTCAATAAATAATTGTTGGTCAGGTGTGGTGGCTCACACCTGTAATCCCAGCATTTACTGAGGCCAAACAGGACAATCGCTTGAGCCCAGGAGTTTGAGACCAGCCTGGGAAACATAGCAGGACACTGTTTCTACAAAAATTTAAAAAATTAGCCAGTGGTGGTGACATGCACCTGTAGTCCCTGCTACTTAGGAAGCTGAGATGGGAGGATCACCTGAGCCTGGGAGGTTGAGACTTCAGTGAACTACGATCATGCCACTGCATTCCAGCCTGGGCAAGAGAGCAAGACTCCATCTCAAATACCTACACACACATACACACACACACACACACACACACACATTGTTGGAAGGGCAAAAGAACGAACATGCAATTACTCTACTTGCCATTTTGAATATGTTCCCTTATACCCCATCTTCCTCCGTTTCTATAAACAAACTGTGCTTCTGACAGTAGGCCCTCCACTCATGCCTGGATGCCATCACTTCAACAACTGTTGTCACTAACTCCTGCATTATTCATTTTCTCCTCTCTATTGGATTATCCCTATCCACATAGAGCATGCTATAATATTTCTCATCATTCCAAAGTAAAAATTTCCCTTGATTCCAAAATCTCCTTTAGGTACTATCCTATTTCCCTGCTCTGCTTTTTAGGAAAATTCTTCGAAAGTTGTCTCTGCTCACTATGGCTACTTTCCTCACCTATCATTCTCTTGAAACTTCTCCAATTAGACTTTCATTCTCACTTCACCAAATGAACCCACTTATCAAGGTCACCAAAGATCTCCTTTCATTCACTCATTAAACACCTCCTATGTGCCAGGTACTTGTCTGAGTTCTAGCAATTAGCATTTTGCCACTTCAGTGATTGGTGATCTCAGTTCTCATCTCCCTCAACATCTCAGCTGCACTTGACCAATCTCTCCTTGAAATACATCGTCCTGAGGCAGGAAAATAGGGTCTGGAGGCAGGGAACCTAAGGCTGTTTCACTACCACTTCCTAGAACTAAATTGAAAGGAAAACCCTAACTTTCCATACCTAAGTAACAAAAGGATCAGAGGCTACACTCTGCAAACCCCCCACCTTTTCTGCCCTGCAGGTGGGAAATTGGCTGTCTGCAATAAATCAGCCTGGTTGCCGTCCCGTCTCCCTTTGCAAATTTTTAACTTCACTCCAGCCTCTGAATTGTTGCTGTTCACAACCAATCAGACTGATTGCGGGCAGAGCCTTTGTTTGCATAGAAGTTTAACTTTGTAACTTCACCCCAGCCTCTGATTGGTTACTTTTTGCAACCAATCAGATGTTTGCATAGGAATGTGACCTTTTTAACTTCACTTCAGCCTCTGGTTGGCTGCTTTCTGCAACCAATCAGACTGATTGAGGGCTACCATTTTATTTACATGAGGTGAGCAGGAAGTGGCCAATGGGAAACGTCTAGGGGGTATTTGAACCCAAGAAGATCCTGTATCCTTGCCCTTGAGCTGCTGCTCAGGTCTGTTCCCACACTATGGAATGTTCTTTCGTTTTCAATTAATGCCTGCTTTATTCTTTCATTGCCTCACTCGTTCTTTGCTTTGCTGGTCCTTTTGTCCAATTCTTTGTTCAAAATGCCAAGAATCTGGACAACTTGCAGTCACGACCCTCTACCAGTGACAGCCCTATACTTCTGGGAGACACTCCACTCTCCTGATTTTCCTTTTACCTTGCTGGTCCTGTTCAATCTCATTTGCTCAATCGTCCTCTTCCTTCTAACCGCCCGAGGTGATCTCATTTGGTTCCAGGCTGTAAACACTGTGTACAAACTGGTAATTCCACATTGACACTCCAGGCCCCATGTCTTTGATGAACTACGTATTTTTAAACCTACTTGCCTACTCTTTCTGGTTGTTTAATTGGCTTCTCAATGTAAACATGTTCAAAACAAAGCACGTGATTTTCCTCCTCAACTTCATTTCTCTTTAATGAGTTGCTCAGGCCAAAAACCTAGAAACAATCTTGATCCCTCTCTTTCCATTATATCCCACACCCAATTTGTCAAGTTTGTCAACATTACCTCCAAAATATATGCAAACTGCCAACGTGTTTAGGGGGAAAGGGCAACCATGTTTGCAATTTACTTTGAAGTACACAAATATAATAAGAGGAATTCATATATGGATACAAAAATGGATAATGTGATAATGCAGAGACAGTAAAATATTAATAATAGAATCTAGTGGTGGGTATATGGGTGTTCACTCTTTCAATTTTTCAGCTCTTTCACCTTTTTGGTATATTTAAAATTTTCTATAATGAAATGTTGGGAAAAATATGTAAAATGCAATAACTTCTCATCACCCCAACTGCCCCCATCATCTCTCACCTGGACTGTGGCAGTCACCTCTAAATGGTCTCCCTGCTTCCACTCTTGCCTCTTGACCGTCAACTTTTTCACACACAAGATAGTTTGATCTTTTAAAAATATTAATATGATTCATTCCCCTACCAAAAATTTCCAAGGGGATTAATCCCACATTAGCCAAAAGAAGATCCAGAATCCTTACCAATGTTTAAAAGAACCCACAAAATCTGATTGCTGGCTACATCTCCAATGTCTTCTTTCTAATTCTCCCACTCACTCTTTGCTCTTCAATTAAATCACTATCTTTGTGGTGCCTTCCAAATAAATGCTAGCCTGTTTCTTCCTCGGGGCCTTTGTCAGCAACATTCTACCCCAAGATATATGCAATATACAATTTTGACTAATCTAAGTGTAGCTTCAAATAACACTATATGACTTTATAGATAGTGTGGGTATCTTATAAGAAAGTTCTTATTTCCAGTTTCTCCTCTTGTCACTTATGATGTTGCTGCCATTCATTTCACTTACGCACTTGATATAATCACCCAATACACTGTTAGTATTAAAGTGATCTTTTAGATCAACTAAAAGGAGAAATACATATACTTTACCTTCATTTATTCCTTCTATATCCTTCTTTATGCAGATCCAAGTTTCTGCGCCATATAATTTTCTTTCTCCCTGGAACTTCTTTAACATTTTTTGCAGGACAGGTGTCTGGTGGTCATGAATTTCCTCAGTTTTTGTTTGTCTGAGAAAGTCTTTATTTCTCTTTAGCTTTTTTTGTTTATTTGAGGTATATTTGACCTCAATTTAAAATTGGATATATCTAAGGTATGGAATTTGATGACTTGATATAATTTTGTTGGATATATTTTATTTAAATTTCAATAAAATCTCATTTTAAATACTTCATTCCACTCTCATTTTGTTTGGTTTCTAATGAAAAGTCTGCTGTAATTCTTATCCTGTTCCTCTATAGGTAAGGTGTTTTTCCCTCTGGCATGTTTCAAGATTTTCTCTCTCTCTCTTTGGTTTCTGAGGCTTGAATATGGTATGTCTAGGGGTATGTGTGTGTATGCAGTTATGTGTGAATATATAAAATCTGGTAGATGAGTCCCAGATAATATAAGGCTCAGACAAAGACTTTTCCTTTGGAGGGTAGGCCTTTGTCCTGCAGAAAACTCTGGGATTATTTCACCATGATTCTCTTCTCTTCCCTCTCCCAGAGACACAAGGTGTTCTTTCTTGGATCTTTGCTGTGAGAACCCAGTAGAGTTCATAACGGTAAAACTTACAAAAGTGTAGGACTACCCTCACAAGACTGTGACACACAGTTTCTCACTCTCCTGCTAGTCCACACTTAGCCTCCAGTAATTCATCAAAGCTACCAAGTATATCTTCCTACCAGTCTATGGTTCCAGAAGCTTCTGTGCCAAATAAGCAGAGATTGGCTAGCAGTCTTCCGTTTACCTGTCACTCCAGATTTTGGAGTGGCAGTTTGCCCTAAGGCGTCCAAGAAAAGTTTTGATTTTCATTTTGTTCAGCCTTTCTTTGTTGTGAAGATGAGAAGTCCCACTTTTTCTACATCTCAGAACAAATATCAGGGATTCTTAACATGTAGAGTAGCAATGGTGGTGAAGTATGAAAAGCCCTGGCCCTGGAATTTAGGTAGGTCTAGATGTGGATATAATCCAGACTCGTTACATTGTCATTTATTCAGCAATTACTATGGAATTTCATCTTTCACCTTTCATCTTTCTAATAACCCCAGAGATAGATCATATTAGATCAATCTTACAGGGTGATCTAGCACAATCTTCCTACTCTGTGGATTCTAGTTAGGCATTGTATAAGATGTTAACAGGTGTTACATTTTTTTAAGTGCAATGGACAAATAATTGGAACAAATTTGATTAAACACACATCTCTCTATTAGACAACTCCACAGGGAATTTAATGTGCTGTGTATTGTTAATTCAGGGGAGATGTGTAGACATCATTTCCCAAAATAATTTGATCACAGGATCTTTTATTTTTCTCATGGAGCATCTGGTAAACTGTGTGTTTTGTGGAATACTTTGGGAACTGTTGGTATGATAGGAAACATGCAAGATTTAGAGCAAGATGGACATGAATTTGAATTGTAACTCCACTACTTACTGTTGAGGCAAATTACTTCATTTCTATTGGCCTCATATTCCTCCTCTATAAATTAAAAATATAATACTTCTTTAGCAATATATTAGGTAATACTATAGCAACAATAGCATCTACTACAGGGATTAACATGGGGATTTAATATATAAAGTATGTGCCTATCACATAATAAACACTTAATAGTTATTAATATTATTTTACTATCATCATCATCATCAGGCCCCAAAACAGTGGCAGCCTCTTCCTAATATTAGAACTTGTTTTTCTGTGAATCAATATAAAGACTGAAACAAATGAATATTGTAACCCAGTCATGAGTACATGAATAGCATCTGGCCTGATCTACTGTGTCACAATGATGTATGTAGGAGTGTGTCTAAATGTAAGTTTCCACAGCCTATGTCACCGCTGAAATGTCATTCCATGATTGGTGAAATTCTGAGAGAACATTGCATAGACCTTCCAAATATGGCCCAGGAACAAATTCTCTTCTGTGAAAAGTGTAGGGCCGGAACCAGAAACATTTAATCTCTATGAGCAAGCATTTAGAAGTCCTTTATTTGAAATGAATTACTTGCATTAATTGTCTAGTAAGTCATTTTGATTGTACATTGGAGTCACAGCTAAACCCTATTGGACTGTGGTGTGTTTTATGCCCTATAATGTCAACATTTTAGGTGGGTGAGCTGCCATGGAGAACAACAAGGAAGCAATTGTGTTATGATATCTGATTCCTGTGCGGCTGGAGCTGCTCAGTGCTGCATTCAATCCTATAATCTTGAACATGCTGATTTGGAGCAATATGCATGATTACGTGGTTGAATTGCATGTTACAGAGAAAGCTGTGACCTTTCCAGTCCCATCCTGGATGTGGCATTGTGCTATTGGGAGAAGGAGGAGACAAATGTGTGTGGGGAAGCTTGTGTAATTATTCAAGTGTACTCAATACTTTTTAAAACCATGTGGACAATACCTCAAATATTAGTGGACATCTACTGCTTAAAGAAAATTTTGTATGATTCAAGTTGCCTGGAGCAAGTATCCAATAGCATTACCAAAAGTTGTAAATATTGAGTGTACAGCATCAACATGTTCAATTGTGTAATTTTTAGCCAGTCTGGGAAGGCAATACAACACTAAAAATGAAAGACACAATATTATTTTCTATCAATTCATTAGCTAAAATATTATAGTTTAATAATGCCATAACCGTTCCATATGGCATAAAAAATTAAGACATTATTATAAAGCCTATCATTTGCAAAATGTTTTACAGTTTAAAAACTACTTTCATGTTCATATAAACATAATCAAATATTATGTTTAATTATAATGAGAGAAAGCAATATGAGACAAGAAAAAGCAGGTGTCATTTTCCCAATTTTACAGTTGAAACAGCAAAGCAGAAATGTTAAGTGATTTGCAGTAGTAGAGTAAGAACTTAAACCCAAGCCTCTTGGTACCAAGCCCATAGTTTCCTCTCCATCTAGGGCATTATAAAACCTGAGGACGAGACCTAGAGTTTTGAAATACAAATTAATTCTGCCAGAAAGCTGGATTCTTTCTCTACCTGTGTATAGCCAAGATTCCTAAGAACAAAATGAAATGTCTTGACATCTTTTGCTAAAGTTACTTAAGGATTAGGTTGGGTCGGCCTGCACAGGATGGAATGTACTAGAAGGGAAGCAATTACCTGGACAACCCAGACCTTAATCATTTTCACCTAAAGTATCCTGATAATTGAGGCAAAGGTATGTTTGAAACCTAAGTTGTGGGTATAAATGACTTGATTGCCTCCATGGCTTTATATTTGAATTCAATCACACATAAAACCACTAGGCACTGTTATTCTCTGTCCCAAAGCATAAATTACCTCCAAAACGGTATCCTCTGGGTCGTTGGCCGCTGCTCAGTAAATGACTGTGCCTGGGGCAATATCTTTCAGGATATAAATCTCAGTAACTGCCAGAAAATGTACAACAGATGTGCTTGAATGAGCATCACCCCCATAAGCCTAAAACCTCTCATCCAATCGTGAATTTCAGATAAAACTTAAGGCATTGCGCTTGCTCAGCACAGATGTTTTATAGGGGTATTCCCATTAAACCTATAATAATAATAATAATAATATACCATTTGTCAAGTGTCTCTTATGTGTCAAGTATAGACCAATGAGATTTATACATTTAAACAGGAACAATGTTGAACATGTTTTGAGTGCTTATTAATTACTAAGCACTTAACATCACTGGTGACTTTATCATCATTTCCATTTTACTAAGGTTTAGAAAGATTGAATAACTGGCTCAAGGTCACATAGCTAATACGTTAATATTGCCTAATTATTTTATTAAAATTTGTCTTGTCCTTAATTTTGCACTCTTCCCATATGTTTTTAAAACAGTGAGGAATACAAACTTGCAAATTTGCCAGTGGAATCCCTTTTCCAAGCAACAGGAACCTTGAGGCAGTAAGAGATCCTTGAGTGTCTGAGGGGAAGAACCACCCAGGGGAAACTGCTGCACAATTGTGCCAAGAAGGCAGGATATGTGGATAGCCAAAGGGTCAATGGGCCTGCTTAGAGGGTAGCCAGGACCTGCTCATCTGATAAGCAAATGCTCATCAAGTGTCCACAAGCACTCTGGCACCAAGCTCGCAGTTTTAGAAGTCAGAAGAGCATAATTTCACCTTGTATCTGCCCAGGAGGAGTTTACCGTCTGCCCTGGGGAAGGGAAAAAAGGGAGACACTTGTTGAGCACCTACTGTGTACCTGGCACTTTAAAACCCTGAGCCTCATCAAGATGGGATTAATATCTCAGTTTAATCAATGGGGAAACTGAAGCTTAGACAAGACAAGTAATTCTCTCCAGTTAGTGGCCACTCCAATATCTGAGCCTCAAATTTTTTTTTATAGTAGAGAACATGTAGGCATTAAATATTTGACTACATAGAAAGAGACAGAGATGAGAAAGAGAGAAAGTGAAAGAGATACATACACGGTGAAAAAATAAATAGACAAAAATAAAAAAAAACAGAGCAAGAAGAAGCAAAAGAGGCATGGTCCCTGTCCTTGGTGAAGCTTCTAGCTTAATGATATAGACACATCATTAATTAAATAATCACACAAATAAGATAATTTTTAGTACACAATCATCAAACAAATAAATGAATAATTCTCAACACTGAGAAAGTTACTTCACCTTTCTGTTGTCTACGTAATAGAAATAAGAGTAGAACTTACCTCTAGTGTTGTGAGCATTAAATAAAGTAGTACAGTTAAAGCTGTTAGGACAGTGCCTGGTACATAGTTAGTGCCCAGCGTCAGCCATTTATCATTTCTATTGTTACTGTCATTTTTATCACTATTATAGCCATGATGTTTTGAGAGTACAAGGGGCACAGGGAAGAGCATCTATGTAGACATATCCACTTCAAGGAGCTCCCTTAACCAAGAAATACAACCCTGGGCTCAAGCTGGCCCTTCAGGTATGTTTCCCTCTGTCCTGGGAGCCCCCAGGGACAGCAAGTGTGTCCATTTTGCTCCCTAGCATCTTACATGGTATCAGGCTTCCCATTCGTTTTCAACACATATTTATTGAATCAATGCAAATGCCTATTCTTTACACTGGGAGAAAACAGGAAGATGGTTTAAGTCTCCATCTGGCAGATTACTTCCATCCAGGGAATAGGCAGGGTGAACACAGAAAGGGTAACTTGGGTTCATTTTCCCAACCTGCCTATGCAACCCCACTTATGTTGCTCAATGACAGGTCGCAATTTGAAGATTACATAACTGGAGTGTACCTTGTCTCATTTCCGTTGATTTATCTATATAATCAGTTCACTTCAAGCTTTGCTATTGTTTCTGCAGAGACTAGCTTGGTGTTCATTTGGTGGTTGTTGGTTTTTGTTTGACTGCCTGACCAATCGCCCTTCCTAACTAAGCTCAATCAGTCTTTTGCAAAACAAACAAGCATATATGCTGCAAGGAAAGAAGTTCAGAAAAGGATAATGATATGCTGGGATATGCCAAACCCCAAATAGAACAGTATTTCCATCCTTGTACTGCAATGTTGTAGAAACAGTTATTAACTCATTTCGTTTAGCCTTTATCTGCAGGTGTACTTGCTTGTTATGAAACTGCTGCATAATTGAACTACTTCTAAAGCTTGTCTTTAATACAGTTATGATTATGTGGCCACATCTTTCTTAGTTTTTTTATTACCTGTAATCTGGCTATAATAATGCTAAATATTGAAGTATAAGTATATTTATTACAGTAACAGCTATTGTGTGTTGACTGCTTGCTATGGACAAAGCAGTAAGACAGCACTTTCCATACATTATCTTTTAGAATCTTCTTGCTAATCCCTGAAAATAATAATTAAAGTGCAGAAAGTCCAATAAATTACCCAAGGTCATGTTTCTACTGACTGAAGGAGCTGTGGTTGAAAACTAGGTTTATCAGACCCCCAAATCAGTGCTTAGAGCAGCTGTGCTCACTACCTTCACACACAGAAACACACACACATACACAGACACACACACACAGACACACACACTAAGCAAAACTACTGAACACTCTTTGCCATCATTCTGCTGCTATTTAGACTTAAAACAAAAATCTAATTAAGAACAAGCAGGAGAAAACATTTTACACCAAACTGAAGCTGGAAGCAAATTTAAGTCTGACAATACCAAGGTTTGGCAAGGATATTCAAAAGCCTCATAACAGACCTCTCCTGCCCCTTTTAAATCTGTTCTCTTTACAATAGCAAATTAAGCTGTAAGCAAATCATGTCTCTTTCCTGCACAACTCCTTAGTGGTTTCTTAAGTGTGGGAGGTGGATTTAATATCCCCAATTCTTAATATTTTCTATATTCATGTCTTTTGCCGTGTGCCTTGGCAATTCCTCCTAATAAAAACAGAGTATATTTCTTCAGCCCATGGCTTGGATATGTGACACTTGTTTTAGCCAATGATATGCGCAGATGTGGGTCTTGAAATGTACATGTGGGGTTGAGAAATCCTCTTGCTCTCCTCCTTTTGCCCAGAGAAGAATGTCCCTCTGCTAGCCAGTGTCCCAAGGAGAATGGGAAGGACAAGAGACAGACCTGAACTCAACCTGCAGACTGAAGCCAAACCAGGCTAGATCAGCTAAACAACATGCTGCTCTCAAGGACTTTATTACTCCGGCACAGCAAGCAGCATAAGCTTCATGTTCACATTGGTCCCCTTGCTCTCACGTGCCATGGGGACCATGTAGAGGAGCCCGGCTGAATGCTGTGCATGCAGTGGGTTTGTATCAAGGTCTAAGAAACTCTGACCTTAGGGAATCTGGATCTCTTATAACAGCAGTCCCCAACCTTTTTGGCACCAGGGACTGGTTTCATGGAAGACAATTTCCACAGACCAGGGTTGAGTGGGAATGGTTTCGTGATAATTCAAGATCATTATATTTACTGTGCACTTTATTTCTATTATTATTACATTGTAATATATAATACAATTATTATACAACTCACCATAATGTAGAATCAGCGGGAGTCCTAAACTTGTTTTCCTGCAACTAGATGGCCCCATCTGGGGGTGATGGGAGACAGTGACAGATCATCAGGCATTAGGTTCTCATAAGGAGAACGCAACCTAGATCCCTTGAATGAGCAGTTCACAATAGGGTTCACGCTCCTATGAGAATCTAATGCCGCCACTGATCTGACAGGAGGCGGAGCTCAGGAGATAATGAGAGTGATGGGGAACAGCTGTAAATACAGATGAAGCTTCGCTTGCTTGCTTGCCACCCACCTTCTGTTGTGTGGCCCAGTTCCTAACAGGCCATGGGCTGATACTGGTTTGTGGCCTGGGGGTTGGGGACCCCTTTCTTATAGTGAACAATCAGCCTGCCTAAACTTTGATCCAGAGGGAAAAATTAGCTATATTTTATCTAGCTGGGTATGATATAGCCATCTAGGTAAACAAAGCTTCCTAACATGGCTCACAGACACTGCAGGCTCTGCCTTCCCCATCTCCTTTGCAGTATAATCTCCCACGTGCTTTCTCTTTGGCTCCTGTCACATTGATCCTTCAGTCTTCTCTTTTTACCATGCTCCTTCTTGCTACAGGGACTTCGCACATGCTGCTCCCTCTGCCTGGAATGTTCTTCTCTTCTTCTTTATCTATTCAATTCCTATGCATTCTGCAGATTGCTTTTCATGTAGCTCTTCCTCAGGGAAGCCTGACTAGTTAAAATGTCCCCTTTAGGGACTCCCACAGACCTGTGAGTCTGCCTTTCTTGGCTGTTACTGCATTTACAATTTTATGTTAGATTGGTGCAAATGTAATTGCCATTGAAAGTAATGGCAAAAACTGCAATTACATTTGCACTAACCTAATACTTTTGGGTATATTCACTTGATCAGTATGTCTCCCTATGAACAAGTCAATTCCATGAGGGCAAGGAATTCCCTGTGTCTCAGTAGATTCTCAATAATTACTTGTGAAATAAATGGATCTTGATGTCCCTAAGGATTTTTAGAGTGTTTGACATATAATAGGATTCCAAAGAGTGGTCACCAAATTAATAACATACAGTAGAAGGTAAGAAAAAACAGAATGATATTTCATTTTAAAGACCTTGTGGTATCAAGTGATAATACTGTTTGCCAACATACTTACTTCCCAAAGATGTATGGATCTATGAGACAGCACAAATGGATGGACTGCAGGATTTGCATTAATAATAACAGGATCTCCAACCAGAGAAGCATGAGGTGAGACAGACACAGTGACTTTGGCAATCTGTGTATATTCAGAGGCATTTTCCAGAAGAGGGCTGGCATTCTCAATTACAAAATTTGGAAAAGCTAGAACATCTTAGAGGAAACACAAAAGTTGGCTTTTTAATGAGGATTTCTACAAGGCTTCCTAACCAATTTTGTATTTTAAAACCACAAAGGAAAAGTGCAATAAATACTTCTTTTTATTACTTTTTTTATTAATTAGAAGTTATTTTTTAAATTAAATGTCTTAAAGATCAGTTGAGTTGGCTTGGTAGGGTCATCAGGAGCTGAGAAAGATTTCAGAACTTACCCTACAAGTTACCATACTGCAGTTTCACAGAGGCTGGCAGAAGACACAAGACTTCTGGGTCAGAGACAAAGGACTTTATTACTCATAGCTCAGCAACCAGCATAAGCTTCATGTTCACATCCTTTCTCTTTGTTCCTCAGGCCCCACGGGGGCAAAAACAAATGCCCTAAATAGATGCTCTGCATGCTTTGGGTCTGCATTTGTATCACAGTTGAGAAACCCTTAACTTACAAACCCACATCTTATAAAACGAGCAGTAAGCCTGCCTGACCTTTGACCTGGAGGGAGAAAATACCTTTATTACACTGGATGCTAAACAAACCATCCTCTGCTTCAGAGGGAAATAGTATCTCTATTACTACTTAAACATGCTTAAAAAAAATTGTCCAGAACAAAGGCAACCAGTGCCTCTGCTCACAAGATGCACAGAAGTGCAAGAGACCCACGGAGAACTGTCTCCCAGCAAGGGCTGGTCTTTTTTCATTTGTTTTGGTTTTGTTTTTTTATACTTTAAAAAATATGTGTAGCAGCTGCGCAGTGCCCCGCCCCCATTTCCTCCATACTCACCTCTACAAGTGGAATACTACTTCTACAACTCTGCCTGGAGAGCAGCTTCTCCTGCACAAAGGATAAGCCAGAGTGCCAGAGAGTGAAGTCCCCTGGAAGCTGTCCTCAAGCAATGGCCAAGAGGGATATGGTGATCAAATACCTCAGCTTCCTCACCTTTAGTGTGGATAAATAACACTGAGGTGTGCTTCCACACTGGATTCCTGAGTACCCCAATGAAATCGAGCTCTGGTTGCCCCTGGCGCTAACACGCTTGTTAACACACCCTTTATCCATTGCCTACCATTCATTGTCTGGCTTCCTTACCCCACTCTGGGTGTTTCCTGGGATCAGCTCCCAAGTTAATTACAGTACTTGCACTGGAACCCTTCCCTTAGTGTTGGCTTTCAAGAGAATCTGAACTAAGGCAATGTGATATAATAATGTTTTGCAATGTGCAACAAAACATAAAGAATATGGCACTGGCCATTTCAGTAAGAGAACAGTATTAAGGAAATCAGATATGATCAGTTAATTCAGATAAATACTGAAGTTTAGAAAGGTCTTCTGCCTTGCCATATCTGATCCCTGCTCGTGTCTCTGGCCTCATCTTTCCATACGTCCCTTTTCATATGCTCGTTGCAATTATCCCGAACTTCTTTCCACTTCTCTAGTCCACCTCTAAACAATTATATATATTTTTTCTACAGCATTTTTAACTTCCTAACATTCTACCCATTCTTCAGTTGGCCCTTAGACATCACTTTCTTCAGAAAGTCTTTCCTGGCCTGCCTGACTCTGCTTCAGTATTCCTTCTCAGTGTTTGCATGTTACCCCATCATGACATTTGACACATTGTATTATAATTGCCTTTAGTTTGGGTGACTCCTCGGGGAACCATAAACTCTAACTGCAAAAAATGTGTTTATTTGATAACTGAATAAGAATACCTCATTTTTTTTTTCTTTTTTTTAGACGGAGTCTCGCTCTGTGGCCCAGGTTGGAGTACAGTGGCATGATCTTGGCTCACTGCAAGCTCCATCTCCTGGGTTCACGTCATTCTCCTGCCTCAGCCACCCGAGTAGCTGGGACTACAGGCGCCCACCACCACGCCCGGCTAATTTTTTGTATTTTTAGTAGAGACGGGGTTTCACCGTGTTAGCCAGGATGGTCTCAATCTCCTAACCTCGTGATCCACCTGCCTCGGCCTCCCAAAGTGTTGGGATTACAGGCGTGAGCCACTGCACCCGGGCCCTCATACATATTTTTTGAATGAATAATAAATAATATTAATGATCATTTGTAGGACAGTCTTTCACTCATATTTTTTTCATTTAATCCTCACAACAACCCTGGGGTGAGGGGTATGATTATTCTCTCTTCCATTTTCCACATGAGAATGCTGAGACACAGAAACACCAAGTGGTTTTATGTTATACAGCTAATCAGTGGCAGAGTTGGGATTTGAACCCAAAATTTGACTTGCTGGAACCAAATCTCATGTTTTCAAATGACTGAGATGCTTTCATGATTCAGGATGAACTTCTCTTGGGTAAAAATGAGAAAAAGCAAAAGTTGGCTGGGCAAGTGGCTCATACCTGTAATCCCAGCACTTTGCAAGGTCGAGACCAGTGGATCACCTGAGGTCTGGGAGTTCGAGGACAGCCTGGCCAGCATGGTGAAACCCTGTCTCTACTGAGAATACAAAAATTAGTCGGGCGTGGTGGTGGGCGCCTATAATCCCAGCTACTCGAGAGGTTGAGACAGGAGAATCACTTGAACCCGGGAGGCAGAGGTTGCAGTGAGCCCAGCTCGCCCCATTGCATTCCAGCCTGGGCAACAAGAGTGAAACTTCATCTCAAAAAAAAAAAAAAAAAAAAAGAAAGAAAGAAAGAAAGAGAAATAAATAAATAAATAAATAAAGGGAAAGAAAAGAAAAGAAAAAAAGAAAAAGTGAAAGTTTTCAGAATGTCAAAATTTGAGAAAGTTCTCACGCAACTGAACAATAGCTCTGGGGAGGAAGGAGGAGAACGACATAATGAACGAACTTTCCGATCAAGCAGATTTTGGCTCAGATCCTAATTCTGAGTCTCACTGGACAAATGACAACTTGGACAAGCAACTCATCTTCTCTGAGGCTAGAAGACAACTGTCACTCAATTAGAAGCCTCTGGCTGGACCAGTTAGGAAGCTCCTCATTGTTATTTAAGAGATAAGTGATACAGATTATTGGTCACTATGATTTGTCATTCATTCTCATAGAAAATGTAGAGTTTCTTTTTACATAAATTCATTATGTTTTATTAGACAGGATGTATGAAAGCTGGGTAAAAATAGTTCCCTAAATGATGTTATTTCATACAACTTCTGTCTAACCCTGTGGTGTCAGGAAATTACTCAATGCTCGAAGTCACAATGCATTTGGAAACAAAAAGTCATTATATGTCCTACTGTGCTGGCTTACTTTGTATTTTTCTCTGTTTTCTTCTTTCTCTCTCTTTTATTTGTTCTCTGCTTCCCTTAATTTCAGCTGAGCTTTTTCTTTACAGTGAAGGTTTTAGCAAAGGTAACTAAGGCTAGACTCTCAGAACATCTTTGGAAAAAGCAAATAATTTTTTTAAAGTGCCCTGAATTCAGGTCCTATTGCCTCTTCATTCCCGAATTAAAACTTCTCTTCCAATTTAGTTGGTCAAGCTTTTATTGAATGGTAAGGTTGGTCCCTAGGTATTAGGTATAACTTAAGAAATTCACAAGGATGAATAGGGCCTCATACCTACCCCTTCACTCCCTGCCCAGGTACACTCAGCCCAGGAGAAAATGTGATGTATCCAGGAAACAACAGTGAGGCAGACACTGTCAGTGCCCCACCCACATCCCTTTCACTCTTACCATTTCAGTGCACACAATCCCAATTCCGTCGGTACCTGTGGTGTCCTCTGGCACTGAAGTACTGGAAAATTAATGTGCTTTTTTTTTTCTTTTGGTCTCCATCAAAGGAGACTTTCCTCTCCAAAACCTCATGAATCTATTTCATGAAGGTGGCTGCAAGCCTCTCTCCAATCATGTATATTTTCACCATCCTCTTTCCTGAATCAAAAAATTATCTTCTACTTCCAAAGGTGGGCTTTAGGATATATAAAACCTTTCTGTTTAAGCAATAGTCTGAAAATTTCTGAACCATAAAATTTGTTAACTAGATATTTTTTATTTTTGCTCATTGACTTTCCTGAAACAGGCAAGGAAACAGATTCACCCCTCCAGCCTCCAGAAGGTAGCATAGCCTTGCCAACACTTTGAGTTCTTCCCAGTGAGACCCATGTCAGAACTTTTAACTACAGAACTGTAAGACAAATTTATGCTGTTTTAAGGCATCATCAAGTTTGGGATAATCTGTTGCAGCATGAAAAGAAAATTAACACAGAGGTTATTTTGATTATGTAAGAAAATATCAGTAAGCACATCTTACGTGAGTGAGCTGCCCATAGTGAATGGCCAATGTGCTAAACCTGAAATTGGGTAGCATCACTCCTTTTCTCAAAATCCTCTAAGAGCTTCTCGTCTCACACAGAGCAAAAGGCCAAACTCCCACAACTGCCTCCAGATCCCACATGTTAGGCCCTTCGTTATCTATCTGGCCTCATCTTCTACCACTCTTGCTCTCCCTCCCTCTGTTCCAGCCACACAGGCCTGTCTGTTCTTTGCACACATCAAGCAGTCTGTGCCACAGAGACTTTGCTCTGATCATTCTCCTCGTCCAAGGTGCATCTTCCCTGGATCTCTCCATGACTCATTTACTCATTTCCTGTAGGTCTCTGCTATTAGGTTGGAGTAAACATAATTGCGGTTTTTGCCATTAAAAGTAATGGCAGGCCGGGTGCAGTGGCTCATGCCTGTAATACCAGCACTTTGGGAGGCTGAGTCAGGTGGATCACTTGAGGTCAGTAGTTCAAGACGAGCCTGGCTAACATAGTGAAATCTCATCTCTACTAAAAATACAAAAAATTAGCCGGGGCATGGTGGTGCCTGTAATCCCAGTTACTGGGAAGGCTGAGGCAGGAGAATCATTTGAACCCAGGATATGGAGGTTGCAGTGAGCCGAGATCACACCACTGCAATCCAACCTGGGCGACAGAGCAAGACACCATCTCAAAAAAAAAAAAGTCATGGCAAAAACCGCAATTACGTTTGTGCCAACCTAATATAATGTCACTATAGCAGAGAGGTCTTCTCAGGCCAAATAAAAAAATTTCCCACCCCTGCAGACACTTCCTATCTCTTAAAATTTCACATATTATTTGTTCATTTTTTTGCCTCCTCCCTATCCCCCTCCCACTTAAAATACAAGTGTCATGAAATTGGGAACTTTCATCTGTTCCTCGCTGTATGCTCAGTACTAAGAACAGTGTCTGTCCATAGTAGGCACTTAATAGAGATTTGTGGAATGATCAGGTGAATAAATGAATACATAAAATGATCCTTTTTTGCTAACTGAAGTATATCAAGCCTATTGACCTATGGGTCAAGACCTTATTATTTCGTGACACGGAATGCACTTGAAAACTTGCTACTACATGTCATTTTGTTGGTTCGGATTCTCTATTCAATTCCACAGGTTGGGCCATGTCAATGACGGCTTATATCTGTATTCGATGGTGTCTTGTTGCCATTGCATTAAAGAGTGAATTGATTTTAGGTTTTTCTTCAATATATTTGCATGAGCTGAGAAACTTGGGAATAATTTGGTTTTCCACTAAAGGTATATTCTGAAAAACAATCTCAATCCCTTAACATACGATAATCTCTAGAAAAGGGGATCATAATTTTCCGAGAATATCAACCCATCCACCAAACTGGTTTTGTTTTGTTTGAGACAGAGTCTCACTCTCTCACCCAGGCTGGAGTGCAGTGGTGCGATCTCAGCTCACTGCAACCTCCACCTACAGGGTTCAAGAAATTCTTGTGCCTCAGCCTTCCGAGTAGCTGGAATTACAAATGTGCACACCACCACACCTGAGTAATTTTGTATTTTCAGTAGAGATGAGATTTTGCCATGTTGCCCAGGCTGGTCTCAAACTTCTGACCTCAAGTGATCCGCCTGCCTTAGCCTCCCAAAGTGCTGAGATTGCAGGTGTGAGACACCATATTCGGTCCAAACTGTTATTTAAGTAAGCAGGGCTGGCATTTTATTATGCATTTCCTGTTAAAATAGTTAAATAAAAAACTCTTCACTTTCTGAAATTAAGTCAATAACTAAAAATAATAAAAATAGAGCCAGGCACGGCCAGGCGAGGTGCCTCGCACCTGTAATCCCAGCACTTTGGGAGGCCGAGGCGAGCGGATCACGAGGTCAGGAGATCAAGACCATCCTGGCTAACACAGTGAAACCCCATCTATATTAAAAATACAAAAAACTAGCCGAGCATGGGGGCGGAGGCCTGTAATCCCAGCTACTCCGGAGGCTGAGGAAGGAGAATGGTGTGAACTCGGGAGGCGGAGCTTGCAGTGAGCCGAGATCATATCACTGCACTCCAGCCTGGGTGACAGAGCAAGGCTCTGTGTCAAAAAACAAAAACAAAACAAAAAAAAAAACAAAAAAAAATAGAGCCAGGCACACTGGCTCACACCTATAGTCCCGACTACTTGGGAGGCTGGGGTGGGAAGATCACCTGCGCCTCAGTTCAACTTGGGAGGTATAGCAAGACCCCTTCTCTAGAATAAAATAAAAAGAATAAAAATAATCATAGGCTCATAGCTGTATTACAAAGACAAATTGTGAAAAAATAGAGAATGCTATGTGAAAATGCTGGCATAGAATGATGGAAACTGAGATGCTGCCTCTTCATACTCAAGGACAAGAGGAGATTAAAAAAAAAATTGATCTCCAGAAAGACAGAACCAATAGAAAAAATATATTAAAAATAAAATTAATTTAAAATTAAAAAAAAAAACTAGTTGAACTCTGTTCATGGAGATTGTAAAATAATGCCTGACAGCTGGTGTAGAGCACTGGGAGTGGTAGCGACTGCGGTAAACTGAGAACTTGTTCCCACCCAACTGGGGTGCCACTCCTCTGCCTATCTGGGAATGTGGGCTGAGTTGCCAGGGACTCTTATTTTTTTATGAGGATCCTGAAATGGAAATTTTTATGTGAAATCTTCTGATATTCAAAATATCCTGTAGGCCAGGGTTGTCCAATCTTTTGGCTTCCCTGAGCCACAATGGAAGAAGAAAAATTGTCTTGGACCACACATAAAATGCACTAACAAAAATGATGGCTGATGAGCTAAAAACATTTTTTTAATCACAAAAAAATCTCATAATGTTTTAAGAAAGTTTATGAATTTGTGTTGGACCACATCCAAAGCCATCCTGGGTCACCTGTGGTCCACGGGCCACACGTTGGACAAACTTGCTATAGGCCAAACATGTCTGAGCATCTCCACTGTGTGTCTCCAGATTCAAGATAAAAATCTTTACCCAAACACATAAAAAAGTCAAAATATAACAAACTAAGTTGAAATAAAATATTTCTTACATTTCATTAGATCTTTCAGTCCTTAAGATACCTATCATTTATCCTTATTTTACTTGATTTTTTTTGTTGTTGTGAATAATACAGTTTGGCTCTTTTCCAATTCTAGAAGTGGTTGATTCTAAAGCAAATGGTTGAATTCATCAATTGAGTTGTTTTATGAATCAATTCATGCCATAATGAGAGAAAAAAAATTTAAACCGTTGTTATTATGCATTCAAAATTTTTGTGATTCATTTCTAAACTTTTGGGTTTAATTTTTTAGCGTAAATGTAATTCATATTCTTTTCCTAAGTCAAACAGTAAAGTCTATAAAGTAAAAAATTTTAAATCTCCTACATATTTCTCCCCACCTCTGCTGCTCTACCACTTTCACTCGTAATCTCCAGAAACAATCAGTTAAATCTTTGTTATACATTATTTCAGGATTTTCTATGCCTGTTGGCATGTGAATGTAGATAGGTGTTTTTAAAAAGATCTTCTTGTGTTCATAGCTTTAGCACATCCTGCCTCCACAGAACTCCACAGTACACCACAGATTACCTCCTTACCTGCGCGTCGGAACTCCCACACCAACCTTCTTCTTTTAATGGCTCCAATACCCATAGTATGCATGAAGCACCATTCATTTAATCCTCCACTGGTAGACATATGGGTTGCCTCTAGCTTTTGTTATTACAAATACAACTACATATATCCTTATATCATTGTGTACTTGTGTAGGATAGCTGTCCAGAGGTGGAATGCTGGCTCTGAGGCTGAAGATTTCAGATGCTGGCAGGTATTTCCAAATTGCTCTCCAAAGAGCTTACTCCCATTGATATCAACAGCATCTGAGAGGACATTTTGATTCATATGTTGTTTTTCCAGTGGGGTACAGCCCAGAGCACTGGGCAATTTTAAAGGCCAACACTGAGAAGTTAGAGAGTAAATGCCAACTGATAGACTACCAAATAATTATTTCAAAGCTATATGAGTCTTAAGTTAGAAATACTAACCTGGGGCAGCAATCAACACAAAAAACAAATGAAAAAAAGGCATGATTTAACTTGGAAGCCTGTTGGCTCTTCGAAGACACTTTACTCCAGCTGCACCTTTGCTCACTTCTGGGGAGTTCACCCCTTGGTAAGGAGTCTTCCCAGGAGAAACACTGTGTCTCCAGGCACCCTCTATACACTTCCCGAGACACAGTTGTTGCTGAGTGATCTGTAAAGTGATACCTCCTTCTCTCAAAAGGGCAAAAGCTTCAGCAAGAGGATTTGCTTGAGCCAGGTGGAAAAGCCCCCAGTTGCTATTTCCCCACATGCAAAGGTCTCCCAAATCCTGGTAAAACTGGGGTGGCCAGAATTAGTGAGGACTCTTCAGGAAACTCATGTATCAAAGGATTCTGCTTCACAATGATTCCGGGTCACTAAAGTGACATTGTCCTGTTCTACTCTATGTATTTACTTCACCCAGACTCAGAATAAAAATCTAGAATCTCAGCTTACCAAGTTTGCAGAGGGCTTACAAGTTGCTAGGCAAGGTTAGTATGCAACCAGATAGCAAGAAGATGCAAAAACAGTCTAATAACGGGCCAGGAGCCAACTGAATGCTTGTGAGTATGTTTAACTTAAAGCTTAGGGGAAAATCACCTTTAGGAGCACTGATGGGAGATACCTGGCTGAACAGAGAGTTAACATGAAAGCATCTCTGGAGGCAGCAAATTGGTGACCCACAGGCTAAATATGGCCTGCAGATCACATTTTTAAATGTGCGAGTCTTCTTAAAGATTTGAAGTTCAATAGAATTGGATTGGTCCAGTACTCTACAGTTTACCACAATTCCCACCCCTCCCTTTTACACCCCACCCACTGCTTCTCACATTTCCCTGCTTGGTTCCTGCGGTTATTCATGTTTGCAATCTCTGACTTAGAGGTTTCAATCAATTGCTATCTCAATAGGAGTCAACTGTTGTCATGGTTACCTGAATAGGATTATGCAATCTCAGACATGTTCAAAGGAAGAATACTGTTAAGAACAAGGGAGATTGTGTTTTGACCAGATTTTGTCCTGCTACAGCTGGCTTTTTGGCTTTTCAGAGGGACATTTACAAATGTCCGGGGAATGATCACACAGGGATAGCTCCAAGCCATGTCCTGTGAAGGGTGGTTGATAAAGAGAGTTGACTGATGGGGGACTCCTGAATGGGTGCCCTTCTCCTTAGTTCCACTGTTCCCCCTTTAGTTAAACCCTTGGACTACAGCAACAACTTAACACCCCAACTGAGTATCTCTTCTCTACTCACCCCCTATAGTAGGCTGTTCTTGCATTACTATAAAGAAATACCCAAGACTGGGTAATTTACTAAAAAAAAGGTTTAATTGACTCATGGTTCTGCAGGCTGTACAGGAAGCATGGCACCAGCATCTGTTTTTTGGGAGGCCTCTGGAAGCTCACAATCCTGGCTGAAGGCGAAGTGGGAGCTTGCACATCACTACGTGAAAGCAGGGGCAAGAGAGAGAGCAGGGAGTGCCACGCACTTTTAAACAACCAGATCTTGCAAGAACTCACTTGCTATCACGAGGACAGTAACAGGGGATGCCACAAAACCATGGGTGAGAAACTGCCCCATGATCCAATCACTTCCCACCAGGCCCCACCTTCAACACTGGCAATTACATTTCAATATGAGATTTGGGCAGGGACACATATCCAAACTGTATCATCCCCTATATCCCAGTTCATTTCAGGGACACATATCCAAACTGTATCTCCCCCATATCCCAATTCATTTCAGTATTTAACTTCTTAAATATT
Source organism: Homo sapiens (assembly GCF_000001405.40). Classification (NCBI taxonomy): domain Eukaryota; kingdom Metazoa; phylum Chordata; class Mammalia; order Primates; family Hominidae; genus Homo; species Homo sapiens. The sequence goes on from NC_000003.12 coordinate 63,815,329, forward strand.
GCCTGGATCTGCACACTTCTGGTACTCCTCACCCCCATCTGTTGCCGGCCTGGACCAAGTGCCTACCTAATGACTTTTCAACACTCACTTTTTCCTCTCCAATGTATTCTCCAAGCTGCACACAGCAACATTTTAAAAACGTATGCATAACTATGCCTTCCCCATGTCACCTATGTTCCCACCACATTGCTCTTCTTCCTGCCCTCAGACATGCCTGGTTTGCACCTGCATGTGAACCTTTGCTCATGTCGTTTTCTGTCTTTGAAATACCTCTCCCAGATCTCAGCATAGTTTGTCTCTTTTTCAACATTAAATGTCTCACTTCAAACACCACCTCCTTAAGAGATCTTTCTTGATGATTTTGGAGGAGTGCCCACTCCCAGTCACTTTCTACCACGTTTTTCTACTTTTTATTTGTTTGTTTTTTTCTTTTCTTTTCTTTCTTTTTTTTTTTTTTTTGACAGAGTCTTGCTCTGTCGCCAGGCTGGAGTGCAGTGGCCTGATCTCAGCTCACTGCATCCTCTGCCTCCTGGGTTCAAGCGAGGAGGCGTGAAGCCGGGAGGTTCTCCTCCCTCGTCCTCCTGAGTAGCTGGGATACAGGCGTGTGCCACCATGCCCAGCTAATTTTTCTATTTTTAGTAGAGACGGGGTTTCACCGTGTTGGCCAGGATGGTCTCGATCTCTTGACCTCGTGATCTGCCTGCCTCGGCCTCTCAAAGTGCCGGGATTACAGGCATGAGCCACCATGCCTGGCCTGTTTTTCTTTTTATTTATTTATTTTTAATTCTTTTTTCTTTGTTGATTTTGTTTTTTTTTTTCTATTTGTCTCATAGCATACTTTGTCAGTACCTGAAACAATTTTCTATTGGTTAACATATTGGTGTCTGTGTCCTCCACTAGAATTGTAATTCCTGGGCAAGGATTTTAGTCATTTTCTTCACAACTGAATTCCATTTCCCTGAATAAATATATGAACAAGTTCCCTAAAAACCCTCAGTAAGGCTGTAATCCCAGCACTTTGGGAGGCTGAGGCAGGTGGATCACCTGAGCTCAGGAGTTCCAGACCAGCCTGAGCAACACGGTGAAACCTCGTCTCTACTAAAAATACAAAAAATTAGCTGGGCGTGGTGGCACGTGCCTGTAACCCCAGCTACTCAGGAGGCACAAGAATCGCTTGAACCCAGAAGGTAGAGGTTGCAGTGAGCGTGGTGCCACTGCACTCCAGCCTGGGTGACAGAGTAAGATGCTGTTTAAACAACAACAACAACAACAAACAAACCAAAAAAACCTCAACAACTCCCCATTGCTCTGAAGATCAAGACCAAAACCTTTAATTTGATCTATAGGACTCAAGAGATTTGGTCCTCCCTCCAGCTTATCACACACATCTACCTCTTTGCTCCAGCCACCCTAGCTTTCTTCCACATTTTCTTTTCTTTTCTTTTTTTTTTTTTTTTTTTGTGAGACAGAATCTTGCTCTGTCGCCCAGGCTGGAGTGCAGTGGCGCGATCTCGGCTCACTGCAAGCTCTGCCTCCCGTGTTCACGCCATTCTCCTGCCTCAACCTCCTGAGTAGCTGGGACTACAGGCACCCGTTACCACGCCCGGCTAATTTTTTTGTATTTTTAGTAGAGATGGGGGTTTCACCACGTTAGGCAGGATGTTCTCGATCTCCTGCTCTCGTGATCCACCCACCTCGGCCTCCCAAAGTGCTGGGATTACAGGCGTGAGCCATCGCACCTGACCGCTTTCTTCCACATTTTCAAAGACACTGGGCTTCTTCCACCTCCGGGCTTTGGCACATGCTGTTTCATCTGCCTGGGTCACACAAATTTTCACACGATTGGCTCTTTTCCCCGTTCAGCATTCAGGACCAATGACCTCATTGGACAGGCTTTCCTAACGCTCCATCTAAAGTCACTCCTCATCCTCAGTCACTCTATCCCATCATCCTCTTTTACTTTTTTCATAACATTTACTACCAGCTGAAATTAAAATGTTCATTTCCTTGTTACCTGCATCTCCCACAGCATATTAAGTTATATGAGTTCAGAGATTTTGTGTATGTTGTTCACTGCAGTATCCCTGGTGTCTAGGGTGGTGTCTAGGGTGGTGCCTGGGAACCACTAGGCATTCAAATATTTGTTAAATAACTGAATGACTCAAAGAAGCTTGGGAGGTAGCAGTTATTACTCCTGTTTTACGAACGAGAAAATGAAGGTCCAAAGAGGTTTTCGTTACCCGCCCAAGGACCCATAAGCTTGGAAGGGGTAGATCTAGAATGTAAATCCAGACACAGCTCAAAATTGATGTCTCTCTATACTCTAACTCTTTCCCCACCCCCTTCCCACTCCTTCTAGTTCTGTCATCTGCTTCAGGACTCCTTTGGGAACCTACAAGTTTTGTCACAGATGCCACAGCAGCAAGTGTTTCAGCCTATTACATACACACATACATGCAGACATGCACACACAGAGACATGTACATAGACACCCATGCACAAATAAAAAACAGCTGTCTTTCCTAGCATAAAATTCATCTCATTCATCTAGATAATTGATGAAATACAACAGAATTAAGGCAGGAGTGCCAATAATTGCATGAAAAATATTGCCCTGTTGCTAAAGAAAATATTCATGTATTCATTTATTCAAGCACCTATTATTTATTGTGCTCTGAGGATGCCAACAGATGAGGAAAAACAGACCAGGGAGGAGCATATGTCCATTTGGCCAAGGCATATTAGATATGCTCTACTTCAGCGTTTCTCAAATAAGGGACAGAGGAACATCTGCACCCACTCTCCTAGAATATGGATTCCTGGGTCTCATTCCCTGCTGAAGCGGAATTTCTATTTCACTTGAATTTTGCCATAAAACTATGGCTTGGGCACTATGAGTTGTCCCACTTTAGGGATGAGAAAACAAGCATGGGTGGGTTAAAATGAATTGGCCAAGGTCACATAGCTAAGCTAGAAATGAGAACTCATGCATAATTCCCAAATCCACTCTCTTAGCCCCTTAACATTATACACTTCATTCTAGACCATTTTAAAGCTCTTTTCCCCAGTACTGAAACATACAAGACCCTCACTACTCCAAGTGCAGTCTGGCATCATCAGCGTCACCTGCGGGTTTGTTAGGAGTGCAAATTCTTGGATCCCAGCCCAGATGTACTGTATCGAAATCTGCATCTTAAAAAGACCTCCAGGAAGTTTGTGTGCACTTGAAAGCTTGAGAAGTATGCTCCAGATTATTGATTAATGCAAACACAGAAAGCAGAGTAATTCTTGTAACTCCCAGAACCTTTCTAGAGGAGTTTTTCTTGTTAAGCATCTAGTTATTTGACTGAACAACTCAAACCGCGAGAGGGTAACAGGAATAAATCCTAGTGTCTGCTGCCACCTTGTGGTGAGAAGTTCCATCACAGGCAGAATTCGCTCTTCACCACGAAATAAATGGGGCAATGTTGGAAGGGAGGGGTGGATCAGGTCCTCAATTTAGCAATGTACTTTGAGAGACCACTGCAAAATTCCAAGATGTAATGAAAACCACCCTTGGGGTACATTTTGAGATGTCCAAACAACAACTGGCCTTGTCATATGTGTCCCACAGGACACAGAGAACATTCACCAGCTGTAACTGAGAGATCTAACAGAAGCTCAACTTGTGTTAATCAGCGTATCGTTGGTATTCCTATAGGTCCCTACCACTTCAGAGTTCAAATACGCACTTCTGAATGTGGTGGTCAATTAGTGTGTGGGTGTTTTTTGTTGTTGTTGTTGTTGTTTGATTTTTTTTTTCTATCCAAATGCCAGCATTGAGGCAATCAGATCATCATTTCTGTATTTGCCTTGTTCAAGAATCTGTGAAGTGTTCCACAAAGGTCCATGGAATTTCACACAGCTCTGTCAAATACATCACTGGTGACCTCTGTGAAGTTGTAAACAGGGCCAGTCCCACAAATAATGTCTCTAACACCTGGAAGGGAATAAGGGAAAGACTCTAAAAATTTCCTACATATTTTATTCCGAATAGCCCACACCTTGACAGTACATTCAGTCACTGGATGATTTTGTATTGAAGTCTGTAAGTTCAAGAACTAAAACAATCCAAAACGGCTACTACAGGTGAAGTTGAGAGCAATGGCCCAACCTCAGCTGTATCTACCAGAACCCTTTAAGATTGCCTACAGAAAAGTTGGACAGTGCCGAAGATTCCAGCAACTCAAGAAGAAAAATGGCTCATTCAAAAGGAAGGGGATAGAAAGGTAACAGAGATTCATTTCCTTTTCTGTCAAATGAGAGTCTTTGGGTTTGGCATAGTGGCATGTCCTTTTAAGCATTGCATTTAGGAATGAGGACTCTGGATGGATTGGCGGGGAGGGTACTGCGTTGGATCAAGAAATCTAGTGTGACAATGTAAGCTTCATTTTATGATCAGAAACATCTTAATTGTAACAGGGAAAACCTTTCCTTTCCACTCGAAATTAAGTTTCAATGTGGCATAGGAGACTAAAATAAGTTCTGATCCTATGTTGATATTTCAGCATCAGAATTTTGGACATCTCACATCCCGTGAAAATACTATTATTTTGAAAAGTCATTAGTGCATTCTTCGAAATAGGTCCACGATCAGTGCTTTCTTTCTCCTATCCCAGCAATTTGGGCTGCTGAAATATGTACTAATCACATTTCACTATGGACACATTGTTTAATGTAACGTTAAAACTGCCTTAGACTTGCTATTTTTTTGCCAATGACAAAACCATATAGACAGGTATGAAACATCCAAAATATAATATATTTTAATTTGGAAAGTCAGTGTGGTGATTTATTTTCCAATTTCTTTGGGCTTCTCTCTTACCAGGTCCATGGGCTATAGTTCAGACATGTAGAAGTGAGGTGTTTTAATGAGTCCTGGAAGCATCAAAGACCAAGCTTGTGAACTTCCATGGACAAAATAAAATACTGCAGAGATTTCCACTTTCAATGAAAAGTAGGCACTCCGGGGGAAGCAATACAACCAAATAAATTCAGTACCAACACAAAAATATTTAAAAACTTAAGAAGGGGAGGGTTCTGCTCATATCAGAAATTGCAGCAGTGTGTTCCTAGGCTCTGGAGCTAAATCACCTTTGTTAATTATGTTCTAGATAGATTGGGGATGAGAGTGGGGAGGATGGGAATGGGAAACACCTTCTAGAGATTCTGAGACCACTTAGAACTGGGCTTTTAACATGGGTGGTCTTCAAAATTCCTGAATCTCCTGAAACTGTATTTGCATTGTTCTGTGTCACAGTATGTGTATGTGTGTACATGTTTATAGTAGTAGAATCACTTAAAAATTAAATTATTATTAAAGGAGTCTCAGAGGGGTCTACGGGAGATTAATCCTACCCATAAGTTATCTCTGGGTGAATTAGGAAATGGTGCTCCCTCCTCAGGACATTTTACTGCCATCTGCCAGAAAATCATTATAATAACTATACACAAGTCTAAGGATGAAATTGAATAGCACCCCCTAGAAGTCATATATGTACATTTTGCAGAACCCTGCCCTTGGTCCCAGAAGGGAGGCTGCTAGCTTCTCCCTTATTTTGCCCTCTAGTGTGGGCTCCCTGCTTGCCTTTTAAGTTAATGGATTTTCCCCATAAGTTAATGGCTTTTCCCCACTGTTCTGATCCACATGGTAATAAAAAGTATCATTTATGGAATGCTTTTTAAGGTTCCAAACACATGAATTATTTCCTTTTATTTTCATAATTCTGAAAAGATTATGCCCATTTTCAAATGAGAAGACCAAAGCTTATAGAGGTTACATGACATGCCCAAGGTCACAGAGTTAGGAATTGTCCTGAGTTAAACCAATACCATTCAACTCCAGTGTCTAGGCTGTCACTGAACCACTTCCCATATATAATTACAGAAAAAGGCTGAATGATTTGGGTTCTGTTTAGAACAGTGTTTTCCTGGAGAGTAGTACATATGCTACTGATGGTACATGAGATATTTTAGGTAATATATGAAGAACATTGTTAATGGTTATAAATTTGTTTTAATCCATATTAGAAATATATGTTATATATTTAATACAACGTAATAGCATAATATAAAACCTGGGATTTCACCCAGAGAAATGAAAACTTATGTTCATACAAAACCTATAGATAAATGTTTATAGCAGCTTTATTCATAATAGCCCCAAACTGGAAACAACCCAAGTATCCTTCAATCAGTGAATAGTTAAACAAAGTGTGGTACATTCACATCATGGACTATTACTCAGCAATAAAAAGATATGAACAATTAATACACAAAATCTGGATGAATGCCCAAAGAATTATGCTGAGTGAAAAAAAGCATATCTCAAAAAATTACATGATGTATATTTCCATTTACATAACATTCTTGAAAGGACGAGAATTACGCAAACAGAAGACAGATTCGTAGATGCCGGTTTAAGAAAGGGGGGACCAGTGGATAGTGGATGTGGCTATAAAACATGAGGGATCCTGGTGTTACTGGAAATGTTCTGTATTCTGACTGTTTCAGTGTCAATATGCTGGTTGTGAAAATATAGTTTTGCAAGATGTCATCATTTGGGGAAACTAGGTAAAGAGCACACAGAATCTCCCTGTATTTCTTTCTTTTTTTTTTGTTTTTTTGAGACAGAGTCTCGCTCTGTCGCCCAGGCTGGATTGCAGTGGCGCGATCTCGGCTCACTGCAAGCTCTGCCTCCCGGGTTCACAACATTCTCCTGCCTCAGCCTCCCAAGTAGCTGGGACTACAGGCGCCCGCCACCACGCCTAACTAATGTTTTGTGTTTTTAGTAGAGACAGGGTTTCACCGTGTTAGCCAGGATGGTCTCGATCTCCTGACCTCGTGATCCGCCTGCTTCGGCCTCCCAAAGTGCTGGGATTACAGGCGTAAGCCACCGCGCCTGGCCCCCTCCCTGTATTTCTTACAATTGCATGTGAAACTATAATGATCTCAACATTAAAATTTTAATTTAAAAAACACCGAAATTTCATGGATATTATTACTTTGGGTGAAGCTAACAAAAAATAGTTAATTGAGGAAGAATATTAGGTAATAATTGTATCACCGTACAGGTGATACTCTAGCACAGTGGTGAACAACACAGACCTCAGGATCAGATAATCTGGACATAAATTATTTAATCTCTCCAAGCTTTAATTTCTTCATGTGTGAAGTAGAGATGAGAATATAAAGATTAAATTATGTTATACACATGAAAGCACTTGGAAGAGTGTTTAGCACACAGAAAGCTATCAGGAAATGTTGTCTATTGTTTAGTCTATTGTGTATAATAAAATATGCCAAAATTATGAAGATGGTACACGTAGTCACTATATATGAGTTTACAGTATGTTATCTAAATGAGTGTTTTATGTAAATGCAGTATTTATGGGGCCTTGGAGGTTACTCCTTATTGACTACCCTAGCAGACTCTCTCATCTTTTATTACTTTCACTTTGAAACTGCCAAATCTAGCAAAAACTATGTCAAACTATCATTGAAATAAGATTGCCAATTTGCCAATATAAGTTAATGGATTCCAACAGTCAGACCTGGATTAAAGTCTGCATTCAGCCCTTGGTCAATTAATTTAAACCATGTCTCAGTTTACTCATAAGTAAAATGAAGACAATAATATAACCTACCTCTAACAGTACTGTGTTTAAATTAAATAGCAGCCAGATTACTATAATTTGGTAACAAAACACCAAGTAGTTGCTTTGGCTTTATTTTTCTGTGATTTGATTCTTGGTCTTCAATTTCATTTTTTTTTTCTGAATTGTATAATTGGTTCACATTTGAAGTTTGTGTTTTAATGATTTAAATTTTTCACTTTTAACTTTTCAGTTTCCCTAATATGAACCATTTTTATTTTGTTTAGATGGCATAGAGCTGTGTCTACCAACTTACTAAAACAAAATGTATTGGTCCCTAAAGAGGAATCATCCAGTGATAGTGACATGGGATTTCATGAAAGCCAGCAAAATCAGAAAAGTAATTTGAAGACGAAAGTGAAGACTGCTTTTGGGAGGATGCTGTCCTACAAGTATAGAAGCAAGCCAGCATGTGCCAGCCAAGAGGGCTCCACTGACCATAAAGAAGCCCTCCTGTCAAACACGCAGAGCCTTCTCCCTAGGATTGTCAAGGAGTTTTCATCTCCCAAGTTATTTACAGCAAAAATGAGAAAGCTCTCAGAGAATGGTAATCATATTTGGGCAATTTGTCTTTGGGTTGAGGCCAAGAGGAAGAGTGAAATTAGGATGGATTATCTTGCTACACCAGTATGGCATCCCTGAGGAGCTTGTCTGAAATGCAGAATCTCAGGCCCTACCTGGGACCTTCTGAGTGAGAAGCCACACTTTAGCAAGATCCTCAGTTGGCTTGTATGTTCATACCGTTGTGTGTGTGTGTGTGTGTGTGTGTGTGTGTGTGTGTGTGTGTGTGTGTGTTTAGATGGAATCTCGCTCTATCACCCAGGCTGTAGTGCAGAGGCATGATCTCGGCTCACTGCAACCTCTGCCTTCCGGGTTCAAGCAATTTTCCTCCCTCAGCCACCTGAGTAGCTCGAACTACAGGAGCGTGCCACCACACCCAGCTAAATTTTGTATTTTTACTAGAGATGGGGTTTTACCATATTGGCCAGGCTGGTCTTGAACTCCTGACTTCAGGTGATCCGTTCGCCTCGGCCTCCCAAAGTGCTGGGATTACAGGTGTGAGCCTTGCTCATACCTTTTGAGAAGCACTGAATTGGATTGCCTTGGAGGTTCCTTCCAGTTCAATTAAACAGTGTTCTAATCAGTTTAAAGTCACTTTTTATTTAAATATATATGTGTGTATATATTCATATATACATATATATATTTATTGGAAAATCAAACTCAAGGGGGATTTTTGGTTTTGTTTCTGGAAAAAGTAGTGATGCAGACTTTCACATGGCTACTTCTAACAGTGGAGGGGGTAGTGAGACTTAAATGAATAAAATGTATAACTGGTAAGTCATAAAGAATGCTCACTTTTATTGCATTTACTTTCTATGTACTGTGTGAAAGAATTAATATTTGAACTGTTAACTTTAAGTCGTTTTTGCAACTAGTATTAATGCCATGTGGCATCCTATGAGTCATGACTAACAATACTACCAATGTTTGCATTCTCATCTGTGGCTTTTAAAAAAATAAATGGAGTCTAGGCCGGGAGCAGTGGCTCACGTATGTAATCCCAGCTCTTTGGAAGGCCAAAGCGGTTGGATCACTTGAGCCCAGGAGTTTGAGACAAGCCTGGGCAATATGGTGAAACCATCTCTACAAAAAATACAAAAAAGATTAGTCAGGCATGGTGGCATGTGCCCGTAGTCCCTACTAGGGAAGCTGAAGTGGGCGAATCGCTTGAATCTGGGAGTCGGAGATTGCAGTGAGCCAAGATTATGCCACTGCACTCCAGCCTGGGCGACAGAAAGAGACCCTGTCTCAAAAAAAAAAAAAAAAAAGAAAAAGAAAAAGTCTATTTTTATAGCACTTTTATATTTACAGAAAAATTGAACAGAAAATGTAGAGTTCCCATATATGCCCTCCCTTCCCTGATCCCCACAGCTCCTGTTATTAACATCTTGCTTTAGAGTGGTACATTTACAATCGATGAACCAATATTGATATATTACTATTATTAACTGAAGTTATAGTTTACATTAGGGTTCCCCCTTTATATTGTGCAGTTCTGTGGGATTTGACAAATACCTACTTTTATGTCATACTCTGTCATAACATACATCCACCATACATCCACCATAATTTCACTGCTCTATATATCCTCTGTAGCTTTTTAATGTCCTTCACAGCACAGAATCAGGAAACACACAGCCCTTCTAGTATATGTAAATATACATACAACCTCACATTTTACACACCATGATCAGGCAACAAAACTGATGTGTGCTTTTTCCAGGAAAAAAAAAACAAAAAAAAACCCTGATGGTTTCCAGCCGACTACTTTCAAACAAACTCTGTGTTCTGGAAAAAGCAGTCATTAATACAAGCATCCAAGCATCTAGCAATTACCTGGTATGGATTGAGCTGTATATTTCTGTTGAAAATAGCAAAGAGGACATGATTCTATATTGCTGGGGCTGGAATTGAAGAATCCAGCAGAAAACAGAGGATCAAATTTCTACTCCTAATCTGTGCACTGGTTTATTTTTATCTTAGTTGGAATAACAAATATCAACTAAGATTTCTCCAGAAAACATGCTCATCCTTTAGGATGTAGCTCAAACATTAATACCCTTTGTTGTGGCCCCAAATCAGTTGCTCTTCCCTGCTGACCTTCAAAACATGTTTTTATCTATTTAACAAATATCTGCTAAGTACTTATTATATGACAGCCACAATATTTGGGATAGAGTAGCACATAGAACAGACATAGTCCCTCCCTCATGGAGAGGCTTTCAAACATGCAGAAAATTACATTTGTTCCAAAGGAGCACAGGATGCTATTGAAAGAAATCATAGGTGCTCTAACTTTAGGGGAGGGGTCTCAGGAAAGGCTTCCCCAAGGAAGGGACAACTAAATTGAGATCTGAAGGATGTCTAAGACATAAAGATGGCTTACACAAGGTGGAGGGGGGAGAACAGTTTCCCAGGAATAAGGGAGAGCATGTTCAAGTCACAATATCAAGAGATCACCAGGCACAATTAGGAAATGAAAGAAATCCAGTGGAGGTTGGAACACAGAGAGCTAAGGGGAGGCTGGTTGAATTAGGTAGTAAGGGTGTCTGTCATAGGACACATTGAGAATTTTTAACTTTCTTCTAAGGGTGATAAGAAACCACTGGATACTTTCAAGCTGGGGATTTATATAATCTGATTTGCATTCTTAAAAGATAGCTTTGGTTATCTTTTAGTGTAGACTGGATTGGATGAGGGTAAGCGCAAATGCAGGAAGAACAATAAGCACCCATACATTCTTTCAGGCAAGGAATGACATTAGCTTGGATTAGTCAGGGCAGTGGGAATGGGGAGATAAAGGGAGAAATAAGCATAGGTAGAAGTTACAAGAGTTGGGGAAGAGTTGGACAGTGAAGGGTTGGGGAGAGGGAAAAATTTCTGGATTGAGCACTGGCTTTGAAGGTGGAGGCATCATTCACTAATATAAGGAGCAATGGACCTGGATTGAAAAATAAGTCATGAGTTCTGGCTAGACTTGCTGACATAAGGTCCCTGCCAAATAGCCAAGTGGAAGTGTCAAGTAGGCTAATGTATTCATTGAGGTCTGAGGCTCCCAGAGAAGTCCTTATCAATGGACTTTAAGCAACAAGATGATTTTAGGTGTGCACACTGCATGAAGAACAGTGTAACACACAGCAAATTGCAAACACCCTTTCCCCAATGCTGTCATCCTTTTGAATACATCAAGGAAAATGTCTCATTTAGTGACCCCCTTTTTTAAGAAAAAGAGAGTACCTGTAGTCCCAGCTGCTCGGGAGGCTGAGGCAGGAGAATGGCCTGAACCCGGGAGGTGGAGCTTGCAGTGAGCCTAGATCATGCCACTGCACTCCAGCCTGTGCGACAGAGCGAGACTCCATCTCAGAAAAAAAAAAAGAAAAAGAGAGTAACCTCAGGTTTAGTGCCTTCTGCAAAAAATAACATAGTTTTGTTTTTAGCATAGTAATTTTAATGCCTGTTTACCATACTAGTCTTAAATTTATGGTAGTGTTTTAAAGTTTCCTTTATAAATACATTTATGGAGTTAAGCACTGAATTGATATGTTTTAAAATGTTAAGGAATCCAAAGTTCACCTGGCTCCTGGATATAGGAAAGACAAATCAATGGTATGTAAATGACTGAGCCTTGAGCCACATTTCTCGAAAATAGATAGAAAATTTGCTTTAATCCACAATGAATACCCAAGGGAGGGCCTTGCATGTTAGAGGGTTACTTTTCTAATTCCACAATGGTTCAGGGGAAAAACTTAAATCTCGAAGAGAGAGAGAGGTGGCTACCTTGTCAAAGACTGGGTTGGTGTCCACTGAGGTCATGACCATAACAAAAGGCAAATGCGTGCAGGAGAAAGTGTAAGATTGGGAAGAGCAAATCAATTTTTTATTCTTAACTCTAAAGAAAAAAAAAGCCACTGAAGCAGCAAGTGATGCTGTCTTCTAAGAATACTGTATTTTTAACAGGAAGAATGTGTTCCTCATTGTGATCCTTACAGATTCCTTTTTCCCCCTTTCTTGAAGCGACTATACAACTTGATGTTGTAGAGGCAGAGACAGAGGAGATAACCCAGGGAAACACACTCCTTCGGGCCAGGAGAACCACCAAGCGGTTATCTGTGACATCTCTTCCTTCAGGACTGCAAAAGGTAAAACGCTAAATGAATTTGCCTCTGAAGACTTACACATAACTCAATGTCTAGAGATTTTGCAAAAACCAAGTTCTGTCCTACCATGAGTCCTCCACAATAAGCCCTTTAAATCTGCTGCTTCTGTCTCCTCTCCAAGAATTTAGGGTACTCTCTGGGTCAGATTCTTCTACTTCTAAGCTCAAACTGTTCAGCTTCTACTACATCTGGGCAACAGTGGATGGAGTTTGGATTTTTATAACTGACTTTCTCACTCTTCAAATGTTAGTATATTAGCATTCTGGCCTATCTGTGCATACTATGTGGAGTGGAACTCATTAGACCAGCACTGTCCAGTGGAACTTTCTGTGAAGATGTAAGTATGCATTGTCCAATATAGTAGCCGTTAGCCACATTTGGCTTTGAGACTTTGAAATCTGGTCAGTGCAACTGAGGAACTGAATTTTTAATCTTAATTTTCATTGAAACTAAAATGTAAATAGCCATATGTACAACACAGACAGTGCAGCGTAGATTATCTAGGACTCTCCAAACCAATGCTTTTACTTATCCATAGGTATGCATGGGTTTTGTTTGTGTGTTTGTTTGTTTTGAGACAGAGTCTCACTCTGTCGCCCAGGCTGGAGTGCAGTGGCACAATTTCAGCTCACTGCAACCTCCGTCTCCTGGGTTTAAGTGATTCTCTTACCTCAGCCTCCCATCTAGCTGGGACTACAGGCGTGCACAACCATGCTTGGTTAATTTTTGTATTTTTAGTAGAGACAGCGTTTCGCCATGTTGGTCAGGCTGGTCTCGAACTCCTGGCCTCAAGTAATCCACCTGCCTTGGTCTCCCAAAGTGCTGGAATTACAGATGTAAGCCACCGTTACTGGCCATGTATGTATGTTTGATCCTAAATTGCCCAGACTATTTTTCAAAAATAGAACCATGAACTATTATTATTATTATTTTAGATACAAGACTTACCTTAAAGCTATGTTCCAAACTCTAAGTGCTTTAAAAATATCAACTCAGATAATCCTTACAATAGCCCTATAACGTAGGTAGCAATATTATTCTTATTTTAGGGATGGTACTGAGAGTTTAAGTAATTTGCCCACGTAAGTGACAGAGCCAAGTTTCAAACCCAGGAACACCTGGCTCTAGAGTCCTTAGTAGTAATTGCCATGCTACAGACTAACTGTACTGTCCAATATGCTAGTCAATAGCTACATGTCACCACCTATGTTAATTAAAATTAAATAAAATTAGAAGTGCAGTTCCCCAGTTGCACTAGCTACGTTTCAAATGGCCAACAATCGCACCTAGTTAGTGGCTGTCCTATACAGCACAGATAGAGAACATTTCCATCTTCACAGAAAGTTCCACTGAACAGTGCTGCTCTTGAACACCACTGTCAGAGTGCACTGATACTAGTTTTGAAGTTTTGCCTTTTGTGTGCTAGGTTCGTATTCATTTTGCCCCTATTATGTTTTAGGCAGTCTGTAGGTTTGGGGGGTATAGGGTGATCTAATGGACATGGTCTTGCTTCTGTGGAACTTACAGTCAAATAGAGGAGATAGACATTAAACCATAGCACCATACAGCAGTGGGGTAAGGATAATCTTTTGAACAAATGTTGCTAGAACAATTGGGCATTCATACAGAAAAAAAATGAAAATTGACCCCTATCTCACACCATATACAAAGATTAATTTCTGTTCAGTTATAGATTTAAGTGGAAAAGGCAAAAATCTTAAAACTCCTGGAGGACAATAAGAATATCTTCATGACTTCAGGATAGAGAAACACTTCTTAGGACACACATAACAATAATCATAAAGATAAAGATGGAGCAATTTGGCTATGATTAAGAATTTCTGTCCATCAAATGGTGTTAGATCAGAGGTTGTCAACTAGCTATAAAAATGTTTTGTTTAGCCCTCAGAATGTTCTCAAAAATATATTTGAATTGGCTGGGTGTGGTGGCTCATGTCTGTAATCCTGGCACTTTGGGAGGCTGGTAAGGGAGGATCTCTTGAGCTCAGGAGGTTGATACCAGCCTGGGCAACATGGCAAAACCCCATCTCTACAAAAAAAAAATGTAAAAATTAGCTGGGCATGGTGGTACACACTTTTAGTCCCAAATCCTCAGAAGGCTGAGGTGGGAGGATCACCGGAGCCCACAGAGGTCAAGGCTTTAGTGAGCCATGATCATGCCACTGCTCTCCAGCCTGGACAACAGAGTGAGACCTCATCTTAAAATATATATATGTATTTGAATTAATTGTCTACGTTTAGAAATTAGGATATTTCTAATACAATTCTGGGTTTTCTACTTTCTCTTGAAAAATAAAAAGATTTGAAAATACTAGGCCAATTCCTCATGGCAACAAACAGGAGCTGCGCCAGGGTACTGCAGAAGGTGTGGTCTCTTCAGTCCATACCAGCCCCAACTAGTCCTGCTTTACAAAACTTGCCTAGGCACTAGATTTTACCATAGTTGTATTCAATAAACACAGACATAATGTAGTGACTGCCAAGTATGCTAGTATGCTAGTTGCTTAACAGGAAAAAGTACTGGGTTTTATGAAAGAGAAAAAAGAGGGGTCTTACTTTAGATAGATCAGGGAAGATTCTGCAAGTGACATTTGAGCTGGGCAAGCTGGCAGGGTAGCAGTGGTTCAGCAGACTCCATTTGTAAAGGCAAAAGGTAGGACCCAGATGTGGTCCCATATCCTACTTTGTGTAGGTCTCACAATAGTCCTAATGCTAATTATTAAGCACAAGGGGAAGGAAGAGTAAACTCAGTAAGACTAAAAAGGGCATATTAGCTGGGAGCCATGACCTGGGAATGATTTCCAATTGCAACACTGTTAGGACAGGTACTTGTAACCAGTAAGCCAGGGACAATGGGAAAAGTATCAGGCATGGGGTGAAAAGAACCCAGAGCTTTCTTTTTATGTTTGAAGACGTGACTGCCGTGAAAATAAGGAAACCTGCAGAAACGAGACCAAATTAACAACTAGATCCACGATAATGAGCTTTCTGGGGCACTGGTCCACAACGGCCCCACACTCTTACTGTGCTCAGCAGCTGCAGAGGCAATTTCTTCTTCTTCCCCTTACGAATGACCTGCTTTTTTCCTGATGCTGTATATTCTTTCAGAGCCAGACAATCTCATTTCTCTGTACCCTATAGATCTCTTCAAAGAGAGCTCTGGGCACAAAGAAGATACTTGGGGTGTGGAGAATAATATGAATACAGTCTGCAATCCAATATTGTTATGTGGCAAATGTTCAGTTTATAAGATAATGTCCTAAGGGTGAGAACTCTTGTTTAAGCACCATCACATAAATAATGTTGGTAGTTCCTAATCTGATGTGTTTTGCATTTTTACCATAGGGGCCATATTCACCAAAAAAGAGACCACACTTTCCAGCACTTAAAAAAAAGAAGCGTGGCATGGAAAACATCCTTCGAAAATCAGATTTGACAGTAGGAAAGCTTCAAATGCAGGTAGTGGACAAAGGCTTTTAACTTTTGAGTCTCAGAAGCATCAGAGAGCCAGGCTTAAGTAAACGCACAGCCCTGCTAGACAGCATGGGTGTGGGATGAAATTAATGATTAGCATTAAGAAATAATGTTAGCAGGGGGGCATTCTGAAAGTGGCTAAAGGATTGCCAAGGACACCTAGGATGATGCTGTGTACCTGATAAATGTTAAATGAATTCAGTTAAAATGAAGGCATATACATAGGTTTCTTTTCAGAAGAACTGAGATTGTCTTTATCACTGGGTGGTAAATGTATGCTTTCAAGCTCCATTTGCTATGACTTGAATTAGAATAATATTTTAAGACTTGCAAAATGTCCGCCAGTTCCAGAACTCTTCTCTCAGGAAAAGCAACTATCCCTTTGATTTTGACAAGGCTTTCCAACACATGGCTTCATTTCTTTGTATTTATCTGTCATAGGTGGATGACCTCATAGAAACAGTGACTGATAAATCCATGAAGCTACTGGCCCAAAGACATGCTGAGCTTCAACAGTGTGAGTTTCTGGGGGATGAAATTCTTCAGTCTTCTAAACAGTTCCAGAGGATATCCAAGAGAACCATGAGGAAGTATAAATTAAAAAATGTGTGTTTCCCATGTACCTGCTGCTGCTTCTGACTTTGTTCCTGATTCTTTAAAAGTTATCTTCCCTAGGCTGGCCGTGGTGGCTCACGCCTGTAATCTCAGCACTTTGGGAGGCCGAGCGAGTGGATCACTTGATGTCTGGAGTTCAAAACCAGCCTGGCCAACATGGTGAAACCCTGTCTCTACTAAAAATACAAAAATTATCCAGGAGTGGTGGCGGGCGCCTCTAATCCCAGCTACTCGGGAGGCTGAGGCAGGAGAATTGCTTGAACCTGGGAGGCAGAGGCTGCAGTGAGCCGAGATCGCACCACTGCACTCCAGCCTGGGCGACAGCACAAGACTCCATCTCGAAAATAAAAAAATAAATAAAAGTTGTCTTCCAAGAGATTCTTATCTTTTGGTACTTAATCCTGAATAAATCTCTCTAGTGAATTAATCAATGGGGGTGGGGATACGGAGGCAGCATTTTAAAAAAAATTCTACCCAATAGTCCTTTAAAAAATAAATATCTTTTTTGAAAAACTGGTATTTGTCTGGGGCACAGTGGCTCACATCTATACTCCCAGCACTTTGGGAGGCTAACGTGGGTGGATCACGTGAACCCAGGAGTTTGAGACCAGCTTGGGCAATATAGTGAGAATCTGTCACTACGAAAAATTTTTAAAAATTAGCTGAGTATGGCGATGTGTTGCCTGTAGTCCCAGCTACTCGGGAGGCTGACATAGAAGAATTGCTTAAGCCTGGGAGGTCAAGGCTACAGTGAGCTGTGATCAAGCCACTGCACTCCAGCCTGGATGACAGGGCAAGACCCTGTCTCAGAAAAGAAAAAAAAAGAAAAATGGATTTTTAATTCTGAGTCAATATAGGCAAATTTTTGTTTCATAATTCTTACTAATAATGGAAAATAAAAACGATTGTCACAGCATAGCAATTCTGCAAAGAAATTTCTCCCATGACTTGCCAGATGAAATTAGAGGAAGCATTTATATGTATTATGACACTTTTAATATGACTACAACTGAGCTAATTTTAAACTTTCATTTTTAAAGATAAAAATTATTATTAAAATTACAAAAATGTAACATCATTAAGGTATGATTCATGCAAAGTGTCATGTTTCTGAACTAAAATAAATGGATAAGGATGGAGCTGAACAAGTATTACACATATAATGAAATACTTAAGAAAATTACAAGTGATTCCGCCTTAGCTTAATTTTTAAAAAGATTATAAATTCTTTATGCAAGACAATCTTTTTTTTTTTTTTTTTAGACAGAGTTTCACTCTTGTTGCCCAGGCTGGAGTGCAATGGTGCAATCTTGGCTCACCACAACCTTCGCCTCCTGGGTTCAAGTGATTCTCCTGCCTCAGCCTCCTGAGTAGCTGGGATTATAGGCATGTGCCACCACACCTGGCTAATTTTGTATTTTTTTTAGTAGAGATGGGGTTTCTCCATGTTGGTCAGGCTGGTCTCGAACTCCTGACCTCAGGTGATCTGCCCGCCTCGGCCTTCCAAAGTGCTGGGATTAAAGGTGTGAGCCACCATGCCTGGCCTACGCAAAACAATCTTAACAAACTATTTACTTCAAACACTCTTCACTTTATCAATACATCTTTTTCTATTGAAAATGATTCCTAAAGAACAAAACAGTAGAGAAAACAGATCAACAAAACATTTGAGAACCATATTCCTCTCATATTAAGGAGAGATATATAAAGTAATGTGCACTATTTTACTTTGCATCTTATAATTAACGTCCCATACCAGCGAATTTTAACAGCCTGGAACCTCTCTCCACAATAAGCATACACCACTAACATTTTGCATGTAATTTCACAGGTTCATGGTCCTCCTAAAGCCTCTTCATAGACTCCGTTTTCAGAAGTGTAACCATTTCCAGAAATTGGCTCATTTTCCCATGTACATCCTAGAAATGCCAACTTCTAACAATTTTCAACTTATTTTGTAAGCCAATCAATGTTACCAGTTAAAAACTACCTAGAATATTAATGAGCACAAACATATGCAGCTTAAAAGCATTTTATTAAGCATTTTTGGATGTTGCTTCCTACCACTTAAGAATAAAAAATGCATTTTAATAAAAACAAATCTATACTGAAGTCATTTTCCTTTGTGAGAGGAAATATGAATGAAATACATTCATACTTAAAAACAGAGTATTTTACTGCCAAAACTTTAAATATCTCAAGAGCATACCACATTTTAAACACATTATGGTCATGTAGCTATTTCAATATTCCTGGGAGTGGTGGGCAATTAGCCTGTCTATGGCTTAGGATCTGTTTCCATGCTTGCTTCCTGAGCTTCTTCTACCTCTGAGAGTTTTTCATCATCTGTAATTGAGAAGGAAACATAAAACCTTAGTCAAGTTTGCCTATATTTTATATTCGATGAACACATGAAAACATGTTTATCCTTTATTAGCCAATACAATTAAAGCTAAGATGGCTACTAGTTGAATCAAACTTTAAAATTTATGTGATAGACTTCACTTAAAAAAAAAAAAATCCAGGCAGGGTCTGGTGGCTCATGCCTATAATCCCAGCACTTTGGGAGGCCAAGGCAGGTGGATCACCTGAGGTCAGGAATTCAAGACCAGCCTGGCCTACATGGTAAAACCCCGTCTCTACTAAAAATACTAAAATTAGCTGGGTGTGGTGGCATGCACCTGTAATTCCAGCTACTAGGGAGGCTGAGGCAGGAGAATCACTTGAGCCTGCAAGGTGAGGATTGCAGTGAGCCAAGATTGTGCCACTGCACTCCAGCCTGGGTGACAGAGCAAGACTGTCTTAAAAAAAAAAAAAAGAAAAGAAAAAATGGGTCTTAGGCTATTCTTTAAAACAATCAGAAGATCAGGTAACACAAAAATTTCCACTTGCCTATAGTGAATATAAAGAGCAAGTCTCCAGTTCCCCAAAGCACCCACTACTCAGTGGGTATGCAAATGTTCGTATGTACTGATTTCTTATTATTGCCTGCCTGGGTCCTGAGTTGTTATATTATAGTAGTCAACTACAGTGAACCAAGAAAGATTCCAAATCTATCATCCTTGAATTTTTCTTAATTTAAACCACTATGTATATGTTTAAATCCTATATTACTACAAATTAAGACTTTTCTACATGTATTCAAGAAAGTTGAACATGAGTACCTTCTAACGTCATCCAGCTACACTGTTCAGAAATTGAAGGTATACTGTCTCTCCAAGATGTATATTTCAAAAGGTACATCCCTGGGTCATTTAAAAAATCTTCATAAGCATTTACTTTGAGACTATTTCTACTTACTTTCCAATGTTTGCTGAAGTTCATGGATGGTACTAAGAAGAACATGAAACTGTTTCCGTCTCAATTCCAGCTGTGTTAACAAGAAAAAAATTTATACAAATGACCTGTATATATAGATATATAGACAGACAGATAGACAGATCATGAAGGCTAAATATATATGCGAATACCTTATCTTCAACACTTTCTTTAATGTGTGAAAGATGCTCTAATTCTTTTCCCAGAGCCTCTAGTTCCCTGGAAATAATAAAACAGTGTTACATTTTGCTGAATGGGGGAGAAGAGTTTACAATTAATGCCTAACTTTTAAGTTACTAGATAGGATTTTTAAAATAAAAAAAGGGCTTATAAGGAGTTATAACACTCCATTATGGTGAAACTTTTAAAGCTGAGGATGATTTCTTCTTAACTTCTAAATATGGACTCACTTTCATTAAAATTACATTTTTGGATCCATTTTTAAAGTACAGAAAAATACAGATAACAGAATAACAAGACCCAAGAAATGATACATATTGTGAAGTTTAACTTCGAGGGTTTTTTATTTTGGTAAAAGAAATAAAACATTGCCAATTAACTCGAAATACCCTTTGAATCTTACGCCTAGTCCTCTATCCTGGGCCTTTTTATCTCCTCTACCTCCCACTCAGGCAACTACTATATCATTCTTATTCTTTTTTATGCATATACTTGTATCCCTGAATAATACACAGTATTGGTATATAATATTTGAAAGGGGGTTCTAACTTTTATAAATGGTTATTATTCTGTATGTGTTTCAGGAATTTAAATATAATTTAAAGTTTATTATGTGTCTTTTCACTGATTATGTTTTGAGAGCTGTGTTTTAAAAGGGCATAACTAGTTTATTCTTTTTAACTGAAATTCAATATTTTAATATATGAAGACCATATTCTATTTATCCATTGTGATATTGATGCATATTATATGCATTTATTTTAGACATATAGCTGGTAAGGTTAGAGGAAAATAAAATCTAACAGAGAAGTATGGGAAAATATAATATTGAATATCTGACCCCTCCTTTTGAAACATATTTATTTCTGCAAAAATGAAATGCCTACGGTAGTTTTCGAGCATTTATGTATAAAGGTTAGTTCCTTTCAAAGTAAAGCTCTACACTTACTTTAATGTCTCATGCCTGTCTGGATGGTGCTGAATCACTTTTGCCAAAGCATCATATTCTGTAAGACATAAAAATATTTATCAAACTAAGGATTTTTTGAATGTGAATTATCAAAACAAAATGTGTAATATCACAAACCTCTCCTAATCACTTTCCTAGTACATCAAGAAATGAAATCACTGAAAGATGAGTATTGCCAGTTTTAGTTAACTGAGTTATAATTATAACGATACATAACATCAAAAGTGTTCCAAACAGGGGTTTTAGCTCCCACTTTTTTTCCATTTATATGTCCTGGACAGAACGTAAGAGGTCAGCATAAGCATAAGCAAATTTAAGTTATTATTGATTATCAAATAGACTGATTCTGAGAAGGATCTTACTCACTAGTTGTCCAAAAAGTAAAATAAAATAAAATACAATCAGTGAATATATCCTACCATTAATCTGAGTTGTTAGTCAACAGCAAATTACACTTCTCACTCATTCCAAAAGTTAAGATTTCAGAAACTTGCAAATAACTTAAAATTCAGGTTCTATTTTCTGCTCCACTGAGACCTCCAAGATAAGTCATGTAACTCCTGTTAAGCTTTCTTATGAAGTGATGAGTGGCAGGATTTACTTAAAAGCCTCATTAACCAACGAAAACACTGCAAAATATTTTTAGATGACTTTAGAACTGATACTAAGTTGGTATATGTTACTGTAAATAAGGCACCAAAACTTCACCATACACATTTTAAACTGAAAAAAAAAACTTGTAAAAAGAGGAAATTAAGCTTCATCTTAATTAGTTCATTAAAAAGTGAAAATTCATTGTTTTAGAACTGAGCATATTAATTCAAAGTATGATTCTTTTGGATACAAATTTTTTGAATTACAAAATAATACATGCCCTATGTAAAACAAAACAAAACAACACAAAAACAGAGAAAAGAACCTAAGCCATAAAAACCCACAACTTCAAAATAACCATTAACATTTTCTATTTTCTTCTAGTTTTTCATATCAATGTAACAGTTGTGATTACACATTATATTTTTTATTTTTACTTTTCTTCAATTTACATTATAAGAAGAGCAGTGCCTCTAACATTAAAAATTATCTTGAAATAGTATTTAGGAACTACATAAGGGTATACTCTAACTTAAAAACAAGAGATTATAACAAAACTCAACTTTAACCTTCTTATTAGATATTCTAGGCAGTCTAGAAATGTTTGCTTGCTTTGTACTTAATGAAAACTCAGAGTTTAAATTCTTTTCCATTTCATTTTTTGGAAAGTAGCTCTATTAAACAAACAAACAAAAAACCCAAACCATAAATCTAGTATATTTATGTAAATTGCCTCTGCTGATTAACCATAACATTATTTAGGCAAAAGGGTCCAAGATGGTAAAAATTTAATACTTAAGAAATACTGGGATAAGAAAAAAAAAGAGAAAAACAGAAAAGAAATACTTGGATAATCAATGTAATCCAGCAAAAACATTCTTCTCAACACAGACTTCCTTCTCTATTTTAAAGAATAATATAGTTTTAAGGAATTAAAATTTGGATTTTTTTTAATCCAGGTTGATTCAGGCTGCAGATTTTACCTCACAACATTAAAAACTGCATGAAAACTGTAGTCAGTAATAATGTATTTGCACATTAAATCCCTCAAAACCCTTACCTTGGCGATTTTTTCGTATTCGTTTTGCTTGAAGAATTTGCTTTTTGCACTCAGCAATTTTTTCATGTGCTCCAGCTATGCTACATTCTATATGAGAAGGTTTTTTAAAAGATAGTTGTAACAAAATCAATAATCCATTTTTAATTTTAAAACGCATTTATAAATTAACCTCTATTGGTAACAAAATAGACACTAGTATTTTTAAAAAATAGCTGTAACCCAAAGTACTATATCATCTTAGAATACACATTTTTTATAGCTAACATTTACTGTATTCTTTCCATTAATACAGTAATTGTTATTATTCTTTTACCACCAAAGAAAATTGTTAGCAGGTATTGTTTCCTTTAGACCATAAAAAATAAAATTACAGATAGAAACATTAAGATTCTTTACCTATTTCCTTGTAAATTTTTTCATAATTTTCCATTTCTCTGAGATTCATATCATATACTAGTAAAGTTTTGCCCATTGAAAATTCACATTGAGACAGCGTGCTCAGCATACGTTGGTACTGGCTATATCTAATGAAAAAGAAAGAAAACCAAAATAAAGATATTTGTGGACTGACAAAAGTGAACTGTTATAATGCAGACAAATATTTGCTAATTAAATTATAGCAAGTTCTGAGAGAATCATTTGCTTATTTAAAATTTAGAATATCTGTCCCTTAAGTTTTCTTTTTATCAAATGTAGTATTCTTGAATTTAACTACTTTAGTTACAAATGCAAAGGTGGGATTGTTGTTCTTATCAATGCACATTTTATTCAAACAATTATTTGAATTTTGTTTAAAAGACTTTAGAAATACTTTAAGATGTTTTTTTAACTTCACAATTCTGTTCCCACAATTTTTTCACTCTATAAAATTATTTATATGGAAAGCAAATTCAAATGAGAAAAAGTTTGCTATGTTAAAAAATAAATAAATATAGTTAGGCGTGGTAGCTCATGCCTGTAATTCTGGAATTTTGGGAAGCCAAGGTGGGCAGATCACTTAATGCTAGAAGTTTGACACCAGCCTGGCCAACATGGTGAAACCCCATCTCTACTAAAATACAAAAATTAGTCAGTCATGGTGTTGCATGCCTATAATCCCAGCTACTCAGGAGGTTGAGGCACGAGTACTGCTTGAACCTGGGGGGCGGAGGTTGCAGTGAGCCAAGATTGTGCCATTGCACTCCAGCCTGAACAACAGAATGAGACTCTGTCTCACAAAAAAAAAGATTAGATATACGTGTGTGCGTGTGTATCAGGTTGGTACAAAAGTAATCGTGGTTTCTGCCATTTCTGCCATTAAAGTTAATGGCAGAAATCACGATTAATTTTGCACCAACTTAATATATACATACATAGCAGCAGCCTTTTATTAGCAAAGGAGAAAATTCCATTTAGATATTTTATCTTACTAAACACTTATGTCCTAAAAGTAACCAAACTAATGAGTCTGAATTTAATCTTCATTTCTCCTTACCAATCTGCCTTCTCCATGTTTTAATAAACATATGAGAGGCCTTTGAAGAGAAGAAAAGGCCAAGAAAATCTACTCTTGGTTAATTAAGAGTTGACTCCACTGTACATTTAAGGTGAGTGAAAATTTGATCTACTCACAGGACCTTAATATAGGGCCTAAAATCACATTAGGACACTGGTATGGAAACAACAGTGAAAATGAAATACCCCTCTTCCTGGGACCCAGAGTTGCACCATTTAATGAAACTCTTCACTAGCAGATTAATTCTCCGATCATCTCCAGCACCATCTCCATCAATGAGGAGACGCTTCCGTATAACTTCGTCTGCAGGAAAGAAGGGCAATGTTACCATCTGGCTCTTGGTAACTTTCAAGTACAAATAACCAGTATCACTGTTCATTTGTTTATTCAAAAGAAAATTATTGAAATGTAAATGCATTTAATGCCACTGAACTGTACACTTAAAAATGGCTAGCTAAAATGGTAAATTTTATGTTATGCATAGTTTATGTTATTGTATATAATAAAAAATATTTATATACTAAAGAAAAAAGAAAGTTATTGCATGACTATTGTGTGTCAGGTACTATTCTAGGGGCTGGAGTAATAGCAGTGAAAAGACATCGTTACAGAGTTGGCAGTCTACTGGGTTGTTGAGTGGAAATAATTTTCAGGTACAATCAAGGAAATAAGCCAATAATTCATAGAGAACCTTTTGTGAAATAACCTGCCCAGACAGACAGAACTCCAAATGTTAATGTCTCTGGCTGTTGAGAAGCACTGACAAAAGGAATAGACAGGAAATATTTAAAAGATGTAGTGGCAAACTAGGAAAAAAAAATGAGATGGGTGAGGGAAAAAGGAATGGATTTGTTAGATAAACATATAATTTAAGGCTGGGTGGGGTGGCTAAGGGAGTATCACTTGAGCCCAGGAGTTTGAGACCAGCCTGACCAACACAGTGAGACTCTGACTCTACAAAAAATAAAAATTAGCTGGGTGTGGTGGCATGTGCCTGTTAGTCCCAGTAACTTGGGAGGCTGAGGTAGGAGGATCACTTGAGCCTCGGAGATCAAGGCTGCATTGAGCCATGATCTCACCACTGGACTCCAGCGCCTATTGGCAACAAAGCGAGATGCTGTCTCCAAAGAAAAAAATAAAAAATAAAAAAATACAGATGACAATGATGGCCAACAAGTGGGGTCCAAATCTGTCTGCCTGGCAGTCCTGAGCTAGTGTTCTTTCCTGGACAAAATGATGCTGGATCGTAACAAGAGCAAGGCAAGTTAAAACCACAGTAAAACGTCATTTTTCAACTATCAGATTGGCAAAAGATCTGATAAAACTGTTGGCAAGGGTGTTAGAAAACTGCACTTTTATACACTAATAAAATGCAAACTGGTAATTCTTTGTAGGGCCACTGAACAATAACAAATAAAATTAAAAACACACTACCATTCTGACCCCATAATTCCAATTCTAGAAGTTTGTCCTATAGAAGTGCACTCATGCACAAAGACAGACATAAAGGGATGTTCTTAGTGGTACTGTTTATAGTAGAAAGATTGCAAACCTATTCATCAGTAAGAAACTGGTTAAATGATGAAACATTCACATAATGTAATAGTATGAGCCAAAAGAATAGTGCAGATATACTGATACCAAAAAACTCTCCTTAGATACATTAAGTAAAATGAAAACAAAACAGGTGTAGAAAAGCATATACAATATGTTGCCATATGTGTGGAAAAAGGAGGCTTTGCGTGTGTGCATGTGTATCACACATGCATGTGTGTATTCAGAGACTATCCTTGGACAGATCCACAAGAAACTTGTAATAGCGGTTATTTCTGGTAAGAGGGACTACAGATAGAGGTGGGAAAAGATAATTTTCCTGCATGTCTTTGTAGAATTTGGGGGGTTTTCTGTTTTGTTTTTTATAGTACGCAGTAATTATTTTTTAAAATAAATTTTAAAGTGTGAATAATTCCTGGAGAGCCTCCATGCTGAATCAACAGCAAAATCTTTAAACAATAGTTCCTGTGTGTAGGCAGAAGTATTTTTGAGCGCAGGTGCAGCGGAGATAAACTTTGGAAGGCAGATGGCTCCAGTTTTAAAATATATTGTGATAATATCAGATAAACATTTTTAGAATTGGGTTTGGTTCTCAGAGTCATGGCTTTGACAGACTGCTCAAGCTACATATTCATCAAGTGTTTTAATTTTATATTTTAAAAATACAAACTAATGCTTTCGGTTTTTTAACCACCAACATTATTATCTGAAGAGACTGAGACAAATAAAACATAGTCCTTGAAGAGATTAAAATGCAGGAAATAAATACTAATAGAATTTTCTTACTACAAATGTTTTAAGTTTATTAAAAAGAAGCATCTAGTGGGTGAATCTGGTGGCACTGATGGTATTCAACAGTTCCTTTGCTAGTCTTATCTGTGTTCTTCTCAAGTCTCCAAGAAATACCATTTTTTTTGCTACATGCCTGGATCTCCAACTGTATTGAGGACTGGGGATTTCAAATGTAAATACATTAAAGTAATAGGAAAACAACATCTAAGGCAACCTGGGGAGTGAGTGCCCTGATTGAGAGGAAAAAATATTAATAGATCTAAGAGAGATTAAAGTTTGATGCTGTGGTTTGAATGTCCCCTCCAAAACTCATGTTGAAATTTAACAGCCATTGAAATGACCTGAATAGACACTTCTCAAAAGAAGACATACAAATGGCCAACAGGTATATGAAAAAATTCTCAACATCACTAATCAGGGAAATGCAAATCAAAACCACAGTGAGATACTAGCTCACCCCACTGAGAGAGGCTATTATCAAAAAGACAAACAATAACAAGTGTTGGTGAGGATGTGGAGAAAGCAGAACCCTTATACACTATTGGTGGAATGTAAATTAGTACAGGTATTATGGAAAACAAAATGAAGAGTCCTCAAAAAACTGAAAATATGAGCTGGAGAATTCACAACCTAAGTGTCCACTGATCAATGAGTGAATAAAGAAAATGTGGTATCTATACACCATGGAATACTACTCAGCCATAAAAAGGAATGAAATAGTGTCTTCTGCAGCAACCTGGATGGAGCTGGAGGCCATTATTCTAAGTGAAGTAACTCAGGAATGGAAAATCAAATACCATATGTTCTCACTTATAAGTGGGAGCTAAGCTATGAGGACACCAAAACATACAGAGTGACATAATGGACTCTGGAGATTAAGAAGATGGAGGCTGGGAGAGGGGTGAGGGAAAAAAAAACTACATTGGGTACACTGGGTATAAGTACACACTTGTGTAGTACACTACCCGGGTGACAGGTGCACTAAAATATCAGAATTCACCACTGATCTGGCTGGAATGCAGTGGCATGATCTCGGCTCACTGCAACCTCCACCTACTGGGTTCAAGCCAGCCTCCTACCTCAGCCTCCCAAGTAGCTGTGACTACACATGCAGGCCATCATGCCTAGCTAATTTTTGTATTTTTTTTTTTTATAGAGACAGAGTTTCACCATGCTGCCCAGGCTGGTCTCAAACTACTGAACTCAAGTGATCCACATGCCTCAACCTCCCAAGTGCTGGAATTACAGGCATGAGCCTCTGTGCCTGCCCCAACCCCTCCAAAAACCGTATGTATATTTGTTTGTTTGTTTGTTTGTTTGGAGACAGAGTCTCACTCTTTCATCCAGGCTAGAGTACAGTGGCATGATCTCGGCTTACTGCAACCTCTATCTCCTGGGTTCAAGCGATTCTCTTGCCTCAGCCTTCCGAGCAGCTGGGATTACAGGCATGTGCCACCATGCCCAGCTAATTTTGTATTTCCAGTAGAGATGGGGTTTAACCATCTTGGCCAGGCTGGTCTCAAACTTCTGACCTCAAATGATCCGCCTACCTCGGCCTCTCAAAGTGCTGGGATTACAGGCATGAGCCACTGTGCCAGGCCTCAATAATTCTTTTAAAATTAAAAATGGAACTACCATATGATCCAGCAATCCCACTACTGGTTATGTGTCCAAAGGAAATAAAATCAGTATGTCAAAGAGGTATCTGCACTCCAACGTTTATAGCAGCCTTATTCACAATAGCCAAGGTATGGAATCAATTTGGGTGTTTACCAACAGATGAATGAATTAAAAAAAATGTGGGCTGGGCGTGGTGGCTCACGCCTGTAATCCCAGCACTTTGGGAGGCCAAGGTGGGCGCATCACGAGGTCAGGAGATCGAGACCATCCTGGCTAACACAGTGAAACTCTGTCTCCACTAAAAATACAAAAATATTAGCCAGGCATGGTGGCTGGTGCCTGTAGTCCCAGCTACTCAGAAGGCTGAGGCAGGAGAATGGCGTGAACCCGGGAGGCGGAGCTTGCAGTGAACCGAGATCACGCCACTGCACTCCAGCCTGGGCGACAGAGTGAGACTCCGTCTCAGAAAAAAAAAAACAAAACTGTGGATGTGTGTGTATATATATATGTGTGTATGTGTTACACACACAAATATGTGTTACACATACACATACATACATAAACAATGAAATACTATTCAACCATAAAAAGGAGGACATCCTGTCATTTCAACTACATGGATGAACCTAGAGAACATTATGCTAGGTGAAATAAGGCAGGCACAGAGAGATAAATAATGCATGATCACACTTACATATGGAATCTAAAAAAGGTGGTCTCACAGAAATAGAGAGTATAATGGTGGTTACCAAAGGCTGGGGTGGCTAGGGAGAAGGAGGTTGGGGAAATGTTAGTCAAAAGATACATACTTACAGTTAGGCAAGAGCAATAAATTTCAAGAGACCTAATTGTACAGCAAGGTGACTATAGTTAATGATGATATAGTATATTCTTGAAAAATGTAAAAAGAGTGAATGTGATATGCTCTCACCACAAAAATGATAACTCTGTGAGGTAATGCATTTGTTAATTAGCTAGTTAACCATTCCACAATGTATATATACTCCAACACATCATACTGTACATGACAAAAATACACAATGTTATCTGTCATTTTAAAATAAATACATAAAAAAGAAGGAAGTTTAATTGCCATCGTGCCAGTATTAACAGGGGGAACCTTGAAGAGGTGACTGAAGAAGTGATCAGGTCATTAGGACTGTGCCCTGATGAACAGGCTTATGCAGCTATTGTGGAAATAGGTTAGTAATCTCGGAGTGAGCTCCTGATAAAAGGGTGAGTTCAGCTCCATTTCTTTTCTCCATCTCACACTCTCCTTTGCCATGTGATACCTTTTGCCATGTTATGACACAGCAAGAAGACCCTCACCAGATTTGGCCCTTTGATCTTGAATTTCCCACCCTCTAGAACCATAAGTCAAATAAACTTTTATTGCTTATAAATTACCCATTCTCTGGTATTCTATTACAGCCTTGGAAAACAGAGTAAGACGGAAAATTGTACTGGCAGTGTGGCTGTTGCTATAATACCTGAAAATGTGGAAGCGGCAAGTGTTGCCCAAGTCTAGAATCATAAATAAAGACAATTGAGATCTTTACATTTGTTGTAATTTTGTCTCTTGACAGATGACCACAAAAGGACCTGGAGACAGCTGACCTGAGACTCCTTGAGGAACACAGGAAAAGGTGATGCTAACCTTCTTTTCTGGGGGTGGGGGGTACTATCTCCTTCATGTAGCCCTGAGGGTTAAGTCCCCCTCAGATCTGAGCTCTGCTCTCTTTAAGTATTTAAGCTCGCTGATATCTTTGGCTTTGGGGGTATCAAGATTAGTTTGTGCTATGAGAGGACATTTGACTTTGGGGTACCTAGGGTTAGTTTGTACTGTGGCAGGGCACATGACTTCTGGGTTCATAGTGGCTGACAAGTCACTGGCAATGACTACATTGTTTCGGCTCCCACTCTGGTGATATCTCATGCATGATGCCATAAAAGGCTTGGGTCAAGCCCTGAAGAATGTGGCTGGACAGAAATACGGGTTGCATCCCATTGGTGACCAGCATATGACCAGAGGGAAATGTGCGTTACACTCTCTGTGGCTACCATAAAGGGCTGCAGTAGTAAAGGTAACCAACGGCAGTCACAGTAAGTGGTTATTACCATGAGGTGGAGGGGGACATGAACTCTGGCTTTTGGAATTCATAGGTATGTGTGTTCTTTTTTTCTTACATGTTTAGATGAGGGAGGCCTCAGGCATCTGACTGGGTCAGACAAAAAAGAAACTGAAATGTCATTAGCTAAGTTGGTCAAGGCGATCTCAAAGCCAAAGCCATTTTGGCTTTGGAAGACCCAATATCCAACATAAAATGGTTTCTTTAATTTCTAAAGATCTGAGTACCCTCCCTTCTGGCCAGTCTGCCTTTTTTGTGTATAAGGTTTCTGGTTCTGGAAGCTACAAATATTTACAAATGGCAAAATCTTACAAAAGATAATTCAGAATTATGATGCCATTACATGGAATGTTCCACATGAAAAAGACTATTCATCTAAGAAGTGCACTCGAACCCCGAGCCTCCCAAATTATGCAGAGAGAACAAAATTCTTATTGGCATTCAGAAGCCTCAAAGAGACAGTCCTCTAAAATCACCTTTTAAAAAGATTCACTGTAAAGAGCTAATGAAAAGCTGGAAATGGAAGATATTCCCTTACCAAGGATGGTAAAACTGATGTAACTCCTACTGCCTCTCTCTCTCTTTCTTTGCCTGAATATTTACAATCTACTACTAAATATTCAGTCTGCTTTGTCTGAATTGCCTTTCTTCCCTGAAAAAAGCAGTTAAACAGTTTCCTTATAAGAGAATCGTCTGAAAAATCAGGAGATAATCCCCAAGCGACTTGCACTCCCTGGACAAAAATGGACTTCAGGGCCACAGTTCAAGATTTTCCTAAACCTAGAGAAAAATTTCACAAGTTTTCTGAAGAATTCAGGGTCTTACTAGTAACTTATTATTTAAAAATTTTTATTTTTTTTAGACGGAGTTTCACTCTTGTTGCCCAGGCTGGAGTGCAAGGGCGCAATCTTGGCTCACCACAACCTTCGTCTCCTGGGTTCAAGCTATTCTCCTGCCTCAGCCTCCCAAGTAGCTGGGATTACAGGCACCCACCACCACGCCAGGCTAATTTTTTTGTAGTTTTAGTAGAGACGTGGTTTTACCATGTTGGCCAGGCTGGTTCTCAAACTCCTGACCTCAGGTGATCCACCCACCTCGGCCTCCTAAAGTGCGGGAATTATAGGCATGAGCCACCGTGCTTGGCCTTACTGGTAATTTATAACCCCAGTATACTTGATCTGTACCAACTAGTATATGTGTTGGTGTACTCTAGGGAGCCCCACATGGATGAAAGAGGCAGAATGATAGTCTCCTGAGAATTCTATCAAGTACCCAACAAGTCCCGTCCGATCTACTTATGGGTCAGGCAAAACCCAAAAGACTGCAAATTACAGTTTGAAAAGCCATTCCCCAAGTATTTCAGCTCCATGACAACCAGCAACCTAGAATGACATTTGGGCCTGTCCTAGGGTGCTTCCCCAAATAAGCAATCCCTAAAACAGCAGTTTCCAAAAATTCACTAGTAGGAGGGCTAGAACGCCTCCTAGTTTGTTGGGAATGGATCGAAGAATTGCGTAGGCGAATAGGAAGTACCACCACTTGTGCAAATAACCAGGACATTGGAAAAAGGACTGCTAAAAAAAATTTCTAGGAAAGCCCCTAAAATCAGGCTTCCCACCCACCCTGTGATAAAAAAAGTTCCTATAAATCTGGTATGTATTGGTATAAATGCTATCAGTCATAATTTTGGTTGAAAAATAACCAAATTTCCTTGTCAATTTCATCATTATTTTAATGAACTCTCATCAGGTTTTAACCATGGCCATTTTAAGTCATGTTGTCCACAGTTAATTGTTTTGGTTCTAATGCCTTTTATGAAAGCTTTCTGCAAGCAATTATAATCCTAAAGTGCTGTGTCTCCAAAAAGCTATATCAGAAGAATGAAAAGAAGGCCGGGTGCAGTGGCTCACGCCTGTAATCCCAGCACTTTGGGAGGCAGAGGCGAGCGGATCACTTGAGGTTAGGAGTCGAGACCAGGCTGGCCAACAAGGCGAAACCCTGTTTCTACCAAAAATACAAAAATTAGCCGGGTGTGGGGTTGCGTGCCTGTAATCCCAGCTACTCAGGAGGCTGAGGAAGGAGAATTGCTTGAACCCAGGAGGCAGAGGTTGCAGTGAGCCAAGATCGTGCAACTGCACTCCAGTCTGGGCAACAGAGTGAGACTCTGTCTCAAAAAACAAACAAAAAAAACAAACTCTGACATAACTTTTAGTTTATACCATTGGACAAAATTTCCAAAAGTTTAATGAAGAAACTGTAAACCAAAAATAAAATTCTAAGCCCTCCAGCCAATTGAATGGACACCCATTCAATAGGCCAAGGGCTTTCCAAAGTAAACCTGAAAAACTAGTTTAGGCCATGATGGGAATGGGGGTGGGGTCAGAATGCCTCATTACACCCTCCTTCTAGAATTCAGGCACAACTGACCAGCATGAACATTAAAACAGAGATCTTAAGACTGACCAAACAGACTCTTTGTACCAATAAGATACATCACATGACAGCAGACATTGAAATAAATTGAAGTATTTTACTCTGAAATATATTTCTTTGATGTATTTAAAAATGGCCCTGCAAAGTTGTCTCATAAATCTACATTCTGTGGAGAATCCCCTTCCCTTTCCAGGTCTTTTCCTGATCCAGGAGAGATTAAGAGTCTGGCACCTTTTTAAGTCTGATAAGAAATATTTACCATCTATTCTCTGTGAAGCCTGCTAGCTGGAGGTTTCATCTGTGTCAGAACCTTGGCCTCCACAACCCCTTATTTCAACCCAGAAATTCCTTTCTATTGATTCCAGGTCTTCAGACAATAACTTAACCAATTACCAATCAGAAAATCGACTCCACCTATGAGCTGGAAGTCCTTCCCACCCCCCACCTTCAAGCTGTCCTGCTTTTCTGTACTGAACCAATATACATCTTACGTGTATTCATTGATGTCTGCCTGTAACTTCTGTCCCCCTAAAATGCATAAAATCAGCTGTAATTCAACCACCTTCGGCACATCTCAGGACCTCCTGATGCTGTGGCATGTCTTTAACCTTGGCAAAATAAACTCCTAAATTGATTAAGACTTGTCTCAGATACTTTTTGGTTGACAAATTTGATGGGTTTGTAAAACTGCTAACCAAGATCAAACAGAGCACGAATTAATTACATGAGACTGATTGAACTGATAAATAAAAACTATGGGTTTTCATGGCTTCTTTATTTGAAACATTGCTGTTTTTTTTAATATTTTGTTTTACAGATTTAAGGAAACTTCTTTTTTTAAAAGCTATCTATAGCTTACAGCAATTTGGTAAAGCATACTTTTATGAATAAAAACAGAAACATTTGCTTTTTCTTTCTACCTGATGATATCTCCAGAATTTGGAAACTATTTGTTAGTACTGTTATTTTTACGGCAATTTGGTTGTCTGCATAAGTTCAACAAAGAATCTGTTCTCTTTAACAGGATACAATTGGAAACAGTGGTTATATTATCAAGGCTCTGACAGGAATACCATATTTGAAAATGTTCTTAGAATGCCTAGCTTCACCTGGGCATGGTGGCTCACGCCTGTAATCCCAGCACTTTGGAGGCCAAGGCGGGTGGATCATCTGAGGTCAGGAGTTCAAGACCAGCCTGGCCAACATGGTGAAACCCTGTCTCTACTAAAAATACAATAAATTGGCCGAGTGTGGTGGCATGAGCCTGTAATACCAACTACTCAGGAGGCTGAGGCAGGACAATTGCTTGAACCCAGGAGGCGGAGGTTGCAGCGGGCCAAGACTGCGTCACTGCCCTCTAGCCTGGGTGACAGAGTAAGACACCATCTCAAAAAAACAAGAATGCCTAGCTTCAAGGATTCTCAGCTTTATAGTGAATGAGTAAAGGTTGTCACTTCCTGGCAGGCCCATGAACCTCAAGGTACTAGATACAGCAGGCAAAGTCTGATGTGTGCCTTCATTTGGCTTCCTAACATTGAGAGGTTTCTAAAATTCTAATCTGAGATTCCTTGTCAAAGTTTGCAGCAAAGCAAATTTAAAAGACGGCTATGTAGTTATTCTTGCTGCACTTTTATAAATAATCAGGCAAATTGGTCTGTGATTATCTTTTGTAGAAATGAGGGTGAATGTAGAGAAAAAAATTACGTTAAAAAAAGTTATAGTGGCCTTGTTATTAGATTGTAGCCTGGCTCATTGTTTTTGCTTTTCTTTTTTCTTTTTCTCCTTTTTTCACTAGTAGACTAGACTGGATTCTGAATTCTTCTAGTTTTCTCTAATATCTGGCTAAGACTCTCAAATAACAAAAACGGCTGTTTCTCAAGCCCTATAAGCAAAAGCTGGACAACTCGATGTAAATTTCAAGGGAGATATCTCATACCTGATACATGTGCCACATAGAGAATTCACCAGAATGCCTGATGTCACACCAGAGACAATCAAACTGCAAATCAGGATGAGAAGTTGTTGACTTCATGCTGGGGACAACTTTTCCCAAGACCATTGGAATAAGACTCCCCATCATAAGAAGACTCTTACTCCTCTTAATTATTCCTTATTTATGCCTACTTCTTTCCCTTGACTAGATAATGCTATACAGTTTCACAATCAGTAATTCCTAGAAGTAATTTGGGACTGCCGGCTTTTATTTATTTATTTACTTAGAGATGGAGTTTCACTCCCATTGCCCAGGCTAGAGTGCGGTGGTGTGATCTCGGCTCACTGCAACCTCTGCCTCCCGGGTTCAAGCAATAACCCTGTCTCAGCCTCACAAGTAGCTGGGATTATAGGCACGTACCACCACACCCAGCTAATTTTTCTATTTTTAGGAGAGTCAGGGTTTCACCATTTTGGCCAGGCTGGTCTCAAACTCCTGACCTCAAATGATCCACCCACCTTGGCCTCCCAAAGTGCTGGGATTACAAGCGTGAGTCACCATGCCTGGCCTCTGCTTTAATTTAAGATAGTCATGGGATACTAGATTACCAACTAAACAAGGAGCAATCTGTGCAATTTATCTTTCTTTCTTTCCTTTTTTTTTTTTTTTTTTTTGAGACGAGTCTCGCTCTGTCGCCCAGCCTGGAGTACAGTGGCACAATCTCGGCTCACTGCAACCTCTGCCTCCTGGGTTCAAGCAATTCTCCTGCCTCAGCCTCTCTAGTAGCTGGGATTACAGGTGCCTACCACCACGCCCAGCTAAATTTTGTATTTTAATAGAGATGGAGTTTCACCATGTTGGTTAGGCTGGTCTCAAAAACTCGTGACCTCAGCAATTCACCTCCCTCAGACTCCCAAAGTGTTGGGATTACAGGCGTGAGCCACTGCACCTGACCTCTGCTTTAATTTAAGATAGTCATGGGAGGCTAGATATCAATTAATTAAACAGGGATCCATCTGTGCAACTGATATTTCTTGTTGCACATAAATACATTGGGTATTGTAGAGCAGATTACTTTGTTAAAACATGTAGACTCCTCATCTAGTTATTTGATTTTAGTTGGTTTGGCTCATGGGAATCCTGGCTAAGGAGAAAGCTCCAAACTCTTCATGTTTTCCACCTGCTAATCACAACAGTAGTCTCCCTGGTGTACTGTATCTTCTCAAAAAGTTTTAAATGTTTCCAGAGAGCCATCTGTCAAGCATCAAATGGTATGTCTTTAGCTGGAACAACAAAAACTCAAACAAACTTATAATAATGGGGAGGACACAATAAGCTATAAACACATGCTGAGACTAGAAACTCAGAATGATGGCAACTGATAGTACTGATGACCTAAGTTTTGGTTACACTCTCACCTACATAACAACCTGACCAAAAGGGAAAACTGTCAAATAAAAATTACAGGAGGCCATTGTTTTGGACTAAGTTCTTGTACTATGTCCCAATGGACCAGACTAAAAATCAAAATGGAGTCACCCATGCTAAAGTTCCATGTCACCAAACCTAGACTAAGTCGTTACCCAACCTTGTAAGAGATCAGAAGAGAATAACAGCTAATTTCCCAAAGAGGCCAGTTTAAATCTTCCGTGGGTATAATAATGAAGTTCCTTCTACTTTAGTCCTTGCTTCTCTACAAAAAAGGTAGGCTGAAATAACCTCATGTTAACTAATTAGTTATTTTTCTATCGTTGGCCTCTCTGTCCCCAACTTACAAGAAGAGTAGCTTTGAAATGACTAATATGCTGTCTGTTCTGTGCTTCTACGTTCTTTAGCCCTTCTCTGTATATAAAGCCAGCCTCTGCTCCTCGGCTTATTGGAACACTTATTCTATTTTATGGAATGATGTCTGGCCCAATTCTAGAATCGAGAATAAAGCCAATTGAGATCTTTAAACTAAAAAATAACCTTCAAGTCTGTCCCTCCCACCACAGACCCAGGCCCAGAACTATAGGCGGGTAGAATGGTTTTGGAGGACTGACCTAGGGTGCCCTCCATAGGTTTGCTGCCCAGAGCTACCTTGGGTCTCTGCTCCCTGCATTCTGGCACAGTGCTCCTCGGCCACCCCAGTTGTGGTTCAAGAAGGCCCAAGTGCAGCTTGACTTACTACTTGGGAAGATACAGCCATAAAACTTGGTAGCATCTACATGACGCTAATTCTGCAGGCATGCAGAATGCAAGTTGTTCTCTGACCTTCCAAGAGATCCGCCTAGATTTCAAAGGATGCTGTGGACAGCCTAGAAGCCCAGACAGAGACCCGTCAAAGGGGCACAAGGAGTCCCTACTAGTGCAGTGCTGAGCAGTATAGATACCCTGGAAGGATATACAAAAAACTAATAAAAGGGGTTACACCAAGAGAGAAGGCAGTATAAGTGGGGTGGATGGGGAACAGACTGGAAGATTGGAGATTATCTTTTTATAGTATTTGATTTTTGAACCATATGTACTCAAAACTTGTTAGCTGTTGTTAAAAAAGAAAGCTGAAGTCCTTTCCTTCTTCTCACCCCAGGCAGGGAGAAAGCTGTGCTCTAGCAGAGGCTGGGTGGGGAATGAAAGGCTGAAGCTGGGGCATGAGTGTGTAGAACACTAGGGAGGCTGGATGAGTGAAGACAAATAGCAGGACCCAAAGATATACAAGCAGTTGGGAGTCAGATTTTGGGAGTCACACCAGTAAATACTATACTTGTACATCTTGCTGGTAGGAAACTGGGAGTTGCTAAAGATTCATGGGCCAGAATTTTTAGGAGGATGTACAAACTGGATTGTAACTGGGAAAAGCCCAGAGGCAGGGAGGCTAGTTAGGAGGCTACCAAAGCATACACAGTTAGGAGCTAACATGGCCTGAACTAAAAAGGAGAGATTAGAATCACAGGTCCTGGCTGGGCACGATGGCTCATGCCTATAATCCCAGCATTTTGAGAGCCCAAGGTGGGCAGATCACTTGAGGTCAGGAGTTTGAGACCAGGCTGGCCAAAATGTTGAAGCCCTGTCTCTCCTAAAAATACAAAAATTAGCTGGGCGTGGTGGCACGCACCTGTAATCGCAGCTACTCGGGAGGCTGAGACAGGAGAATTGCTTGAATCCAGGAGGTGGAGTTTGCAGTGAGCCTAGATCTCGCCACTGCACTCTAGCCCGGGTGGCAGAATGAGACTCTGTCTCAAAAAAGAAAAAAAAAAAAAAAAAAAGAATCACAGGTCCTAGAAGGCAGGTTAGGACTGAGCAGATGACTTGGTTAGGAAAAAACAGGGGCCAATGCCAACATTGGGGTGGCACAAGTAGGAGTGTGGCACCACTAGTTCTGGCAGCACAGGGAATTCCCTGTCCAGGCATTCACAGGCCCTCCTCCCACTCAGCCCTCTCCCTCTTTAGTCTAAGCACACCTCACAGCCAACTGCCTAGACCAGAAAAACGAAACAAAACAAAAACTGGACCCAATGTTTACTGTGTGTGCATGTGTGTATATTCACGTAAGACCAACATCTGATTTCATCTGTAAAATGGGAATAAAACTATCTACTTTATAGAAATATTGGGAAACTTAAGGGAAATAAAAGTATACAAAGGAGCACAATGTCTGTCTATAGTACGAAAACAAAAAATATGTTATCCTTATGTTTATGTTAAATTTAATTCACGGCCGGGCACTATGGCTCACGCCTGTAATCCCAGCACTTTGGGAGGCCAAGGCGGGAGGATCACGAGGTCAGGAGATCGAGACCATCCTGGCTAACGCGGTGAAACCCTGTCTGTACTGAAAATACAAAAAATTAGCCGGGCATAGTGGCGGGCGCCTGTAGTCCCAGCTATTCGGGAAGCTGAGGCAGGAGAATGGCGTGAACCCGGGAGGTGGAGCTTGCAGTGAGCCAAGGTCGCGCCACTGCACTCCAGGCTGGGTGACAAAGCGAGACTCCGTCTCAAAAAAAAAAAAAAAAAATTTAATCCACAACTTGTATCATCCTATAAAAGTCAGAGTAAATGTTGAAGATTTATCTATAGATATATCTATGTAGATACATATTAGGCATTTATGCATATCAAGTTTTGCCCAGTTAGGATTCCTTACAAATTTGCTTCTGTCTCAAATTTACTGGGAAGGTCATGGCGTTTCTAGCTGAAATTGTGCACAGAGAGTTGCTGCCTAGAAAACTCTGTGGACAAGAATTATTGAAATAACATGTATAAAGTACAGAGCACAGCTCCAACAGAAACAGAATAAAACAAAAAGGTAAGCTCTCAGTTTGAGAATAGCCTCTGTTCTTTTTAAATTTAAAGATGGACTGCTGCTGATAGTTCCTAACACAAATGCCATGAGCATTATTATTTTTAATGACATCTTATCAATTAGCTCCATAATGAACACACTTAAAATATGTTTTGTTTACTATACATGTTGACTTCACAAATTATCATGCTTGAAACCCTCTGTAAGCAGTTTGAATGCTTATATTAGTAATTCTGCTGGGCTTTGGTCTATCCTGTAAAAACAGTAAAGATGGCTTAGCAGATTTTTTGTTATTTTTTTTATGTTATCAACATCACTCCTTGTCATAATTACTTTCTTTACTATGAGGATGAACATCATCTGGAAAGAGTTTCTAAACCAAAATACTTGACACCTGCTGTGAGGATGGTGGTTTTCCACCTGGCTTTAGGCTTGTAGGACAATGGCTGGATAATACCATCCATCTAGCTCCTGGAAAGACTGTGGAGTGTGAATCTGAGTCAAGAAAAGGAGGGCCGGGCGCGGTGGCTCACGCCTGTAATCCCAGCACTTTGTGAGGCCGAGGCGGGCGGATCACGAGGTCAGGAGATCGAGACCATCCCGGCTAAAACGCTGAAACCCCGTCTCTACTAAAAATACAAAAAATTAGCCGGGCGTAGTGGCGGGCGCCTGTAGTCCCAGCTACTTGGGAGGCTGAGGCAGGAGAATGGCGTGAACCCGGGAGGCGGAGCTTGCAGTGAGCCGAGATCCCGCCACTGCACTCCAGCCTGGGCGACAGAGCGAGACTCCGTCTCAAAAAAAAAAAAAAGAAAGAAAAGGAGGCAGCAATTAACTTCACGTATTAATTAGTGAGTAATATGACCACACATTGTCTAGAGTATACTGTCTATGAGGCAGGGGCATGAGATACATATTTGCTCATCAAAATGCCTCATATCCAATATGCCTAAATGTTAACCACTGAAAACATAAAAAAACAGGATTGGTTTAACAGTAGACTATTATCACAATTCTAGAACTTATGACTTCCTACTGGATTTCGTTATACCATAATTGCACATACAAAATATCTTTCAAAATCAGTTTAAAATCAGTAATGACACATTTATGCTGAAATGTAAATATTTACTTGCAAAATGGGATACATATATGCCAACATATAGCCAGAAGAAATATAAAATTATTCAAGACACCAAATAAGCCTCAAAAAGTCCTTAGATCTTAAAACTCTATGTTTCATAAACATAGAGGCAGGAAGAAATGACTCCTTTACAGTTACTAGAGCAACTCTAGATTTCTAGGCCTCTGGTCAGATGACACAGCCATTTTAGCTGTGCTCTCATTTTAGCATAAAAGGGAGTTTCTCATAAACCCAGACTAACGTTTTCAAAATTCATAATTGTTCTTTCCCTATATTTGCCATTAAAACCTTGATTACAAAACAACTTCAGAGACAGGTCAAGGCTTGACAACCAGAGGCAATAGCATCATTGTTATGTAACTCCTTGCTAAGGCTAAATTGCAGGTCAAATGTGGTTCCCTTTGAGGGAAGGCTGCAATCTCACCTGCCTTTGTGAACTAGTAATCCTGTGATCTACCAGTGAGGATTAGCATTTCCTTTCTAAATGCAGTTTGGCAAAAAATTTGGTAGGTACCAAACTGAAAGCCACAGGAAGGGATAACAATTTCAGACAGGATTATAGTGGGGAAAACAGCTAGCTACTAAGGCATTACAGCAAGATATACCAAAATTAAAGACACATATA
Source organism: Homo sapiens (assembly GCF_000001405.40). Classification (NCBI taxonomy): domain Eukaryota; kingdom Metazoa; phylum Chordata; class Mammalia; order Primates; family Hominidae; genus Homo; species Homo sapiens. The sequence goes on from NC_000003.12 coordinate 63,855,980, forward strand.
CCTTTTGACTTATCTTTTAGAAATTATTCCCACAAGTACGCGAATATATCTATGCAAATATCTCCATTGTAACACTGTTTGGAAGAGTAAAAAACTGAAAACAAACTAAATGCCAATAGAGGATCTGTCTAAAAAATTAATAGACTATACACACTGATATAAAAGAATAAGGTAGATTTATATTCAAAAGAGCTCCATGATAAGCTAAAAATTGAAACAACTGAACTCATGGAGGTAGAAAATAGAGATGGTTACGAGAGGCTGGGAAGAGCTGTGGGGTGTGTGGTGGCAGGGGAGGGGCGGGGATGCTTAATTAGTACAAAAACATAGAGTGAATAGGATCTAGTATTTGATAGCACAATAGGATGATTATAGTCAACAATAATTTATTGCACATTTTATACCAACTAAAAGAGCATAACTAGAATGTTTATAACAAATGATAAATGCTTGAAGACAATGGATATCCTATCTACCCTGCTGTGATTATTTTGCATTGTATGCATGTATCAAAATATCTCATGTACCCCATAAATATACGCACCTACTATATCACTTAAAAAAAATTTTATGGGTACACAGAAGTTGAATACAGACCAGTGTGTAAATGACTGTATAAAATTTTCAAGCATATATACCCACTGGTATACTAGCCAGCAGATACGTAACACTTAAATATGCTAAGGACTGCTTTAGATGCTTTTCACATATAAACACACTTAATCTACACAACAGCATTATAGATTTTTTTTTTTTTTAGACAGAGTCTTGCACTGTTGCCCAGGCTGGAGTGCGTGGCGCTATCTCGGCTCACTGCAAGCTCCGCCTCCCAGGTTCATGCCACTCTACTGCCTCAGCCTCCCAAGTAGCTGGGACTACAGGCGCCCGCTACCACGCCCAGCTAATTCTTTTGTATTTTTAGTAGAGACGGGGTTTCACCGTGTTAGCCAGGATGGTCTTGAACGCCTGACCTCGTGACCTACCCGCCTCGGCCTCCCCAAGTGCTGGGATTACAGGCGTGAGCCACCTTGCCCGGCCTCATTATAGATATTCTTATCCCTATTTTACCAATGAAAAAGCATCTTGCCAAAAATTAAATGTCACAGGAAGTAAGGAATAGAAATGGAACTCAAACTCAGGAGTCAGGCTCCAGAGAAGATACTTTTACCTTTTAGAGGCATTAAAAATCATTCTGGGAGAGGAATTATTACGGAAGGTAAAGAGGGGAAGGTTTTCATTTTTCATATTGTGCATTTCTTCTTGAATTTACTGACATGTAGTACTTTTTTTATGAAGTAGTAACAGTGGTTAACTGGGTGGTAAACTTATTTATCATTCTCAGGTACTTCATTTTCTCTGTATTAAAAATTCTACTCCGTTACTGAATAAAGCTATGATATGTTAACAACAACAAAGAAAACTGGCTTGATTTGACCTACTTTAAATGAACAAGAAGAGAGACTAAGGCCATGTAAAAAAAATGTTCATGCAGATTCCTGTAAGATTTATCGTTAGACCACCACAGCTCATGTTATTAAGATGAATCACACATATTAGCCCATTGTGTTACATTCCTTATGGTAAAATAACACCTGGTCCCTCCTTTCAAAAAGCTCAAAGCCATTAAAACAATTTTTAAGGTCAACAATATTAAGGAGACACATAAAAGGTGGGTGGAAGGAACAATAAGATGGTTTGATTCCTCCATGTAGATATTAACCTCTCCTAAGATACTTCTGACTGGTCTACATAAATTGCTGATGCCAAGGTAAATTACGTGCACCAAAATTAAATTTAAAATTTTAAAAGGAAAATAAATGCAAAACATCATGTTGAGGTCCTTTGTCTTTTCTCTCTATTTAAATGTTTAGAGTAGTATAGTGCTAATAAAGTCAAGGTGAAATGTCCATCTTGCTTTGAAAAACCAATTATCTTGGCTAAAGAAACATCATTTCATAGTTGAACTGCAGCAGTTATCCCTGTGTTGGGGCCACAGAAGATGGAAGAAAGTGGGCAAATGCAATGGCACTAATGAAAAAAAAACCCAAAAACAAAAGAACCCTGTGCCCACAAATGTCTAATTAACATTGGATCAGCAATTGAAATAGGAATAACAGCAGCAGCAAACACTTGCACAGCATTTATACCACCCTAGTTGGTGACCACACAACCCATTTGTTTCTTTTCACTCTGAAAAGTGTCCTGGTTTACACAATAAATTAAATGGTCACTCAACTTCAAAGTGCTTTACATATATTATCATGTTTCATCCTTGAAACAACTCTACAAAGTGTGTACTATTATCTTCCTTTCACAGATGAGTTACTACTCACCTCTGCATTCACAGAAAAATATATACAATTACATTATTAGAAAGTCATAATGCAGCTCCATTATTCTGTCATATTATTCGTAGGCATATTAAAAACCATTATTTCACATTGCAACAAGTACATATTCATGCATTACATTTTTCTAAGTTAAAAAAAAAAGCTACCGTCAAAACCAGCAAGCTTTATTAAATAGAATGTAGAGCCACATTCCACCCCAACCCCTTTCTCCATCTCTCATCTGTTGCTCTGGCATATCAATATATCACCTAATGTTCTCTGTAGTGCAAAAAGTGCTTCTGAAATGATTTCTATCAGGGTACTAACAATATTTAGCATCCTTTAAATTAACACATACAAAATACAGTTAACATAGTTTAAATTAACAGTGACAACATCCACACTGTTTTTCAGCTAGCCAGACTGCTAGAGTTGGCAACAAGGGAAGGAGAGAAAATGGCTTTGTCACAAACTACCTGTGTGACTGCAAGTCACTAACTTCCAAAGACCTCTACTTTTTCACTTATAACATGACAGTAGTGGTGAAAATATCCAGTCTAGTAGCTATAGCTACTCTAAAGCAGGGCAGTTCCTCAAACTGAGTGCAGGAAATAAAGGGCTGCTTCTTCAAGAGCTCCCAGTCCAACTGGATACGCAGACCCAGAGGAATGGATTACATGAAGGGACAGTGATACAGGCACATCAAATTTGTAAAAGACATTGGCTCTTATGTAAGCTCCATGGACAGGTACTGGTACTCCTCCAAGAGCTTTCCAGGAGGATGAATGAGATATCAAGAGCATCCACTTCTATCTTCCACACTAACATCGCTCTAATCCAAGCCCACATTTCTCTCATCTGGAATATTTTGCATTGGACTCCCTGTTTCCATTCTTGCCTTCCTAGAATCCATTTTTTATGCAACTCAGAATGATCTAAAAGATGAATTGGATCACTAACTCTCCTGCTTACAATCCTCCTATCATTTCTAAATGCCCACAAAGGACAATTCAGTCTCCTTTCCAAAGCCTGCAAGGCTCCTCCTGAGCTCCCTTTTACCTCCTTTTGCATCGTACTCCTCTTGGCCCACCTGGATGCAGTCCTGTCCCTAGATCCAGCCCAGTGGCTTTCCTTATTTCCTCTAAAGGGTGCAGAGCTTGTTTTCACCTCGGGCCTTTGCACTAGTTGTTGTCTCTATCTGGAATACTTTCCTGGGCTCTTCATGTGGTTGAACCTGTCAGGTATCACTGCCCTCCCCCATTACTCTCTGTCCTCATTCCATCAAGTTCATTCTCAGAACTTAATTACATTCCTTTTCAGAAATTATCTTATTTACTTATTTGATTGCACACTATGGCTTCTTTCCCCAAAGCAGGGGCCAGGGCCCTCCTCTGTCTAGTTCACTGCAAAGTAGCCAGGACCTCGCATTGTGCCTAGAAGGTATGCAATAAATACTTGTTGACGGATCACACATACCACTCATTTCAGCTTGATTTTTTCAAAAGCTCAGCTGACAAAAACCATGTTTATAGAGGATTGTCTGAAGAAGTTGTAGTTTGTCTTTCCTCTATGGTCTAGATATTCAATCAAAAAACCCTGATTTGAATCAAGCCAGATCAGCAGAGCTACCCACTACCCACCTAAACCACATTGTCCATTGATTTTATTTATTTATTTTTAGACAGGGTCTAGCACTGTTGACAGGCTGGAGTGCAGTGGTGCAATCATGGCTCGTTGCAACCTCAAACTCCTGGGCTCAAGTGATCCTCCTGCCTCAGCCTCCTGAGTAGCTGGGACTACCTACAGGTGTGTTCCACTCCACCTGGCTAATTTAAGAAAATTTTTAGTAGAGATGAGTAGCTGAGACTACAGGTGCACACCACCACACACGCCTGGCTAATTTGAAAAATTCTGTAGTATAGATCATGTCTTGCTGTGTTGCTTAGGATGGTCGCAAACTCCTGGGCTCACGTGATCCTCCTGCCTTAGCATCCCAAAGTGCTAAGATTGATTACAGGTGTGAGCTACCACACCCAGCCTCTACTGGCTTTAGAATGTCTTTCTAAATTGTGATTTAGCCTTCTTTTACCTAGCAAGGGATGTGCTACAAAACAGCTCTATGATCTTCAGTGCTGAAAAGAGGTTAAGGATATGACACTGGCTTTCATTTATAAAGACCTCAATGATAAACTTTTCCTCTAGTTCAAATCAGAAAAAAAAAGTGCTTTTCCTGGGCATCTAAGATTGCCTTCTCTCATGAACACTAGATCACAGAGCAGACGAGGTCCTGCCTCTCAGAATGGCCTACTGGAGAAACAGGTCACTTACAGCTTGGTTAATTAATGTACTAGACTTTATCCTCCTGCATTTTGAGGATCACCCCACTTCTGACTTCCCTTTATTTTTCCTAATCTCAATGTTCTTTTTGTCTTGTTTTCTAATCCGTTTAATTTTTATATTTTCTCATTACAGTGAACTGCCTTAAATGTTTTCTAGCATAAGGCATATAAATAACGTATTAAGGGTGACAGCAGCAATATGCATAAAATAATATGGCTAGTAGGCAGAAGGTCAACTACTTCTAGGAAAGAAAAGAGGGGATTTTTGAGGTGGGTCTTGAGGAATAAGTGGAGTGTCACCTGATAGAAAAGGCAGGAAAAGGCAACCTGTGCAGATTAAGAGAGAAGGCAAAGTCCACATCAAAGGAAAGTGGAAGACAGATTAGTAAAACAACTCTGACATTAATATTTACTGAATATTAATTATTATGTGTTGGACTCAATGCAAAGCCCTTTACAACTTTTTGTGTTTAATCCTCAAAACAATCCGCTGATGTGGATTTTATTATTATCTCCGTTCAGAGACTGAAGCTGAGACAGTCTGTAAGTGGCAGGGTAGAGATTCCTGTGGCTTTTAAGGATGTGGGGGGGCACTTGACTGCAGTCATTACTTTAGAACTCATCTTCTGTCCCTATCTCCCATCTGACAAAGCCTGTTGCTCCTTTGGACATCTCAATCTCAATAAATAGAAAAGTAGCACTAACAGGCACACAGTGAAGTCAAAAACCTGGGATCATCCTAAATCCCTTCTCCCACCATCCATTCAATACCTGAAGTCCTGACATTCTACCTCACAAATTTCCCTATTTCCCTCCCACCTGTCCTCTTTGCATTCCCTCTTGGTCACAGTCCTCATTGTCTCTCACCAGGGCCACTGCAGAAGTAGCAGACACAGGACGCATAATAGTGAAGAGCAGGAACTCGGCAGGTGGTCTCCCTGCCTTTGACCCTCTATAACTACTATCTGTGCGACCTTAGGCAAGCTAACCTGTGTCTGTTTCATCTGTAAAATGGGGATAACAATTAGAATAATACCTAACAGCACTACGTAAACGTTAGTAAGTGGCGAGGAAACTTAGCTCCTCATTTTCTCTTCCTCTAATCATTCTGCACATAACAGAGACAGTGTGTATGTGTGTGTGTGTTTTTTTTTTTTTTAATGAGACACGGTCTCACTCTGTCACCCAGACTGGAGTGCACTGGCGCGATCTTGGCTCACTGCAGCCTCAACCTCCCAGGCTCAAGTGATCCTTTCTCCTCAGACTCCCAAGTCCTGGGACTACAGGTGTGTGCCACTGTGCCAGACCAATTTTTTTGTATTTGTAGACATGGGGTCTCACTATGTTTTCCAGGCTGGTCTTGAACTTCTGAGCTCAAGAGGTCCGCCTGCCTTGGCCTCCCAAAGTGTTGGGATTACAGGCGTGAGCCACTGTGCCCGGCATGTGTGTGTGTTTTAATGCCAATCTGATTAACACCACACCAGTGTTAAAACTTTTAATGGATTCCTATTGCCCTTAGAGATCTCTGGCTCATAACTTTCTAAATTCTAGCAATACTTGTCAGCTTTGAGTTCTTCCAACATCTTGGGGTCTTTATACAAGTGGCTACCAACCCAGAACACCAGTCCAATATCTATTTATTCTTCAAAAATGGGATTAACTTCGAGGAGGCTTTCTCATTTCCATTGATTGGATAAATAATCTTTGTTACATGTTCCTACAGTTCCCAACCTTGTACTTCCTTGTGGTAATATTTGTCACTCTTAAAACTCATTAGTCAATGTTTCTTTCCCTTCAGACCAAAATTTTGGAGAGGGAAAAGTTCTTGCTTGTTAGTTCTGGGTTGTAATCCCAAAGCCTAGTCCAGGAAGGATAAATATCCACTAAATAAATGAAACTGGAATGAAGCAAAGCTGAAATTCCACATGAAGTTCCTGGGTCTTTAGTAGCCTCCCACCTCCACTACTCTTTATCAGTCTGGAAATTTGGGCCTATCACTGTTCTTCCCATGGCCAGGCCCTTTAATGTGGAGACCCTGGTGGTCTTCAACTCTTAAGAAGTGGCCTCTCCACAGGCATTTACAGTTACCGGTCACCATCTCCTGAAAAACACCCAAGAGCCCTAGATATCCCCTTCCCAGATATCAAAGGACCTCCTTCCTCCCTAACCAGATACCTTGTAGGTTCTCCCTCCAGTTGCCAATCATGCCCCTTCCCCCAAAGTGTCACCTTATTTCCGCTCTCAGTCCATAGACCATCTCCCTTAGACTGTCCACAAACCCAGCCTTTGCCCCTCTAAATTCATCCCAGCTGACAACCACCCTTCCTAACACACACACATACATCTTTTATCGTCCTGATCTACCCTAGACGGTCTCATCACTATACTGGCTCCTCCTTACCCCCGTAAATCTCCCAGGTACACTTCCTGATCACCCTCCGGATACCTCATCCCTATCTATTCCTTTTATAAATAATTCCCTGCTCCTCCTTCTCACCCACAATCCACTCGCAGTTCAAGGCCTCATTGCCATCGACTCCACTGTCTGTGAGTGCTTCCCAATATGCCCCAGGACCCCTCCTGGTGTCACGCTCTGTATCCTGACACCCCTTGTAGACGAGTCCCGAAATTCCCGCCCCGTCCCTGGAGCTCCCACTCCCTCCCAGACCTCCACAAACCTTCCAGGCCCCCAGCCCTAAGCCCGGCACCACTGTCCACCCTTCGCGGCTCCTGGGTCCTCACCGCGCCCCTAGACAAACCCGGACTCCCTCTGGTCCCACCCGCCCTTGCACCGCTTCTAGCCGTCTCGGCCACCCACGTGTGTTCCCAGCCCACCGACCACGCTCCCGGCACACCCTATAGCCCCGCGCTGCCTCCGGGAGAGCGGACGGGGAAAGCCGAGGGTCTCCGAGGGGCGCTCGGGCTCTGGCGAGAGGAGGAAGGACTCAGGGAAGCAGCCGGGGAGGCCCGGGGCTCCGGGGAGAGGTCGGGAAGGCCGAAGCGCTCTGGCGAAGAGGCCGGGGAGGCCGAGGGGTTCCCGGAAGCGGGCCGGGAGGCCAGGGGTCTCAGGGGAGGCCCAGCGGGCCGTGCAGCGGGCGCGTGTGGCGGCGAGCGGGGCCTCACCGTCAGTCACGGCTCCCATGGCGTGCGCGGCGGCGGCGGCGGCGGCGGCGGCGCAAGCTGAGGCGGCGGTTGGCGGCGGCGGAGGTCAAACTCCCACAATGCAGCCGGGTAAACAGCCATGGAGGAGGAGGCGGCGGCGCCCGCGGCCGCCTGCTCCGACGCCTGAGCCGCGCCGCGCCGCGCCGCCGCCGCCGCCGCCGCCGCCGCGGGACCCGCGCTCCCCGCGCTCCCGGTACTCCCCGGGGGCGGCCGCGGCCGGCGCGAGTTGGGGCGAGGCTTGGCGGCCGGCGGCGGCCCCGGCTGCAGCCCGGGCTCCCGCCGCCCCCCTTGCAGCCCCCGCCCGGCCCACGCCCAGAGGCCGCCCCGGAGGCCGCAGCCAGCCGCCAGGTGAGCTCGCCCGGACGCCGCCAGGGCTGCGGGGGTGCGGCGGGAGCTGCGGGCCGCCCGCAGTCGGGGTCCCGGCTTCTTCCCCGGGAAGGTGACTGCGGCCCCGCCGCCCCATCCAGGGTGACGCTGCTAGGGGTGGGCTCGTTTCCCTGGGGGGTGGGGAGGGTGACGGGGACGCCCGGATCCGGCTGAGCCCAGGAGAGGCGGGACTAGGGGTACCGAGGGGGGCGCGTCGCTGGGGGTCCCCGCGAAGTTGGCGCCCACGCGCGCTGGGGCGGGTCTCGAACGCCGGCACTTGCGCGGGGCGCGGCCGGCAATCAAAAAAGGCCCCGGGTTCCAGGTCGCGCGGTTCCGGCCCCTGCGGCCGCCCCCTTCCTTCCTGGGCTCGGCGGGTGCGGGAAAAAGGGTGAAAGAGAAACTTGGCGACCTCCCGGAGGAGTTCGCGAAGCGACCAGGAGCGTGTTGCCATCGTCCTCACCCGGCACCCAATTCCACCACAGAGTCGGGATTTCGTCGGTGATCGTGATGGGGTGCTTTTATTTTTCTCTTTGATTTTCAAAAAATGTCTATGTGACTGTCCCTATCTTAAGGGGAAGTTGAAAGTGGGGGCGGGGGTGCTCAATGAGAAACGTTGCCTTGTGTGTAGTTGTTTGGAGCACACTGCAAATTATATTGGCATCTCTTTCCAAAAGTCACTTTGATTCAACTTCGATAGCTTTCTCGTAAATGGCACGTTTAGGTGGTGAGAGGTGGATGAGGAAACAGGCACCAGTGCAGCTGATTTGACCTCCAGTGGGATAGATACGATTAGCACCAGGATCGTGTCTCATTTTGAACCCAGGTTTGTTATTTTATTCAGCCATACCGTTGTTTTCCAATTTTCCTGTCCCCCAAGTAGATCTTGCATCTTCATATCCGGGATGAAGAAGTTGTGTAGGATAAACTTGGTTGTTTCACTTTCCTTACTAAATTTAGGTACATTCTCCCTGTTTTCCCCCAGTTCTTTCAAAGAGGAGAAGTTGCAGATGCAAATGTATTAAAGTGAAGTGTGTTTAACCTCTAGCAAGAAATATGTACAATTTTAGTCATATTATGTGAGACCAGTGACTTCAATAATACCATTACAGTGCTCTCAAGAATTAGTGCTCAAGAACTTGACTTTTGTCACAAAGACAAAAATTACTTTACATGAAGATTCTGAGATGTGACTTGCTCTCCCCTAAGGTATGAAGTTTCCGACTTTGAAAAAATACTGACCTAAACGCTGGCTGTAGGTGGGCATCATCAGACCCTGTTCATTTCCTTGGTTTTAGGAGACAGGGCACTCTAAGAGAAGAATTGTTTTAAATCTTAAGTACTACAGATTGTAAACTGAAATTGTCAATTGATTGGGGTTCACAATACCAAGTTGCATTTTGGTGGGGATAGTTATTGTTTAGAAAGTAATTGTCGGCCGGGCGCGGTGGCTCACGCCTGTAATCCCAGCACTTTGGGAGGCCGAGGCGGGAGGATCACGAGGTCAAGAGATCGAGACCATCCCGGCTAAAACGGTGAAACCCCGTCTCTACTAAAAAAAAATACAAAAAATTAGCCGGGCGTAGTGGCGGGCGCCTGTAGTCCCAGCTACTTGGGAGGCTGAGGCAGGAGAATGGCGTGAACCCGGGAGGCGGAGCTTGCAGTGAGCCCAGATCCCGCCACTGCACTCCAGCCTGGGCGACAGAGCGAGACTCCATCTCAAAAAAAAAAAAAAAAAAAAAAAAAAAAAAAGAAAGTAATTGTCATGTGGTGAAAAGTTTTTTTTAAGTGTTTCTTAATCTTATCATAATACTGATTTTGAAACAGTGTCAGTGATTTAAAATAATCTGTAATATTTTCATGGGAAAGTATCACTGCCCCCTGTAACTTAAATTTTCGTGAGATACTCTCTGAGTTATTCATAAATGGAGTGCTGTTCAAACATTTCTATAAGTTAATTTGATAACCTATAATTTTGTTGGATGATGCTAGAAATTTTCTGGAGTAATAAGACCAAGAGGAATTTGAAAGACTTTAAAGTTTGAGCTGTACCTGAAAATAAACATTCCTGAAAGTTATTTTATTTTTTTTTGAGACAGGACCTTCCTCTGTTGCCTAGGCTGGAGTGCAGTGGCACGATCATCAGGGCTCACTGCAGCCTGGAACTCCTGGGCTCAAGTGATCCTCCCATCTCAGCCTACCAACTAGTTGGGACTACCGGCATGTTCCATGATGCCTGGCTAAGTTTTTTATTTTTATTTTTGTAGAGACATGATCTCACTATGTTGCCCAGGCTGGTCTCAAACTGCTGGGCTCAAGCGATCCTCCCGCCTCAGCCTCCCAAAGTGCTGGGATTATGGGTTTGAGCCACTGTGTCCAGCCTGAAAGTTCTTGACTCAAGTGGTGGGAAACACATAATTTGAGCCTTTATGAACTCTAAAATCTATTTTGTCAGCTACATGATTTTACTTGCAATTGCATTGACACAGATCTATTCATTGAACATTTAAGAATTGTCTTTTCATCATATCGTATATCTCATATATATGAGAGAACATCTTTTAGTAAACTTTACAAGTGGTCTTCTTTTTACATATTAACATGTTGATGAATGTTAAAGTAGCAAAGACTCAAGCCCTTACCATACTAATGTTTCTTCTTTTCAAGACAGATCTTTATGGGCAGAAACACAGAAATGGAAGTAGCAGATTTTAAGAAAACTGATTCAGACTTTGAACTTGTATGACCTTATATTTATTGATTTATTTGAGTCATAAGATTTCTGGGTTTTTTTTTTTTTGAGAATATGAAAGACTAGTTAAGAAAATTTGTGTGTTTATTTGATATTTGCTTTCTGAAAATATAAAAAATTATGAGAGAGCTAGCTATATATGGTCTTTATTCTGGGTCTGTGAAATAATGTAAGGAATTTTGTACTATGCTTTTAGAGCAAGAGTTATCCTGGGGGTCTGTGACCCTCCAAGGGTTGGTTTCAAGGGATTCCTGAACTCCCTGTAGTTGTGACCAGAACTTTTTGTGTATGTGTATTTTTCTGGAAGAGGGTCTGTAGTTGTTTTAGAAAAGAGATCCAGGACTTAAAAAAATTAGAGACACATCTTTTTATTGAATAAAATGGAAGTTAGAATTCTTTTCTTTTCTTTCTTCTTTTTTCCTTTTTCTTTTGAAACAGGGTCTCACTTTGTTGCCCAGTCTGGAATGCAATTGCATGAAACTGGCTCACTGCATCCTTGACCTCCTGGGCTCAAGTGATCCTCCTGCCACAGCCTCCCAGAGTGCTGGGATTACAGTCATGAGCCATCACAGAATGACCATTCTAAAGAGAAAAAAACATTTTTGAAAAGTAGATCTGTGTGCTCGTTACTTGCCTTTTAAAGTTATCTTCAGGCTGGGCACAGTGGCTTATGCCTGTAATCCCAGCACTTTGAGAGGCCAAGGCGGGTGGATCATTTGAGGTAGGCCGAGGCGGGTGGATCATTTGAGGTCAGAAATTCAAGAGCAGCCTGGCCAACATGGTGAAACCCCATCTCTACCAAAAATACAAAAAAAATTATCTAGGCGTGGTGGTGTGGCCTGTAATCCCAGCTACTCAGGAGGCTGAGGCAGGAGAATCACTTGAACCCAGGAGGCTGAGGTTGCAGTGAGCCGAGATCACTACACTCTAGCCTGGGCAACAGAGTAAGACACTGAAATAAATAAATAAATAACAAACAAATAAATAAATAAAGTTGTCTTCAGACTTAGAGGTGTAAAAGCACTTCCATTTTATTCCCACAACAAAGCATTGCCTATCAGTTGATAAGCCAAGCTGGTCTGACGTGCTAGTCCTGCATGTACTGTGGCTGTGTTTTTAAAAAATTATATCTAAAAATTCAGACCAGATCGTTTGATGGTAGATAAGCAAAGATTTGATCTTGACACCAGCCGTTGGAGTAAATGGGTCTTTCAGCTCCACTCTCTTCTCTCCAGAAAATTTGAAATTTGACTCAAAGGGAATCATTGTAAGAAAATGTGTTTGTGCCTTGGCAGGACAGTAGAACATGATGGGAAAAACACAGTTTGAGTCAAAATAGACTTAAAATTCAAATTTGGTTTCCTTTATTCACTGTAGCTACTTACCCTGCTTGACTCTTCAGTTACTCATCTGGATATGGCTAACTAGTAGAGTTGTTGGGAGGCTAGCTAGAAGTTTCCCGTATAAAAGTCTTAGCTCCTCTTTGGCCCGCAAGAAGGACTTACAAGCCAGGTTTGGGGAACCATTAATAAACATCTGAGGAAACATGTATATTCATGGTATAGGATAATAAGTACATTATTTCCAAATTGGTGTGATGAAGATATTAACACTTAAAACATTGTTTTTTAAGAAAAAGATTTTCAAAAATGAGTTAGGATTGAGTGGTCCCCAAATATAGATATTTAGAGGAAAGTGGAAAATGATGGTTTATTTGGCAGAGGGGAGGACATGGATGCTGCTGGGCAGGAAGAAATGATAGCCACCCACCAGCATTATATTTCTCTCTGTGGGCAAGATTCCATTTAACATTTTCTCTTCACTTATAATCTGAATTAAAAAACTAAAATACTGCACATGTACTTTATAGTCCATCACCCCTAAAAGTGCTTCAGCACTCCTTTCGTTTTGAGACCTTCACAGGTAACCCAGGGACTTCATGGGTGGAAGTTACACTTATAACTTTAGTTGTCTAATTCTGCTGTCTTTAAAATGCCTTCACAGTTGGGTACCTGTGTTGATTTTTGTCAATAGGAAAGGGTCTGGCAGGACTGAATCATATTTTACTTTAAATGCTGAAGTAAGAGAGGGCATTATGAGTCAAAAGAAAGTGTGAGATACGTAAATAAAATACTGTATAATGCTTATGGCCATAAAAATAAACTTGCTTCTACTATTTCTATAGTCTTAACCTTTCCTGTCATTTATTCGTGGTGATCATTTATGCTTTCTGCCCTTGGGTTGGGAAATGGTTATGAACACAGCCTTTAGGCTTTGAATATGGCCTTGATTCTCATTTCCTGAGCTCTCTGGTTGTGTTCAACTTGGTCCAGTCTCCTTCTTTGAGTCTAGAGGAGATGACCATTAAATGGGATAATAAATGCAAAAAAGTTTTGCTTACTCCTAGGCTCCTAGTAAGTACTCAGAAAGTGGTAGCCATTTTGAAGACAGTTACATTCTCATCTTTAGAAGGAGATATCATACATCTTTTTCTTTTCTTTTCTTTTTGTTTTTTTTTGAGACAGAGGCTCATTGTTGCCAAGGCTGGAGTGCAGTGGCATGATCTTGGCTCACTGCAACTCCTGCCTCCCAGGGTTCAAGCTATTCTCGTGCCTCAGCCTCCCTAGTAGCTGGGATTACAGGCATGTGCCACTACGCCCAGCTCATTTTTGTATTTTTAGTAGAGATGGGGTTTCGCCATGCTGGCCAGGCTGATCCTGAGCTCCTGACCTCAGGTGATCCACCTGCCTCGGCCTCCCAAAGTGCTGGGATTACAGCTGTGAGCTACCGCACCCTGCTAGAGATACTATACATCCTTTTAAAGAGAATACCTTTATTCATCCTTATTCCCACTTAGACCTTCTGGAACCATCTTACTTTCAACTCAGAAAAGCCTTTTACATTTTCTTGTTATGATAGGCAGGTATCCCAACATCTTGATGACCTATTGGACTTCTCCATTGTTCTTAGCCAATGGGGTTGCATTCTCTATTGGCCTGGCAGGTTATATCAAAATCTTGGATATGTCAGGGGCCAAACCAACAAGCCTGCACAGGTTTGGAGCTGTGATCCATCAAACAACTGTGTGATTTTATAGCCTGGAACAGAGATCAGCAAATTTTCTGTAAAGGACCATATAGTAAATATTGTTTACTTTGCCAGCCATCCAGGTCTCTACACCTACTCAGCTCTGCCATGATAGCAGGAAAACACTCATAGATATAAATGAATGGGTATGACTGTGTTCCAAGAAATGTTGATGAACACTGACATTTGAATTTCATGCAATTTTTATGTGTCACGTCATATTTTATTTTTTCAACCATTTAAAAATGTGAAAGTCATTCTTAGCTCCTGTTATATACAAATCTTAGCTAGATTTGGTCCATGGGCCATAATTTGCAGAATCCTTGCCTAGAATATTAGATGCATAGATTTGTGGCATTGCCAAGCAACCACCCCCAACATGTGCACACACACGTATGTGTGTGTGTGCTCACACACTGCTGTTTTATTTAGCATACTCTGCTTTTGGTATGGCAGTTTGATCTAATGCCTCATCTCTTTGGATAGGATGAAACTTCAGTCAATAAGTTTTTATTAGTCATATTGTGTGGCCGCCTTAGCACATGCATGATTCTGTCACCAATTAATTTTATTTATTGTTAAGTGTTCTCACCTTGCCCATTTTTTTATAGAGCTTGATGATTGGACCCTCTCAGATGTGATGGTTTTTGAAGGGAATCAGTGCTTTTGGAGCTGTCTTTTGCTTAATGTTCCTATTAATCCTTCTTTGCCGTGGAAGGGAAGTAATTAATACTGGCCTCTCAAGCTGCTAACTAGACATTCTTTCCTAAAGGAAATCTGTATCCTGGCCTTCCCTATTCCCTTTCTGCATGATATGTTTGGCTTTATAAAGCACACAAAAATTCCTCTTGTGTTCTAACCCCTGGAGATTAGCTCTAGGATTGGTGTGTACAGAGCATGTAGATATATATGTCTGTGTGTAATTTCATCCGGCCATCACTGAAGCTCTGAGGGCTGCTTCTTTTAGTTTCACCTTTTCACTCCCTCTACCTTTCTCTCCTGGCCATTGTGTAAGGATGCAGATTTGGTGACCTGATAACTGCTCTAACTGATTGGTTTATTTTTTGCTTCGTTTCCTGCTTTTCAACATTCTCTACTGATTTGCTTATTTTGCAGCAAGTACACTCTTTTTGGAGTTTACCTTTTCAAAACAACATTGTGCTGAAAATAAAACCACTAGAGATTATTTGGGTATTGTAGGATTTTTCCCCCTCCAAATGTACAGTAAATACAGTATAAGAGGCATGACTCAGTATTTTAGATATAGAATGCAATTTAAAAAATTGTTTGCCATTTTATATATAGATATTAGAGGTGTAAAATGTGTTCTTACTTTTAGCATTTAAGGGTTTCCTTCTTGTTAAAAAAAGTAAATTTGCTACGTATCTTTTGGATAACAGTTTGGGCAATATGAACCCAAAGTCATTACAAAAAAAGAAAAAAAGGTAA
The DNA here is from genome assembly GCF_000001405.40 of Homo sapiens. NCBI lineage: Eukaryota > Metazoa > Chordata > Mammalia > Primates > Hominidae > Homo > Homo sapiens. The sequence continues at coordinate 63,871,462 of NC_000003.12, forward strand.
ATTCACATCTAGGAATTTAAAGAAACAGTTGGTGAAGTATGCACAGATGTATGTACCAGATTGCTCACCTGTCCTTTTTTTATAACAAAACATAGAAAGTGATCTAAATACCTATGGATAGGGGATTAAGTGAATTAGGGCCTATCCATGTAGTGGAATATGCTGCAATCTTTAAAAAGAATGATGCAGTCAATATTTATTCATAGAAAAAAAGGTATATAATGAGACTATGTATAAGATGGAACTTTTAGAATAGGGTTTTAGTCATCTTTGAAGTATATGGAAGAAAATGCCAGGAGCAAGAATTGTTACAGGGGAGAATCTGTTTTAATTATTAAATTATAATCTAAAACTATAATTTTGATTATTAAACATTATTATAATCTGGTTTGTTTTTAAATTTAAAAAAAAAACAGATTATAATTTAATGCTTTAATTATCAATTAAATTGTTCCTTTTTTTTCCTTAGCCAGTTACCTTCAAATTCAACTCACCTTTATTTGCACCTGCATCTTTGTGGTTTAACTATGATAATTTTAGCAAATTTTCACTTCAGTTATTTTGGCTTTGGAGTATGTTCTATCTCCTATGCCCCACATTCTGGTGGAGATACAGTTCATTGTTTATATGAAATTAGCAACATTGATCTAGCCTTGACGAATGAGAAACGTAACCACATCTGGCTGTGACATAGTGACTCTTTGTGGACTTTGGGCCTTAGAGTTTGTTATAGGAAACTTTAGGACGTGAATACACTATAAAATATAGAAATATTACGATAATTCATGAAGCATGTCTGTCAGTTATCTATTGTTAACAACCCATTCCAAAAGTTTGTGGCTTAAAACACATACCATTTTATTTGCTCATAATTAGGGCAGAGCAGTTCTCCATTGGTAGTGCCTGGCCTGAGGTCACTAATGTGGCTGCAGTCCTCTTAAGTCTTGAGTCAGAACTAGTTAGTCAAGCTGGGCTATCTCTCTGAGCTCCACATAATCTCATCTTCTAGCAGCCTAGATCAAATTTCCTCAGGTGGAGGCACTTTGTTCCAGGAGGGTGAGAACTGCAAGGTTTCTGGAGGCTTAAGCTTAAGAGTCACACAGTACCACTCTGCCATATTCTGCTAGTCAAAGCAAGTCACAAGGCCAACTCAAATTTTAGGAGTTGGACAAAGATACCCCCTCTTGATGGCAAATGCTGCCAAGTCATATTGCACAGGATAGCCTACAGGGAATTGTTGCAGCCATCAACATATGTGCCAACCTGCTTTTGTTATAGTAACTAAACTCTGTTTGTTTGCCATGATTGATAAAACTCTGTTCTGAGGAACAGTGCTAAATGGTTTCCTGTGTTACCTCTTGGGATAACAGCTCTACATGTAGGTAGTATTATCCCATTTTAAAGGTATGAAAAGTGAGCCTTAGAAAGGTTAAGTAACCTGCCCTAGAGCTTTTATCTAGTTAGGGACAGATCTTAAAAGTTAAGGAAAATTTATGTCTATACCAGTGTTTCTTAATCCCATCACTAAAGAACTTGCATGGGGGAGGGAGAGAGGAAGGGTGGGAAGTGGGAGGAAGCGTAGTTTTTAAAATCTCAAAATCCATTATCTTAAAATTTTACATGAATTTTGTATTCTACTCTATAATATATCCCTTTTCAATGTGAAATTCATGGTTTAATTACTTGCCAATCAAATTAAATTTTATCCCCCCAATTTTTAAGAAAATGCAATTCTTCTAGACACAGTATAACAGCTAATCAGCCAGAGATCTTTGGTTGTAAGCAGTAAGAACTAAATCTGACTACTTTAAACATAAAGAGATTACTGGAGGGATGTGGTGACAACAATGCCAAAGAATCAGGCTTCAGAGTGAACCAGATCTAGAGCAGCTTCAGGGATCCAGGTAGCAGGACTCAGTAGACAGTCTTCTCAGGATACAGGAGGGCCAACCTCTCCAGCAGTTTTTAATCCCACTTTCTACTGAGAGTATATCTTTCAGGCCCATACTGGGTCCCAGCAGGTGCCTTGGTTATTGCCTCACTCAGCCAGTACCCTTTAGGGGAGTTGTCATTCCCCAGAAGTGGGAATTGATGGAGGGCAGGTAAAACCAACAGATATTTACTATCTGAACATTTGTGGGCCACTATGAGTGGACTTGGTTTAGACATTGTATCACATATAAGCGACACCATAATGATCCCTGGTTCACCCGTCTCCTTCCCAACCCTACATCTAAGGGTTTTGTTTTGTTTTGTGTTTGAAACAAGCTGTCCTTCTGTCACCTAGGCTGGAGCGCAGTGGCACAATCGTGGCTTACTGCAGCGTTGACCTCCTGGCCTCAAGCAGTCCTCCCACTGCAGCTTCTCAAGAAGCCGGGGATACAGGTGTGTGCCACCAAACCTGGCTAATACATTTTTTTTTTCTTTTTTGTAGAGACTGTGTTATCTAGACTGGTCTCCCATTTCTGGGCTCAAGCCATCCTCCCACCTTGGCCTCCCAAAATGCTAGGATTATAGGCATCAGCCACCACACCTGGCCCCGAGGATTCTTAAACTCCCATCTTTAAAAGCATTCTTGTGGCTCTACACTGTCTATTTCCATTTAACCTTACTGGTACTTACCACTCTAAATGCAATACTACATGTGTTTTTTACATGATAATCTTTCCTAAAATATGCATTTTCCTCATTTTTAAAGAAAAGCATATAGACTCTAACCATTTGTTGGTAACAGAGTCACTATAAACATTTTTATCCAGTGCATAGTGATCCCCTTAGAACCCAGTGAGATAAAGTTTATGGTCTCTGCACTAAATTTTCTCAAATTTCTCTGCATTTATTTTTCGGTCTTCTTGTGTCTAAGTGCTTTCACTGTAACTTTGCTAATACTTTAAAATACGCATGTTAGACTTTATAAAAGCTTATAGGCTGAAGGGGCAACTTACATTTATTTGGCCTTTGTAAGTATGAGTTAAACCACACTTCAAATGATAAAATGCTGTGCATATACAGTGTGATTTTATACAGAGCATTTGCACGTATGTTCTCCTGTTTCATTGTATATTCCAATCCTTTGAAGTCAGGGAAGAGGAGATATTTTCTCTATTTTTCAGCTGAGGATAAGGTTTAGAAAGGGTGATTTCCCCTCCAACCTAAGACTACTGCAGAATTCAGGTGTTCTGATTGCCCATGCCTTATTGAGGGTGGTTCTAGAACAGTGGTTTACTAACTGCAGAAGCTCCTTTTCTGGATTCTGAAGTTTCCAGGCTGAACTGGAGATGGGTAAACTAATGTTTGGCCTCATTTGAGTAATGTTCCCTAATTGTAGTGACGTTGGTGTGTGTCTTAGTCTGTTCAGGCTACTCTAACAAGATACCATAAACTGGGTAGTTTGTAAACAACATACCTTTGTTTGTGACAGTTCTGAAGGCCGAGAAGTCCATGATCAGGGTGCCAGCAGATTGTGTGTCTGATGAGGGCTTGTTTCCTGTTTCATAGAAGGTGTCACATGGTGGAAGGGGCAAACAAGCTCCTGGACCTCTTTCGTAATGGCACTAATCCTATTCATGAAGGTTCTGCCCTCATGACCTAATCACCCTGCAGAAGGTCCCACATCCTATTACCATAACTTGGAGGGTTAGGATTTTATTTTATTTATTTTATTTTTATTTTTTGTAGAGATAGGGTTTTGCCATGTTGTCCAGGCCGGTCTTGAACTCCTGAGTGGCAAGTGATTCTCCCACCTCAGCCTCCTGAGTAGCTGGGACTGCAGGTGCATGCCATTACACTTAGCTAATTTTTTGTGTTTTTTGAATAGACAGGGTCTTGCTATGTTGCCCATGCTGGTCTTGAACTCCTGAGCTCAAGTAATCCTCCTGCCTCAGCCTCCCAAAGTGCTGGGATTACAGGTGTGAGCCACTGTGCCCAGCCTAGGATTTCAACATGTGAATTTGGGAGGACATAAACATTCCGACCATGACAGTGTGTAATGGTGGTGTCTAGTAGTCACCTTGGTAATTAGTAGCTGCTGCTGTTTATTCTTGCCTTGGAGGCCCAGCATCTTTTTATTTCCCCACAGATAGCCAGGTGAGGAGCTGATTTACCCCATCTCTTCTTGCCACAATTAGCTGGGTTTGAAGTACCTCTTGGAGCCCTTCGATCTGGCCTTTTTTATTTCTTTTCCCTGTAATTACCACTTTGTGATGTAGTCACTCGTCCTTTCAGCCCCTGGACTCTTCTTTTATATGGTCCTGGCTGTTTTCTGCTGACAGGTCTATCACTACAAGAGGTTTTGAGAGGAGCACTTGACACTTTTGTTTAATTAAGGTCTCCAGACAGTTTTCTGTTAATAGCAGGGTTGTATGTTAGGCTCTTTCCCCCCATTACTTTTAAAGTTTCATTGTAGTCTGGATCATAAACTTGTCTGTGGTGGTAATATGGTGGTTCTTGTTTGGCCAGACCTTTTTGTAAATACACACATCCCAAGACTTCTGTAGCTTTTGGAACCTTGTTCTGACATTTAACACTAGTTTTAAAGTTGTCTTTTTCTAATTTGTTTCAGGCACTGATTTCTACAGCTTCTAACCATGTTTTGATAAGCACTAGTCAAAAAACTATTTTTTCCTCTTGCATTTTTAGTTTGTTTGTTTTTTGTCTTATGGTTTTTGTAGATACTGTGAGCCTTTGGAATCCTTCAACTTAATTCTGAAAAGAATGCGAGTAAAGTTCTACATTGAAAAATAAGTATTTTTCATTTCCTTATACTTTTTTCACTGGCATTTTTAAGTTTTAGCATACTGAACAGAAAGGCATTTTTAGTGTTCTGGCTCATAGCTCCTCTTAGCTGCTCTAAGAGGAGATATTTAAGGCTCAATTCTCTGTGTCCTCCACTCCGTACCCTGTTTATTATTATTGTGGTAGTTATAACTATAAATCATTTGCAGATCGAAGTTAGAAAAGAGACCATTTGTCATTACATTAAGACAGTTTAAAGGAATCGCTTGTTCAAATTTACTAGCTTCCTGAAGCTAGTAAAGATGTTTATGGTTTCCAAGATTCCCTGTTAATATATTTCAACACTACAAGACAGTGAATAACACATGTTCAGCTATTATAGATTATGAGGAAAGCTAGCTCCTAGAAAAGATTTTTCAGTACTATAAATGGCACTAAACTGAAAAATCAGTTGTCATAATAAACAGCGGTCCTGATCTGAGAGTAGGCAGGTTTCTTGGTGTGTCTGTGCTTTTAGCTAATGGCCAGCAATGAGTAGCTCTCTTTTCCATAAATCTGGTATCAAGTATTAATCAGCTGTAGACTGGAAAGTTTTTATTTGCTAGCATTTGTAGTGGAGGAAACACCAGTCTGTTTTATCTGTCTCTTAGCCATATAACTGCATATGATATCATCTGCATGGCGTTCTTACAGAGAGAAATAGTTGTATTCTTTTTCATTTGTAGTCGGAGTACTTCAGAATATTAAAATAGTGAACTTTGACCTTGAAGCATCTAAATTGTCTCAGTTAAGATTGTGATGTATACCAGAAAAAATTTACACCTTAAATTCAATTTAGCATTCTTGTTTTGCACATTTTGAATGGTTTTTTTAATTTAAGAGCAAAGTCCATAGAATGATTGTACTATTGAAAAATCTTAAATCTCAAAAGCTAAGAAAGGTAATTTAGATTTTAAGTTTCAAGAATTACATAAATTTGGGTCTTAAGGAAAAACTGAAATTCCTGAATGCTTACAGAGGTTTTTGTTTAATTTTTTTTCGTGATTACAGAAATCATAAGTGTTTGTAGAAAACTCAGAAAATTCCACAGATAGAAGGAAATAAAAGTTACTCATACTTCTACCCAGAGATATCACTATTAACATTTTATGTATATCCCCCCAGCTGCTTATAGAGTTCTCCAATAAAATATACTTTGAAATGCATGCTTAGAAGTAAGGGTAGAAGAGTGGTAGAAATGGGTACATAGTGTGAACCAAATTTTGTTAATCCTACTGCTTGTCAGACTGCCCGCCAGGTGTTGCCTTCAGGCTGATGAGAGCTGCCTGGCCCTTTGGCCAGCTTTGGCTGATTTGCAGCAGAGCATCTTTTCTTAGACAACTGTCTATATCTGTCTGTGTCTTTATCTTAGCAACTGTTTCTTGTCAGCTCCAAATGCCTGCTGGTTGCAGAGAGAGACATTTGGGGTCCTTGTTGGAGTGGCTTATTGATATGAGCCATAAGTTCTTATCAACCCCGTGGAAAAATTCTTTAAATCAGCTCTTATTCAAAAGAATGCCCGAATATTCACAAATATAGTATCCTTCAGATTACTTGCACCAAGTAACAGCAAGGTATTTAGAGACTCCCAGGTGATTTCAATTAACATCTAACCTCAAATCCGGTCTCCTTGGTAAGAGAAAAATCCAGAGAAGGAGCTCAAAGCAGATTATGGTATAAGCATATGCCAGTCCTCTCCTGTGGAAAAAGAAAAGTGCTAATCTGGTCAGAACTGTTAAAGAGACAGGCAAGGCTGAGCACAGCAGAATTCTCTCATCCTGTTCATCTTTTGCATTAGTGCAGAAAAAAGATTTATCTCAGGATGAAAGAAAGAAGGAAGGATGGCAGGCAGGTGGCTAGTAATAGGAGATGGTTGGTTCTCTTCCTCTCTGCCTGGGCTAGTGGTAAGCAGGTCCTCAGGTCTGAAAAACTAGTAAAAGTGAAGTGACACACAGGGCAGCTTCCCCAGGCAGTGATACAACTTGTTGGTATTCAGTGTGAAAATACAAAGCTGACTTTGATTCCTTGCCATCAGCCAGAGGAAACCCTGGAGAAGTAGGAGGCAGTGGCATCTCTTTGTAAACATTTTATTCTTGACAAGTAACAGACTCCTACCTAGAGAATTGTAAGCGTTGGCCCCTCCATTCTGCCAGCTGTCTTTCAAGAGCACTCTCAGTATTCTCCTGCACTGACCAGTTTAAAAGGTGTCGTTTCTGCTCCCATGCAGTGCTTGGTGTGAAGGAATTAATTTGCAAGATGAATAACCATTGTGATAACTGCTCACATGCAAAGGAGAGAGATTGCTGATTTTACAGGTGTGTGGTTTGCTTTCTTAGATCTGGCAGGAAACAGAGTCCAACTCAGATGGTTTAAGAGACTTTAAATGAAAGAATTATTTTCAGAAGGACGGGCAGAGTTCAGGATGACATGGGTTTCTGTCACCTAGAAACTAATAGGAATGGCAAGCTGTTATCACTGCTAGATCTGAGGGAGCAAAGAGAAGAAATAGTGTTACTGGAGTCTAGTGAGAGCTGGTGCCATAGTGGATGGGCTGTTAAGACAGGAGCTATAGTACTAGAGGCATTCAGCCACTGCCAGAAAAGGGAGCCCAGAGCAGGGAGGGAACAAGGAGGGAATATTCTCCTCTCTGACTTTTTTCTTTGCTCTTTGATCTTTTTCCAGTGCCTTCTATTGGCCAGACTCACCTGGAAGCTGGCCAGCAGGTGAATCTATGATGCTGCCCATAGAGGTCAGCCTCTTGGGACTCAGCAGGGCCCAGTATGGTGGAAAGTTGGTCTGGGGGTGGAAAGTGGATCAGACAAAATTATACCATACCCTATAGCATATTCTTAATTTCACTTTCATCATTTTATCTCATCATCCTCATCTCCTGAAATCCCAAAATAAACCTTAAAGCATGTGAACTATTGATTATGACTCAGTTCTATCTTTTAATATAAATAGCCCAAAGAGTTACCCTACTCTTATCAGAGAAATTAAATATTCAAAGAGAGAATCTGAACAGTTCTCAGAAGAATTGGAAAATCACTGAAAGACCTTCTGTTGGGGCATTTTGTTCTTGGTTAAAATTAAACTAACATTTAAAAAATATGCATATGAACTGTACAAGTGATTTATCTTAAAATATAAAACTTGTACTTTTAATGACACATTGCTGAAATGTGTTTTTTATTATTAAGGTTAAGGTGCAAAAGGAAAGTGCAACTTAAGTCCTTATGGATTATCTCTTCAGTTTTTTTTTTTTTTTTTTTAAATAGAGTCTTGCTCTGTCACCCAGGCTAAATGAAGTACAGTGGCGCGATCTCGGCTCACTGCAACCTCTGCCTCCTGGGTTCAAGCGATTCTCCTGCCTCAGCCTCCCGAGTAGCTGGGATTACAGGCGTGTGCCACCATACCCAGCTAATGTTTGTATTTTTAGTAGAGACGGGGTTTCACTATGTTGGCCAAGCTAGTCTCGAACTCCGGACCTCAGGTGATCTTTATAAGGCAGAGTGAATTAGCAAAAAGATTCTTATTCCACCGATCTAGAAATACAAGAACAGATGTGGCCAGTCGCGGTGGCTCATGTCTGTAATCCTAGCACTTTGGGAGGCCGAGGCAGGTGGATCACGAGGTCAGGAGATCAAGACCATCCTGGATAACATGGTGAAACCCCATCTCTACTAAAAAAAATACAAAAAATTAGCCGGGTGTGGTGGCACGTGCCTGTAATCCCTGCTACTCGGGAGGCTGAGGCAAGAGAATTGCTTGAACCCGGGAAGCAAAGGTTGCGGTGAGCTGAGATCGCGCCACTGCACTCTATCCTGGGCAACAGAGCAAGACTCCGTATCAAAAAAGAAAAAAAGAACAGATTTTTAGCTTATCAAAAGAGAGTCTGTTTTAGTCCATAACTTTATTGAGTTTTGAGGTTTGAGAAATGGGAAGATGAATATTTACTCTGTAAATATGAATGGTGAAAAGAGGTCCACACTTACCTATAATAATTGGTGCTTTAATAAAAGCATCAGCTGTGGGACTAAAAAAGAGGGAAAAGTGATGTAGTCTGTCTTTATCAGAGATTCTTTTAGACAGGTCACAAATATTTATCAAAAGTCTACAGTTGCCGTGTCCTAGAAGTACAGATGAAAAAAGTGCCAGATAGCCCTGACTCAAGGAGTTGGTGTCAGAGTGAGCCTTTCATTGCTGTTTCCTTAAGGGCAGCCAGTCTTTTGGTGCCTTTCCATTGCCTAGAGGAAGGATGATATCCAAAACTTTGAACAGATCTTTCAGTGGTCCTCTGATCTGGCCCTGCCTGCATCTTCTGTCTCACCAAGTGCTCTGGCTTTTTAGTTCCTTGAACTTGCTGTTCTTCCTCAATGTCTTTTCTACTGAGATTTCATTTGTCTGGGGTGCTTGCTGCCACCCTCATCTCCCTCATACCTTTTTGCCTCCTTTAAATGCCACCTCTTCACAGAAGCCTTCCCTGACCTTCTAGACAAAATTCAGTGACTTTGTTACTTGCTTTAAAACCCTGTGTATTCAGACACGCCGCCCTTCTCATTCAAAGCACTCTTTCAATTTATTTGTGTAAAGGTTTTATGGCTTTCTTTCCTACTAGAAGTAAACACCATGAGAACAGCGTTCATTGCTGTCTGTTTCACAGCTGTCTCCTCAGTGCTGAGCATGGCGCTCAATAGATACTTGCAAAAAAGGGAAAAAGAACTGCTTTCAACCCAACCCCTACTACTCACCAGTTGTGTGACCTTTAGTGGTTTGCTTCTTGGAGTCGCAATTTGTTATCTGTAGAATGGGAATAATGATGATAATGGCTATCATTTATTGAGCAGTTAGTATGTGCCAGACTGTGCTTTACTTGCATTATCTTTTCAGTTAAACCCCATCAGAGAAGTGAAAAGATTTGCTTGAGGTCACATAGTTTGAAAATAGAAAACAGGATTTAAACTCTGGTCTGTTTAATTCAAAAAAATGGATTACTCTTAGCCATGCCTTTTTGTGATTGAGTAGTACCAATGCTGAGAATGCTGAGGTTGAGGAGGGAGTAGGTTTGGAATCTCCTAAACCATTTTAGGGAATCGGTATGGGATTAACTCTGCCTATTTGAAGAGATAAGTGACCTCTAAACTGATTTCTGAAGAAGTTAGTTGGGTCTAGAAGCAGCCAGAAGTGCAAATACTCTAAGAGAACTTTTCAGTGTGCTGGAAACTGGCCTTGTTCATTGTGGTTGGAGCATTTTTTTTTTTTTTTTTTTTTTGAGACGGAGTCTCGCTCTGTCGCCTGGGCTGGTGTGCAGTGGTGCAATCTCAGCTCACTGCGACCTCTGCCTCCTGGGTTCAAATGATTCTCCTGCCTCAGCCTCCTGAGAAGCTGGGATTATAGGTGCCCACCACTATGCCCAGCTAATTTTTTGTATTTTTAGTAGAGACAGGGTTTCACCATGTTGGTCGGGCTGGTCTTGAACTCCTGACTTCGTGATTTGCCCGCCTTGGCGTCCCAGAGTGTTGGGATTACAGGCGTGAGCCACTGCACCCAGCCGCTTGATTGGAGCATTCTACAGGGCTAAGAACTATAAGGTTGGGCCAGAGAGTAAAGTAAAGGGGCTTACCGGCTGCTGGGCCAGGCTAGGCCAGGGAGTTACTTTCTGCTAAACACTGTGGGGAGTCCTTGATGGATTTTATTTGTTGAAAATACTTTGGAAGCAGGAAGTCCCAATTTGGAGTCCATCTTGGGGGCAGAAGTATCCAAAGCCCTTCTCTCAGTTTGCATCTCTAGCAAAGAACACATTTTAACTAATAATTTCATTCTGCTGCACCCAGTGTGACAGTGTTTGAAAAGGAACCAGCATTGTGAGGTGAGGAATGGATTTTTATGTTTAGTTGCAGCAGTATAATTTTGCTGCTGCTGTTACTGTTTTCCTTTGGGGACAGATTCCCTAACCCAGATGGATGGCAACCTTACACAAGTTACTTCACCTCTCTAGCCTGTTTCTCATCTGGAAATTAGAGATAGTTAAAATATCTATCTTGTCAGCTTGTCGTGCAACATTTACACAGTGCATGGTATAAAATGAACTTTTAGGCAACATTAACGGTTATTGTTTTTAATATGACCTATCCATTCTGGCCTTTGATTCTTTTTTTTTTTTTTTTTTGGGTCGGAGTCTTCTCTGTCACCCAGGCTGGAGTGCAGTGGCACAATCTTGGCTCACTGCAACCTCCGCCTCACAGGTTCAAGCAATTCTCGTGTCTCAGTCTCGCAAGTAGTTGGGAATGTAGACATGTGCCACCATGCCCAGCTAATTTTTTTTTATTTTTAGTAGAGACCGATTTCACCATGTTGGCCGGGCTGATCTTGAATGGCTGTCTTAAGGTAATTCACCTGCCTTGGCCTCCCAAAGTGCTGGGATTACAGGTGTGAGCCACCAAACTTGACCTCTGGCCTCTTAAATGAATATGTGTTGTTTATTTATCAGACAGGTTGATTGGGACATAGGTGCTGACATTTTTAAAGATCATGATTTTAGGATCTTAGAAAGTAAAACTGGCAATTAAAAAAGGCAACGAACACCTTAGTGAGGCAGTTTTGGTGTTTCCTAGATGTGTTTAGGATGAACACATAGATGAAATGCATAATATGAACATGAGCCAGTACTTAAAGAGCTCGTGGTGTGTGCCAGGAGTGTGTTTTCCATGCATTCTTCCTGAGAAGTAGGTTTGATTATACAGTATCTATTTTACAGATAAAGGTTGAGGTCTTTTCTTTCTAAGGTGTTATTAGACAGCTATAGACATGGACACCAAAACTTGTTGAGCCTTCAGCATTGTAAAGGCTTGGCTTACCTTCCATCAACCTCAGCAGTTCTGCTGGAAGGGAAAAATGGAAACAGGGCCCTTAATTTTTTCTCATTATTGGATTAATTGGAAGCACTAGGCATGGTGTGCTGCCTGGTGGATAGTAGAGGCTCAGTAAATGTTTATTGAATATAAATCTGAATCAGACCAAGTGAAAAAAAGATAGAGAAAAGCAGTATTAGATCCTGGCCCCAGACTTTAAAAAAGTCTGAGGTCACCAGAGATTTTATTAGCATAGTCCATTTGTTAATATTGCAGGTTAATGGTTGGTTGAAGGCTGAGGTGAAGAATTGTCCAGTGTGTGTTGCATGGGATTAACTCCAGTCTGGGCAATTTAGTTATCTCTAGAAATCTGTTCACTTCCCACTAGGTACCCCTGCTGCTCAAGAAGCTCCAGGCTCTGTGTTTGTGTTCAGCTGATTCATTTATTCCCAATTAAAAAAAAAAACAAACTAGTTGTAACATTAAAATATGCAAATAAGATAGGTGTGACTATCCTAAATAATCCTATGTAACTATTCTATTTAAACATAAATAGGAAGGTATAACTGCCATAAGTCATCACGAGTGTATTTCAAAGCCAGATCTGATTGATATTTCTGTTTACCCTTAGCTCAGGTAATTAAGAGTTGACACCAAGGAAGTATCATTTAGTATTAAGGGGAGAAAATAGGATACCTTATTGCATAGAATAGCAAACAAGTAGCATTTAATTCTAGATTTCTTCTTGTTTCCCCCAACAACAGAAAAAAAAATATTTTTTTCTCCTGGGGGAGGTTGATTAGGATATTTATTTACCCTGTCAAACCTGAAAGTCAGATGGTAGCCTGATTACCAAGCTTGATTGATTACCAAGCATCCTTTTTGTGATTTATTATTTTATGCCACAAAAGGAAGATACTTGAAGAGATAATTTTGTTCATTTACTATAGAAGTAGTTCATGTAGAAATTTTAAAGTGTCAAACATTAAGACCCAGTGTCCAGATCTTGGTTTCTAATACCATTCTCCATTAAAAGGAGATTCTGTGCCTGAGACAGGGAATAAACAATATGAGCCTGTAGTATCTTCTAGCTCCAGAAAGTAAGAAAATAACATGCGCACACACACACACACACACACACACACACACACACACATACTCTCACACACACACACACTCATTCACTCTCTCTCTCTCCACACACAATGATGGGGTGTGTCAGAGGGACCAAAGAGACAACTGAAAGAGCTCCCAAAGGTCAAACCTAGAACAATTTGAGCAGCTAAAAAACATAGTATTAGATTGTAACCCAATATATAAAATAAATGTAAATAAAATATACAGTATATATATTTTTAAAGGCTCATATAAACATATAAACAAATAATATGTGATATAAAATCATAAATATCCATGAGGCCATACTGGTATAAATAAATGGTTGGATAAATAAGCAAATGGGAGAGAATAGATAAATCTTTAATATAAAAGAACTCCAAATGATTTATGCAGATAATCATCTCTCAAGGAGATGGAACATCACTGCCAATCTTTTTTTTTTTCTTTCTTATTTTTTTGGGGGGGATCAGGTTCTCCATCTGTCACCCAGGCTGGAGTGCAGTGGCACAATCTTAGCTCACTGCAACCTCTGTCTCTTGGGCTCAAGGGTGTCTTCCCACCTCAGCCTCCGAGTAGCTGGAACTACAGGTGTGTGCCACCATGCCCAGCTAATTTTTTTTTTTTTTGTATTTTTTATAGAGATGGGATTTTGCCATGTTGCCCAAGCTGGTCTTGAACTCCTGGGCTCAAGCGATTCACCTGCCTCAGCCTCCCAAAATGCTGGGATTACAGTTGTGAGCCACCACGCCCAGCCCACTGCCCATCTTTTAAGTCTGAGCTGTGCCTAGTGACTTCCTTCCAAAGAGTGCAATATGAAAAGGGAGGAAAGAGACAGCTTCCTGACATTGGCCTGGGCAGTGACTTTTTGGATATCACCCCAAAAGCACAGGTAACCAAAAAATAGAAAAATGGGGTTGCATCAAACTAAAACAGCTTCTGTATAACAAAGGAAATAGTCAACAGAGTGAAAAGACAATCAACACTATGGGAGAAAATATTTGCAAACCATATATCTGATAAGGGGTTGATATCTAAAATATATAAGGAACTCAATAACAAAACAGATAACCCAATTAAAAAAGGAGAAAGAAACTGAATTGACAAGACGTACAGATGGCCAACAGGTATATGAAAAGATGCTCAATATCACTAATCATCAGGGACATGCAAGTTAAAACCACAGTGAGATATCACCTCACTCCTGTTAGAATGGCTATTCAAAAAGACAGAAGATAACAAGTATTGGTTAGTATGTGGAGAAAAGGGAATCTTTGTACATTGGTAGTGGGGATGTAAATTATAGTACAGCCATTAAGAAAAACAGTATGGAGGTTTCTCAAAAAATTAAAAATAGAAAAGAACTATATGACCCATCAGTCCTACTTCTGCATATATATCCAAAGGAAATCAGTATGTCACAGAGGTATCTGCACTCCCATGTTCATTGCAGCATTATTCACAATAGCCAAGATATGGAGTCAATCTTGGTATCCATCAATGGATGAATGGATACAGAAAATGTGATATTTAGGCCAGGCACAGTGGCTCATGCCTGTAATCCCAGCACTTTGGGAGGCCAAGGTAGGTGAATCATTTGAGACCAGGAGTTCAACCTAGCCGGGCCAACATGGTGCAACCCCATTTCTACTAAAAATACAAAAAATTAGCAGGGCATGGTAGCATGCACCTGTAGTCCCAGCTACTTGAGAGGCTGAGCCAGGAGAATCGCTTCAACCTGGGAGGTGAAGTTTGCAGTGAGCTGGGATCACGCCACTATACTCCAGAGCGAGACTGGGTCTCAAACAAAAAAAGGAAAAGAAAATGTGATATCCAGTGTATATATGCAAATAATGTAAGACTGTTCAGCTTTAAAAAAGAAGGAAATCCTTTCATTTTTGACAACATGGGTGAACCTGGAGGATATTAAGTGAAATAAGCCAGACACAGAAAGACAAATACTGCAGGAATCTCACTTACATGTGGAATCTAAAAACATTGAACCACAGAAGCAGAGAGTAGAATAATGGTTGCCAGAGGCTGGGAGTTGGGGGAGTGGTGAGGGAAATGGGGAGATGTTGATCAAAGAGTACAAGTTTCAGTTAGGATGAATGAGTTCTAGGAATCTGTTACACAGTAATGGTGACTATAGTTAATAATACTGTATACTTGAAAATTGCTGAGAGTAGATCTTAAATGTTCTCACCCCCCAAAAGATGAGGTGACAGATATGCTCATTAGCTTGATTTAATTATTTTATAATATATACATAAAAGATCATATTTACACTGTACAATTTTGTCACTCATGCCTTAAAGCTGGAGGAAAATAAATAATCACATGTTGGTATTGGTTCATTAGCTGTGACAAAGATACTATACTTACATAAGAGGTTAACAATAGGGAAAACCAGGTGTCAGGTTTACAGGAACTCTCTGTATAATCTTTGCAACTTTTCTGTAAATTCAAAGTCATCCCAAAATTGAAAGTTTATTTTTAAAAAAGACTATGGCAAGGACAATAGTCTATAGTTCAAGTTTAATTTTCATCCCGTAGGGAGCCTGAGGTAAATAAAATAGTCCTTAGTGTTCTGGTCTTATTATGGTGTAAAGTGGGGCAGTTCTTCCTTGCTGTTGTCTTATAAAGCCATGACAGTTTGTTTGCAGAATCAGAGAATGCAGTATTTCTAAATGTCCTCCTGTGGAATTTCCTACTGGCATGACTTTTTTCCCCTTTGCTTCTGCCCAGTAGCAGTCCCTTGAGTGGCATTTGCTGTCCTAGTTAATCAGAGGGTAGGAGAAATGAAAAACTCTCATCTTCCCACTCCCATGAAGTTTCAATGGGCACTGGAAATGTAGGTCAAATTGCATCACCATAGAAAGGAGCGAACAGGAAGGTATTTATGAAGTGCTGCCAATGTCTCTTTAGATTCAGAGTCATGACGAACTGGTATTGAGCCCGTTAGGTGTGAGATACAGGGAATCAGGGGGCATGTTTGTGATGTAGTGCCAGAATGTTATATTTCAACCAGTGATAAAAGATCTCTGTCTGAAACCTAGTGGAAATGACTTACACTGGCTTTGTTTAATTTGCATCTCCCAGCTTCTGGAATTCTTTTTGTCTCTTATTTATTATTGGCACATTGCAAAAATTTGTATTAATTTAGCCAGAGAGATGTTTGAAGTGTAGAAACTATTGCCATGTATACATTTTAAGAAGTCTATTGTTTCGTAGTCACATAAGTCTAATAATATATTTTGGAAATTACGTATAAACATAAGCACAGTGACATCTTGATTAGCACATAGAAACCTCAAAATATTTTTTCATTTTTAAATTATGTTTAAAGTATCTGTTAGATGGATCTCTGTTTTATTATTTATTTTATTTTATTATTTTTTCTAGACAGGGTCTCACTCTGCCACCCAGGCTGGAGTATGGTAGCACTATCTCAGCTCACTGCAGCCTCAACCTCCCAGGCTCAAGTGATCCTCCCACCTCAGTCTCCCAAGTAGCAGGGACTACAGGCATGTGTCACCACACCCAGCTAATTTTTGTATTTTTTTGTAGAGACAGAGTTTCACCATGTTGCCCAGGCAGGTCTCAAACGATCCACCTGCCTCAGCTTCCCGAAGTGCTGGGATTACAGATGTGTATCGCTGTCCTCAGCCTCTGTCTTCTTTTTTTTTTTTTTTAATGGAAAAATCTTACAGATTTTAGGATATAAGGAAACTTTAAATACGTGTTTTTATTTTTTACATATTGTGTGCTACCTACTCCTTTGTAAGATACCCAGATATTGACTGCCAGAATATTCTGTTACTGACAGTGTTATGAACAGTAAGCATCCTGATAGCAAAACCAAGTCTAAAACCTCTATTTTCACTCCCTTCTTCTCCCATCAAGATAATCAGTAGTTGCTTTATGTACAAAATGGAAAGTCAGATGATAAGAGATTTTTACAGAGGCTTGGATATTATTTAATAATATGAATTGAATAGATTATTCTGTGGAATATGTTTATAATTCAACATGGTTTTGGCTATTTTTTAACTTTTTATTTTGAGATAATTATAAATTTATAGGAATTTGCAAAGATGGTCCAGAGAGGTCTCGGTTATTCTTCACCCAGTTTCTCCCATTTATTATGTCTTAACTATAGTGCAGTATTAAAACCAGGACATTGACATTGGCTTAAAGTACATATATGGTTCTGTGTCATCTTATCATGTGTATTTTCATGTAATCACTACCACAATCAAGATATAGAACTATTCTATCACTAAAAAGATCTTGGTCGGGCGCAGTGGCTCATGCCTATAATCCCAGCACTTTGGAAGGCTGAGGCAGGTGGATCTTGAGGTCAAGAGATCGAGACCATCCTGGCCAACATGGTGAAACCCTGTCTCTACTAAAAATACAAAAATAGCTGGGGGTGGTGTCAAGTGCCTATAATCCCAGTTACTCGGGAGGCTGAGGCAGGAGAATCGCTTGAACCTGGGAGGCAGAGGTTGCAGTGAGTCGAGATCGTGCCAGTGCACTCCAGCCTGGCGACAGAGCGAGACTCCGTATCAAAAATAAAAATTAAAAAAAACAGATCTCCCTTGTGCTACCCCTTTATAGCCACATTCATTCCTATTATCCTCACAGTCCCTAACTCCTGGCAGCTGCTAATCGGTTCTCCAACTCTAAATTTGTCATTTTGGGAATGTTACATAAATATGATCTTTTAAAATTGGCTTTTTTCACTTAGCATTTTAAAAAGAATTTTATTTTTAAAAGAATATGATAAAATTTTTAAACGAATATTTATTTTTTTAAAGTTGTTACCCAGAGTTTGATTCACTAATTTTAAGACCATATATTTCTAGCTTGGGTGTTCCATACTCTGTGTTGCTATATTTGAACAGCAGCTAAAGTCGAATATGCCGACGTAATAGCTGATTATAGCATTAACCTTATTGCCTGCTGTTAAGGATGATACCTTGATGTTAAAGGGAAAATTACCCTGGGAAAAGTCCATCCTATCAACAAAGTAGATATTACAATTGATGAAGAGCAGGAATAAGAAGTCCCAATGTTTATACCAAATAAAGTAACTGACCATATTTGTACTCCATTTCATCTTGAAATCTTCAAAGGAGAGAGACTTTTTGGAACATGATATTTAAATGAACAGCAGTTGAAATATTTACATTAATTAACTAATGCAAAGCTTATGTCACAGAATTGTGGAATGTCACCATACGAAATCAAGTGTCTGCATCATGTTAAGCTTCTTTGAATGTCTTAAGTAGGAAATGGAGTTCTATGGATAGGCAAGGGCTAGAAATAGCCTCAGAAAAATCAAATCTTCAGATGCTGGTATACTATTTTCTGACAAAATACGGAGAATATTCTAGGATCTATAGGAGGGCATGTTAGTGTTTGGCTGCAAATAATGATACCATGGCTCTAGGGAATGCCACATGGTCAAACCTATAGCACTGAGCAAATAGAAAGTGAATCCCAGGATACCATTCTGCAGCACATGGCAGTGAATAAGCACTGGCTCCTCAGCTTCTCCAGAATTCATGTTCCTGAGGTTGTGTCAGGACAGATTTTTATGAATAGGGTAATCTTGCAACTAGCAAATGATTTTTGTTTGGCCCTAGCTCCTAACATTTTAGATAGTCTTCCTCCCAGTTGGGAAAATATTCCTGGTAATTAAAATCATCCTCTACTTACCAGCTTAACATTTTTCCCTTGATCACATTTGTTTTCTTTAAGCAGCATATGATTGTACTTAAAGTAGCTATTGGGATAGAGGAGAAGGGAAACAATCATTTATTGACCATCAGCTATATGCCAGCCACTTTGCTAAGTGTTTATGTTCATTCATGCATGTAACTGCAGTATTGAAAAATTTCATTAATGATACTCATTAAGTTATGGATCTGAAATAAACAGCATCCTAAGCAACTGTTTGTAGCAAGCCAATTTTCTTGGTCAGATTTACTCAAGGGGTTTGTTGACCAAAACACAGTAGAGAAAGAGTGAGACATAGTGCATATATGCCTGTGAGAAATGGTTTAAAGAATATAATTATATCTATTAATTTGTATATTCATGAGACAGTGTGTAAAATGATACAGAATTTAGACATGTAAGACCCAGCCCCTCTCCTCTTAGCTGTTTATCCAAATGAGGGAAACAAGTTTTGAGTTAAAGGAAAATATCAACTAACTACAGGACTTAAACTGCTTAACCCATCAATGTAACATGTATAACAGGGCATTACATAATTATTTTTGAAATCTTTCAGATTGTAAATGCTTTAATATTCAGAAGAGGAAATGATTACTGATCTCTGACCCTTGATTTTGTTATCTGTATGATTTTGCTACCTCGTAGAAGTAAATAAAATAATGTATATAAAAGACTTAATATAATGCCTACTACTTAGTATACCTTCAATAAATTGTAGCGGTTGCTGTTGGTAATGAAAATTATGACGATAGTAAGAATACTTTATAAGAGTAGGCTAACTGCTATAATGACCCAAAACCCCAGTGCCTTAACACAATATAATGTTTATTTCTTGTTTAAGCTCAGAGTGTGTTGGCAAGGAGGCTCAGAGTGTGTTGATTCCCCCAGTCATTCAGGAGTGAAATTGTGTGGCTCTGCCCTCCTGTAAGTACTTGGAGCCCTTTCCATTTGACCAACAGAGGGTAGGAGAGACTGAAGCTCAAGCCAGAGAGGTTTGTATGGGCCTAGCCCAGAAGTGTGGCACCCAACATTTCTTTTTTTATTTTATTTTATTTTATTTTATTTATTTGTTTATTTTGAGACAGAGTCTTGCTCTGTCACCCAGGCTGGAGTGCAGTGGCACCATCTCGGCTCACTGCAACCTCCACCTCCCGGGTTCAAGTGATTCTTGTGCCTCAGCCTCCTGAGAAGCTGGGACTACAGGCACGCAGCACCACGCCTGGCTAATTTTTGTATTTTGAGTAGAGATGGGGTTTCACCTTGTTGGCCAGGCTGGTCTGGAACTCCTGATCTCAGTGATCTGCCCACTTCAGCCTCCCAAAGTGCTGGGATTACAGGCGTGAGCGACGAGCGACTGCACCTGGCCCCAGCACTTTTTTTTTTTTAAGAGATGGGGTCTTGCTCTTTTGCACTAGCTGAAGTACAGTGGCACAGTCATAGCTCACTGCAGCCTTGAACTCCTGGGCTCAAGTGATCCTCCTGCCTCAGCCTCCCAAGTAGCTGGGACTACAGGTGTGAGACACCACACCTGGCTAATTATTTATTTTAATTTTCATAGAGATGGAGTCTCGCTGTGTTGCCTAGGCTGATCTCGAACTCCTGGCCTCAAGGGATCCTCCCTCCTCAGCCTCCCAAGGTGCTGGGATTACAGGCGTGAGCCATCACACCTGGCTTACACAACATTTTTGTTCACATTTTGGATTCAGTCACATGTCTCTACCTTACTGCAATGAATATTGGGAAATTTAGGCAAACTATGTGCTCAGGCAGAGAATGTAAATATAGGTGACTATTGGCGATCTCTATCACAAATAGTATTTACAAAGGCTTAGTAGAAGTGGAAGCATTTTCCCTGGATCTTTTAGAGAAGAGTGAAATTTGTTGTGTGCTGCTCAGCCTGTATTTAGGAGGTAATATTTAAAGAGGTGGGTAGAATAATTAAAAACTGTACGAGCATTATTAATGAAAACTACATTTATCCCACTAGCCACTGCCCTTACTGTCAGTCATTTGGTAAGTGACCTTTGGGAAGCCATTTATCTGTTACAGACCTGCATTTCCTCACTTACAAGTATTCTTTGTAGGGCTGTGGTGAAGATTAAACAAGACAGTGCATGTACAGAGTTTAGCAGAGGGTCTGATCCAAGTTAAGCACTCAGCGAAAATTGTTCTTATTGGTAGTGTTGATAAGTATGGCCTCAGAGTAAAACGCGTGCTAGCTGTTCATTTATTTAACATCTATCCTAAGGGACCATGCTAGACTAGCAAAGAATGACTTGACTGAGGACACATATATGAATTTTAGAATTTTGTAACCCCAGGCCAGTCATAGGAGATTAACGTTCCCCTGGTAGACTATTGGGGAACAAACTCTCTCTGTTCCCCAGGCTTTCCTCCTCCCAGTCAACTTTAAAGACACCTCTACCACACACACACACACACACACACACACACACACACACCCGCCAACTCCTGTCAACAGGAGTACTGGACTTTAATTTGCCTCTTATCGCTCCTTCACACACACACACACACACACACACACCCACACACACACACACACACCCCAACTCCTGTCAACCGGAGTACTGGACTTTAATTTGCCTCTTATCCCTCCTTCTCCCTTCCTTAGCATTGATGTCTATAGGTGAGTTTGCCTGGTGAGAGTGAAGGTAAATGCCAGAGCAGCTCTTTATTCCACTGGCCTAATTGCGGGTTCTTAGCAAGGCAATAGCATCCCACTCCAGGCACATATTAACCTGAGTGGCTGGGTAGCCGTCAGGACCTGTGGTTCCATTTTATCCAATTCAATTCATCAGGCATTTATTAACACTTAACAACATTGGGCCCTAGGGATACAAGAATGAAATGTTGCAGACCCAGCCTCCAGGAAGCCCACCTAGGGCAGTAGGCATGATGACCTGATGAGGTTTCATCTGAGCTGGGTTTTGAAGTCTAGATGTGAGTTACTTGGAAAGTAAGAAAGGAGTTCAAGGAGGCATGAACAACAGGTGTGGAGAAACAGGTGGGAATTGTGGTGTATTGCAGTGGAGGGAATGGTTTTAAGCTCAACTCTAACATGCACTACCTCAGCTTTTATTGGCCTCATCTCACAAGCCTCAATTTTCTGATAAAGGAGCACAGAAAGAGTTCCTGTGTTATAGATGGGAGGTCTAAGTGAAATGATGCATGTAAAAGGCTTACTTTTTATTACTGGGCGCATGGTAAGTGTTCAGTAAATGTCAGCTACTACTACTATTATTATTGTCATGTGCTTTTATAAATTGACTTTCAAATCTACTGACTTGATCAGGGTTTTGCACAATGACAAATTGGAGAATTACTGGGAATTTTATATTTTACTTTTAGCTAATGGTGAAATGGTGCCCTGTAGTCACAAATAATGGATAGAAAAATGCCTTGCTGACCTTTCTTTGCTAAAAGAAGAGGGAACCTAGTTAACCTCAGTGAAGCCTGGGAGAGATAGGCTCAAGATGGGAGAACTGTGTGTCCTGAAATGGCAAAAGAGTGAAGGATGGCTATATTGAACATATTTGGAGAGAGCAGAGGGACTGAACATTGTGTAGGTATATACTAATAGAAGCTGTTAGAAAATGGAGGCTCCTTTAAAAATAAGACTCCACATGAGGCGTTCTACGAAGTGTTGAGAAAGCCCTAGGACTGACTGCAGTGGCTGAAATGTACTCAAGAAACCCAGGCCAGAGTTACTGGAGCCCTTCCTCACAATTGGCCTTGGCTCCCTCTCCACTTGTGTGTTTTCACATTGACTTGATCTTCAGTGGAGTAACTCTGAGCAGTGGCTGTAGCTCAGCAGGTAGAAAAACTCTCTAACCCTTGAAGAGGGGAATACAGTAGCACCATTGAAAAAAGAGGTTGTGTATAGAGTTTCATTCTTAAATTTGCTTTGCCAAGGAGAAAGCCTGTGAGAGTGAAAGCAAGGTGGAACTGGGGTCCAAAGAGAGGGAGTAAACTAGATGCCATATTAATTTGTATTTCTGGAGAATATGACTGCAGTTTATATATAACTTGGTTTAAACATTTTTGTAACCTGCTTAAGAAATTTGGGTTTGGGTGGTCGATTTTCATTTGGAAGAAAAGATTAGGAAGACAGTATAGTTTTGGGGACACAAGCATGGCTACCTACAGGAGACAGGTCTGAAAGGAAAATAAGTGATGCAGCCAGCTGAGTACTTTGGAAATTACATGCCAAATGACAAAGGGCAGCTCCCAACACAGCTTCATTCAGTTATCCCCCTCCAGGAAAGTTGGCCCCTGTGGCCAGATTTTTAGATTTTTCCCAGAGAAACCAGGAGTTTGGAATTTTATATGAATCTTCCAGCCTTTTAAATATTAACAACAAAGTCATATTGTTTTCCCCAAGATCACCATGGAAAACAAAAAAGTGGGCTATTTTAGGCCTGTGGACTTTTCCATTTGCAGTGAGTATCAAGATGGAGAGAAAAATGCACAGCCTAGGAGTTAGGTGGCTCAGCTGAATAACACTGCCAATTCTAGTGCCAGACACAGTACTTGGCATGGAGCACATTCTCAATGTGTTTTGTTTTGTTTTTGAGTTAGAGTCTCATTCTTTTGCCCCAGGCTGGAGTACAGTTGCATGATCATGGTTCACTGCAGCCTCAGCTTCCCAGGCTCAAGTGATCCTCCTGCCTAAGCCTCCTGAGGAACTGGGACTACAGGCATGCACCACCATGCCTGGCTAGTTTTTAAAAATTTTCTGTAGAGACGGCGTCTCACCCTTCCTCAAGCAGTCTTGAACTCCTGGACTTAAGCAGTCCTCCTGCTTTGGCCTCCCAAAGTGCTAGGATTACAAGCATGAGCCACTGTGCCCCAGCCTCAACATATTTTTATTGAATAAATAAACCAGCTGAGATAAATCTCTCTTGGTTTTCAGTCTTTACATATCTAGAATGGAGAGATTGGAGTCAGCCTTCAAGGTTTCAGGTTGTTTTTTTTGTTGTTGTTTTCTCTCCCTCCTCCTCCTCCCCCAACAAGCTCTGAATTTATAAGATCACAACTCTTTGTGCTTTCCTTGTAGGACTAATTTCTCTGGCTCCTTTTCTTCCCTGTTATGCCCTCTCCAAGAACCTAGGGTGGCAGTCTCACGTTAAAGCTTGGCGATTTTGCCTAGAAGTTAAGAATTTAAGTTTATACTGTTAAAAACAAGACTGACTTGGTTTAGCCTTTTTTCTTTCGTTTATTGTGATTAGTAGGTTTGTGCTTAATTTTGACACACTGGATGACATAACGAGGTGATTCAGATTATGCCTTAAATTGCAACAAAGTTCTGAATCTTAACAGAACACAGAAATGTTACTCCTAGAAAATAAGCCATTTTCCCTGTAAAAGCCAATATAACACTGCCCATGTAGCATTGTAGGCTTTTCTCTGTTTAAAAGGAATGATGGGGTGTTTCTGAACCCTTCGGCCTTCTGCAGTATATTCTTTTATAACACATTCTGGTGATAGCTCTACTTTTAAAATACGTTTTTTTACTATCTTGGACAAGATCATTTTTTGTTGCAGTTATCACAAATCAGTTCCAAAAAATAAGCTCATTAAAAGGTGGGGGCGGGGGCACTTACCCTAGATGCCAGGGGATTCTTAGAACCCTAGGGAACCTAGGGAAGGAAGTGCTTTGGGCCACTCAGGGGCTATGGCAGTAACAGGAAAGCCCAAGAACACTCCCAGGCAGAGATTCTCTCTCTCTTTCTTTCTTTCTTCCTTCCTTTCTTCCTTTCTCCTTTTCTCTCTCTCTCTCTTTCTCTCTTTTCTGTCTCTCTCTTGTTTCTCTGTCTCTCTCTCTCTCTCTGTGTCTCTCTCTCTCTTTCTTGTTTTTTCTCCTGGGGGAAACGGGAGATAAGTGGCCTCTTGGGTCAGATTCACTCTGAGCAGCACATTCATTCTTTCATTCTCTCTTTGCTGACTGTCTTTTTCCTATAGACTGAGAGAGCACTTAGAGGTAGCTTGCAGCCTCCACCAAACTAGACCCTCTTCATCTCAATTTCTCGTTCTAAGAAGAACACATTGACTGTCTCAGTTTGTGTCGTGTGTCCAGCTTTGACAAAGATGGGAGTAAGTAGTTTGTAGCCCCATAGTACAAGTATGACTTGGCATGGAGTTGAGAATTACTTAGTGCTTAGAAAAAAGGGTCAACATAGGCTAGGGAGCTCCTGTAGGATAAAGATATCTTCTATAATCTCCCTCCCCCTTAAAAAAAAAAGTAAATAAATTTATGCTTCAAGTTAGGTCTTCTTTCTTTCTCTCCCACTGCTAACTGGCCATCATTTAAATACATCTTTTTTAAAATTATATTTATTGAATGCTTATTACAAAGTAGTTGTTGCATGAATAAAAGGTATCAAGTTTAATGATTCTAAGAAAATTTTCCAAGTCTATTTAAAATGATTTCTTTTTAACTATTTCTCTTTGCAAAACAAAATTAAGTTGCCATTGAGGCAGTTTGGTGTACTGGAAAGGGAACTAAATATCACCAAAGGCCCGGATTCTAGTTACAGTTTCACACCACTTGTTGGCTAGGTAATCTTGAGCAAATTATGACCTTCCTCAATCTGTTTCTTCAGTAGTAAAATGGAGATCATAGTAACAGCTCTTTTGAACACAGGGTTATTGGAAGATCAAATGAGAGAAAACATACAAGCATGTAATAGGTTTTTTCCCATACTAAAGAAAGGCTCTTGACCCCTATTCTAAGTAGAGAAGTTTCTGTTTTTAAATGTTTATTTTTAGTAACTGCAACTATCATTTTTCTCTAAGAATTGGATTTCCTATAAAGCATTTTTACAGTATGTGACTAGTAAGTGATGAATTCTTTTAAAACCAAAACTATCCTGAAGGAGATTTCATAGTATTCTGAATCTGATGACTTCCTTGGATACTTTGGAGAAATAGCAGCAGTGTCCAGATGGAAAATTGAAAAATGGCTTGACCTAGTGAAATAAGATCAAGTGCAGAGTCTAATCTGATGCTGGTGTTGTTCTGCCTTCACCTTCTGTCTACTCTGAAGGAATCACCATCAGGGTGGTGAATGCTTATCATGAACATAACATCTTTATTGACTGTCTCTATCATGACAATTTGTAATTAGCTTTGAATGATTTTTGCACAGCTATAAAGTATTTAGGATTCAAAGAAATGCATTTTGGCTCAGGACAGACATGTTGAACAAGAAAACAGCTTTTATTGGAAGTAAGGCAGAAAAGGAGCACTAAAATGGAAATCAGAGAAATTTTTTAAAAGAAAGGAGACTGGGAAGGAATTAGAAATCTGAAGAGAAACATCTGGTTTATAAAGATTGTGAGAATGATTTTAAGCATTACTGAATAGCATTTTGAGTGAATAAAATTGACACTTTTAAAAAGGGAGAGGGAAGCAGTATGACCTGGGAATAACTTAAAACCTAATAAAGATAATTATGAGTAAATGTTCAAAACATGGCATATAATTTCAGCCACTGATTTTCAGAGATGCTTTATTTGTATCTTAGGATCTCAGGCCATAGGAATATTTGGTTACCATCTTAGAGTACATGAAAATAAATAAAAGTTGAGCAAAGCACTATTACCTCCTCCACATCTTGCTTTATAGCCAGTGAGAATTATAGGGAGAGAAGTATATGAGTAGTGAATTTTTCATGTGAGCTCAGCCTGTCTTGTGCTTTATACCTTGACAACATCTGCCCGATAGCTGTGTCATTGCCCATATTTGTCGCTTTTTCTCTTCTGCTGCATGTGAGATTTGAAGACCAGCTTATTTTCTAACTTTGGTTTGTTAATCTGTAATTTATTGACTCCTTAACTCATTGCTCCTCCACAAATTAATTAAAAAGTTACCACATTTTACCTGAAATATATGCACACAACTATGAAGATAATGGAGCACATAGTTTCCTTGTGCTTTTTAATAAGATGGTTTAATTGAATTGTTACCTGTTGAAGTATTAAAAATTGCTTTTATAAACTGCTGAAATGATAAAGAACGACAGCTTGAGCTCTCCAGATAATAATCTCATTCAATCTGTGTTTTTAAAATCTGTGATTTGACAAGTTTCATAGGAGCAGGCTTTCTGAATCGCCATTTTAAAAATTAAGTGGAAACTCATTAGTGCAAATTATATACAATGATTTTAAGCCCCAGGAGGCTAACTCTGTGTACATATTGAATAGTCATTTGTTCTTGGTTTATTGTAACTATAGCCAATTAAGTTCATTGTAAAAAAAAAAAAAAATCACATTTGTAGTAAAATTGGTAAAATGTCTTGAAATTTAACAGTTTGACATCTCAAAGCACATATAATTTTGGAATATCTGGCAACCAATGAGATTGTATGTTTCTGATTAGCTTTGTCCATCCACTGTTTCATCCATTTGCCTTTTTTCTGTTTTTGCAGATCTGAACAGAATTAAGACGAACGAGCTTTCACAATTGCAGCAGATGAAGATCCATTGGTAAATTGATCAGGATTTTTGGCCTACCCTCCAAAGAAAAGGTAACTGGCTGTTCTGATATCGCAAACACAGTTGAATAAATATAATGCTTCCAGTTATAATAGAGTTTGAGTTTTACCAAAGGATGATAGTTTATTTTAAGGCATCTGTGTAAGATCTCAAATGTTAAATGTAATCCTGAATATGATCTTAGAAAAATAAAATGACAATGAGTTTAGGAGTATGATATTATTAGGTATTTGTTTCTCAACACAAAAACTACTAAATAACATCCCCTCCAAATTTGTTAAAATTGCAGGAAGACTTTAGTTATAGAATCCTCCTTCTTTCCCAGTCTATACCCACTTTTTTCTGGAAGTTATCCAAAAGTGTGCTCTTGTTTCTTTCCAGCACCATTCCCCCAGCTCCTGTTTTCTTGTCTTTCCATGTAATGTAGACCCAGCTGCTTAGGGCAGGGAAGATCATCAGCAAGACTGTAAAACAGGCAAGCGTTCTTCAGGAACACTTTCTGGGCCCATTGCCTTTGCCCAGGCTGACAGACAGCTCTGTGGTAATGAGTAGTCTCTGATCATTACAAAAATAGCAGCCATCATTAATGGAGTGTCTTTTTTTTTTTCTTTTTTTGAGACAGAGTCTCACTCTGTTACCCAGGCTGGAGTGTAGTGGCATGATCGTGGCTCACTGCAACCTCCACCTCCTAGGTTCAAGTGATTTTTGTGCCTCAGCCTCCTGAGTAGTTGGGACTACAGGTGTGCACCACTACACCTGGCTAATTTTTGTATTTTAGTAGAGATGGAGTTTTGCTATGTTGGCCAGACTGGTCTCGAACCCCTGACCTCAAGTGATCCACCCGCCTTGACCTCCCAAAGTGGTGGGATTTCAGGCATGAGCCACCAACGCCTGGCACATTAATGTTGTTTCTCACTGCATGTCCACCATTGTACATTTACTGTTTTGGGAGGATAGTGGTGAAGTTTCACATAATATGAAGCAGGAAATTCCTGGAGGAATTTTGATTTAAAAAAACAAAAAGGGCTGAGTACAGTGGCTCACACCTGTAATCCCAGTACTTTGGGAGGCTGAGGTGGAAGGATTGCTTGAGCTCTGGAGTTTGAGACCAGTCTGGCCAACATAGCTACACCCCCAACTCTAGAAATTTTTTTTTTCTTTTTTTTGAGACCTTTTCTTGCTCTGTCGCCCAGGCTGGAGTGCAGTGGCGCCATCTCGGCTCACTGCAAGCTCCGCCTCCTGGGTTCACGCAATTCTGCCGCCTCAGCCTCCCGACTAGCTGGGACTACAGGCGCCTGCCGCCACGCCCGGCTAATTTTGTTTTTGTATTTTTAGTAGACACGGGGTTTCGCCGTGTTAGCCAAGATGGTCTCGATCTCCTGACTTCGCGATCTGCCCTCCTCGGCCTCCCAAAGTGCTGGGATTACACGCGTGAGCCACTGCGCCCGGCCTAAAAAAAATTTAAAAAATTAGTCAAGCACAGTGGTGCATGTGTATAGTCCCAGCTACTCAGGAGGCTGCAGCAGGAGGATGGTTTGAGCTCAAGAGCTTGAGGCGGCAGTTAGCCATGATGATGCTGCTGCACACCAGCCCCAGCGGCAGCAAGACCCCATGTTAAAAAACAAGCAACAACAACAACAACAAAATTATTCTCCTACTTCTGAAAGGAATGAGATAACCTTTAAGTTAAGGTGCAGTTTAAGATGAGTCATTAAAGACTGAAACAACAGAATCGAAACAAGGAAGACGAAAGGAGTTTCAGCCTCTGGAATCAACTATCTTACATACTTAGGCAACAAATGTGATGCCACAATCAGGTTTTAGGCAACTGTAGCAAAAATGGTAGCATTTCAGACAACACGTAAAAGATAATATTTTTACCATTACCAATCTGAAACAACTTCACAAAAAGTGTTTTAGTACTGTTGAGATGTTTGAAAGAACAAGAGTTTGGGGAGCTATGAAGTCTCCACCTTAAAAACAGCCTCTTAAAATGTTCTGGACTAAAGCTGAAGGGCCATAATGCAGAGATGTCTTTCAGTGATCGTTGAAGTCATCACGTTGAATGTTGTTCATTGTATCATGTCTGCAAGGTGCCAGAGAAGAGAGAAACAGGCTTTCCTGTGTGGTGTCCAATCACTGACAATGGAGGGGTATGGGGAGAAGTTAAGAGGAAACATGTTTGGCAGAATGCCAGAGGAGCTCTTTAGTGCCTGTTTATGGAGTTTCTACTGTGTGCATGGGGATTGTCCCTGGGAGGAAAAGGAGAAGAATAGGAGGTGATTTACATGGACTGCAGTGATGACCTAATGCTTTTTTGAATATTATACCAATGAAAAGATTAATATGATGCCAGGAAGTAAGTGACCAAGAAGCAGAGAAAGAAGAGGAGGCACAAGTTCAAAAGTCTGTAGAGGCCAGAGAGACCAGAGAGGGGAATAAAGTGAGCCAGGTGGAACTGTGAGAAACCATCCGGTCCATGATCCATCTAATGTGGCAATCCCTTCTCAGCAGCAGATTGTAGGCCCGATATCTGTTCATTCAACAAACATTTATTGGGTGCCAACCTATGTGCTATGTTCTCTTATGGTCACTGGGGATAAATTAGTAAATCGAAAGGACAAATATCCCTGCCATTGAATTGGCACTTACCTTTTTTTCTTAATTAACAAGTAAAAATTGGATATGTTTATCATGTACAATGTATTCTTTTAAAATATGTATTCATTGTGGAATGGCTTAAATTAACTAATTTAATAGCTAATTAACGTAGGCATTACTTCTCATACTTATGTTTTGGTTGTGAGAACCTTTATCTAGTCTCTTTGCAATTTGCAAGAATACAATACATTGTTATTAACTATAGTAAGCATGTTTTGCAGCTGAGTTCTTGAACTCATTCTTCCTAACTGAAATTTTGTACCTTTTGACTAACTTTCCCTAAACCCCTCACCTCTATCCTCTGGTAACCACCATTCTATTCTCTACTTCTATGAATTCAACTTTTTAAGATTCCACATATAAGTGAGATTGTGTGCTGTTTGTCTTTCTGGGCCTGGCTGATTTCACTTAACATAATATCCTCCAGGTTCATCTATGTTGCTGCAAATGACAGGAGTTCTCTTTAAAAAAAAACAAAAATAGAGATAGGGGTCTCGCTATGTGTCCTAGGCTAGTCTGGAACTCCTGAACCCTGGCCTCAAGTGTTTCTCCCACCTTGGCCTTCCCTCCAGAGTGCTTGGATTACAGTTGTGAGCTACCATATCTGGCTGGATTGCCTTCTTTTTAAAGATTGAATAGTATTCCATTGTGTGTGTGTATAACACAGTGGAATATTATTTAGCCATAAAAAAGAAGGAAGTATTGATAACATGTTCCAACATGGATAAACCTTGAAAATGTTTTATTAAATGAAGGAAACCAAACACAAAGACCACATATTATGTGGTTTCATTTAATATTCAGAATAGGCAAATCCATAGAGACAGAAAGCAGATGTGGTTTTCGGGGGTTGGGGAGGGAATGTGGGCAGTGATTGCTTGATGAATACAGGGTTTCCTTTTGGAGTGATGAAAATGTTCTGGAACTAGATAGTAATGTTGGTTGTACTACACTGTGAATGTACTAAATGTCATCAAATTGCACACTTAAAATGGTTAAAGGCCAGTTGCAGTGGCTCATACCTGTAAATCCAGCACTTAGGGAGGGCGAAGCAGAAAGACTACTTGAGTCCAGGAGTTTGAGACCAGCCTGGGCAACATTTGAAACCCCGTCTCTATAAAAAAAGTACAAAAATTAGCTAGCCGTGGTGGCATGCGCTTGTAGTCTCAGCTACTTGGGAGCTGAGGTGAGAGGATCACTGGAGTCTTGGAGGTTGAGGGTGCAGTGAGCCGTGATTGCACCAGCTGGATTGCACTTGAGCCTGGGCAACAGAGCGAGACCCTGTCTCAAAGTAAATAAATAATAAAATGGTGAAAATGGTGAATTTCAGTTATGTGAGTTGTATTTAAAAAATAATGGCATTTAGAAAGACTTTCAGAAATGTGTACTTTATGTCTTGGACATGAGAAGGTGGTTTAGCTAGAGTGGAGTCTTTGTAAGGGGGAGCGGTGGATGCTAAGGGTGGGAAAAGGTTTGGCTAGATATTGAAAGATATTGACTGGCTAAGGAGTTTAGCAGCTATAAATATAGCACCATATACTCCATGAGGAAGAAGGAAACTCAAGAGAGGTTGGTGCTCTGGGAATCCCAGCTAAAGATGAAGTTTCAAGCAAAGGAAGTGACTTGTAGTTTTATCAGTCCATGCCGTTGCCACTCACCTAACAGAGTTTTGTGACAATCTCACAAAAGTTTCAATATTAGTTTAGAGTTTCTTCTTCAAAAAAAAATCTTTATAAAAGGATAATCATCTTTTAAAATAATCATCCTGAATATAAAACTATGTTGATAAAAAATCTAAACATTATATAAATATATATGCTAATAAAAAGTTCCTTTAAGTTTAAAGAATTAAAGCATCTTTAATTCTTTAACTCCTTGCTTCTCATATGGTAAATCTAGAGTTATCTAGATTGTTTTTTGCATAGACTTATCATCATCATCATCATCATCATCATCACCACTTTTTCACAAAAATAGGCACATGTGGGCCGGGCACGGTGGCTCACGCCTGTAATTCCGGCACTTTGGGAGGCCGAGGCGGGAGGATCACGAGGTCAGGAGATTGAGACTATCCTGGCTAACATGGTGAAACCCCGTCTCTATTAAAAATACAAAAAAATTAGCCGAGCTTGGGCCTGTAGTCCCACCTACCCCGGAGGCTGAGGCAGGAGAATGGCGTGAACTCAGGAGGTGGAGCTTGCAGTGAGCCAAGATTGCGCCACTGCACTCCAGCCTGGGCAACAGAGCAAGACTCCGTCTCAAAAAAAAAAAAAAAAAAAAAAAGGCACATATGATTCATAGTATTTTTTGCATGTTTCTTTAGAAAATGTTTATCTTGGCTGTCATTGCACTTCTTTCGTTTGGACCATTACATTATATGCTATTTTATTTGTAAAAACAAACAAAAAGTTGAAAAGTAACGGCCACATACCTCTATTAGAGAATGAATTGTTATAAAATGTGAAAGTAGCTAACACACTGAGCACTTAATATGTGCCAGGCACTATTCTGAACATATTAATTTATTGACTCTTCATAAGCTGATGAGGTAGATATTATTGTTATCTTCCTTTTGCAGAGGAGCTAACTGAGGTACAGATGAAAAAATTATCCTGCCAACGTCCAGAGTTAGGTGGTGGCAGAGATGGGTTCCAGGACCAGCTTCATCTCCAACTCATGTTCCTATGAGGAATGCTGTGGCTGGTGGTGTCAGATTTTACTTAGGATTTTTTCAAGATAAGTCAATCTGGAATTTTTTGTGAAATTTTCCAAGTTTTAATGTTGGCTTAAAAAATAGCTTTATTGAGATGTAATTCAAATGCCATAAATTTACCCCTTTAAACTGTACATTTAATGGTTTTTAGTGTATTCACAGTATTGATTGTATAACTGTTTCTTCTATCTAGGTCAAAAACATTTTTAGCACCCACATTGGAGACCCCATCGCATTCCTAAGCAGTCACTCTCCATCTTCTCTTCCTTCAGCCTCTGGAAACCACTAATCTGCTCTCTGTCTGTATGGATTTGCCTATTCTGGCTAATTCACCTAAATGAAATCAAATAATATGTGACCTATTTGTCTTCTTTCATTTAGCATAATGTTTTTAAGATTTATTCATGTTGGAGCATGTATCAGTGCTTCATTTTATGGCTGAATAATTTTTTTTTTTTTTTTTGAGATGGAGTCTCACTCTGTTGCCCAGGCTGGAGTGCAGTGGCACAATCTTGGCTCACCACAAGCCCCCCCCACTCCCCCGCCAGGTTCAAGCGATTCTCCTGCCTCAGCCTCCCAGGCAGCTGGGATTATAGGCGTGCACCACCATGCCCAGCTAATTTTTTTGTGTTTTCAGGAGAGATGGGTTTCACTATCTTGGCCAGGCTGGTCTTGAACTCCTGACCTCGTGATTTGCCTGGCTTGGCCTCCCAAAGTGCTGGGATTATAGGTGTGAGCCACTGCACCTGGCAATAATATTCTTTGTAGAGATATATCACAATTTGTTTATTCATTTGTTGATGTACATATGGGTTGTTTCCACCTTTTGGCTTTTAGGAATTACACTGCTAATGAATATTAGTGCTCAGGTATCTGAGTCTCTGCTTTCAGTTCTTTTGAGTGTATACCTAGAAGTGGAATTGCTGGATCATATGCTAATTCTGTGTTTAACCTTTTAAGTAACTACCACTGTTTTCCACAATGGCTGCACTGTTTTACATTCCTGCCAGCAATGTATGAGGATTCCAGTTTTTTCATATCCTTGCTAACACTCTTCATTTTCTGTTCTTTTGTTGTTGTTTATTACAGCCATCCTAGTGGGTGAGAGGTGGTATCTCTGATTTAGATTTGCATTTCCCTAATGACTAATGATATTGACCTTCTTTTTTTGTTGTTGTTGTTAATTTACTGGGCTGCGTTCTTTCTTTTCTACATTCTAGTTCAAGTCCCTTATCAGATAAATGATTTGCAAAAATGTGTAGGTTCTGTGGGTTTTCATTTTCTTGATGGCATCCTTTGAAGCACAGAAGTTTAATTTTGATGAAGTTCAATTTACCCATTTGGCTCTGTTTTCATTCTTTTTTAATTTAATTTAATTTAATTTTTTTTTGAGACGGAGTCTTATTCTGTCGCCAGACTGGAGTGCAGTGGCACAATCTGGGCTCACTGCAACCTCTGACTCCCTAGTTCAAGAGATTCTCCTGCCTCAGCCGCCTGAGTAGCTGGGATTACAGGCACGTGCCACCACGCCCAGCTAATTATTGTATTTACAGTAAAGACGGGGTTTCACCATGTTGGCCAGGATGGTCTCGATCTCCTGACCTCGTGATCTGCCTGCCTCGGCCTCCCAAAGTGCTGGGATTACAAGTGTGAGCCACCGCACCCGGCCTTGGCTCTGTTTTTAAAAAGAAATACCTGGTAAGTCAGATTCCAACCCACTAATTGCCCGCTTGTGATTGCTGCTTTGCTGCCACTGCCCCAGAAACCATTTGGAAAAATCCTCATGCTTTTTGAAAATACCGGTTTTCTGAAGAGATGGAGCAAGCTCTGGAAGGCAGGAAAGGCAGATTTCTCACCAGGAGCAATTTTGTTTTGGTTCCCCTTTTCTACTCCTGAAGTTCCTTCACTTAGAACACCTTGATGTAGACGTGGGGGCATAGTAGGAAGTGGACAGAGGATCAAGGTCTCCAGGTCTTGAAAATTTTATGTTTATCAAAAGAGAATATTGGTTAAAATAAAAGATTAAATTGGTGAAAATAAATATTTGTCTTGAGCCATAGATGATGTCATTTAAAATCAGAATGGCCATAAGAGTGTGGTTAGTAATTGTGTGTTTCTAGGAAGAAAGGTTTATGAACCAGTACACCTAGAAGTCATCTGGGGTAAGGTCTTACCCTTTATATTTCTTTGAATGTGTACTTGGGAGGAGAGGAGGACAGGTAACTGTATTCATTCATAGTCATTCATACACATTAGTGAAAAATAGTTAAATCTGCAGGCCTTTACCTCTACCAAGAAAAGGAGAGCTTTACTTTGGAGGTGGAAAGGGAGTGCAAGTTTTTGTGGAACAGTCTGTCTTTTGAGAAGCAGTACAAACCCAGGTAGGCTCCTGGATCACGGTGCAAAGACAGAATGTGGGAAAGTCAAGGGTGTCATGTTTGCTGGATCTATAGCTTTGCTTAGAGCTGGACCTTGGCTGAGGAAAGGAGGAAGAAGCATTTGTGTTGTTCCTTCCCTCTTATACTAACACACCTGCATTGTTCGTCCTAGGTTTCACCCCAAAGGCATTTTGCTGACCAATTTGGAGACATGGTTACAACTCGTCTTATGGTTTGTGGGAAAGTGGGTTCCAGGTTCTAAATAACACCCTTATGTTGGGAATGCAAACTGTTGATCTCTGGGAGACTAAATGTATGTCTCATTGTCACCTTGATTTCAGAGCATATACTCTTAACTCTGAATCCATGAAGTCCTGTGATATAGAGGTGGGGATGAGTTCCCATGTATGTGCTTAGTGAGAGGGTTCAGGAAAGAGTTTGTTAAAGAAATGGAATTTGTGGAAGAACTTTGATTGAACAGCAGGATTTCTGCCAAGGGAGGGAAACTGTTAAAGATGGAGTGTCCTATATGAGCAAAGGCTTGGGAACTGGGAGTTGGATGGGGTTGGGGTGGGGGCATGTTTGAAGTTCTGAATTTGTCATTTGGGCTAGACCATAGACTACCTGCAGGAGGCAACTGAACAGTGTAGAAGTGGTGGAGCTGAGGCAAGGGCAAACTGTAGAGGACCTTGAATGCTAGGAGAGAAGTTTTTATTTATTTTATCCGTCAGTGGGGAGCCCCTAAAAATGTTAGAGCAATCACTAACATGGCTAAAGCCATAATTCAGCAAGATTGGTCTGATAGTATAGCGTACATAGATTAGAATTAGGGCTTACTATGTGACAAGCATGGTGCTAATAGTAATAGCTGACACAGTGTGCTTTTTTGCACTGTAAATTTCTTAATGTTCTTCATAAAGTAGTTACTCTTGTTTTACTCATTTTATAGATGTAGAAATATGCACAGAGAGGCTAAGTGATTTCCCCAGAGTTACACAGCTCGTAGTGGTAGAAGTGGGATTCAGCCTGGGCAGATAGGCCCTAGAACCCACGCTCTTAATGGCTGAGCCCCCAAAAATGGTGATATTTACAGCATTGTCAGTACAAAGGTACATGGGAAATTACGTTTAACAATGTGTTTAACCTGCATTTTATGGTAGCTGACGCAGTACACTAGAACTCTATACAGTCGACTTCCTTTTATAGCTGAATATTGGTCCAACTTTTCCATTCCTTGTCTTTTTTTTTTTTTTTTTTTTTGTAACAGGGTCTTGTTCTGTCATCCAGGCTGGAGTACAGTGGCACGATCTCAGTTCACTGCAGCCTCAATCTCCCAAACTTAAGCAGTCCTCCCCCTCAGCCTCCCGAGTAGCTGGGACTATAGACACATGCCTGCATGCCTGGCTGTATTTTTTTTTTTTTTTTCAGTAGAGACTATGCCTCACTGTGTTGCCCAGACTGGTCTCCAACACCTGAGCCTTGGTCCCCCAAAGTGCTGGGATTACAGGCATCAGACCATCACGCCTGGCCTCCATTCCTTTTCTATAACTTGAAACTTTCTATTTGTAAAAAATTCCTCAGCCGAAAGACTTTAAATCAACATTTCAAATCAAGTTCGTCATAAAATTACAAGCCAGTTTTAAATCCCTAGAAACACTGGGCATTACTAATTACCTTTTATATTATAATTTATTATTACCTTTTATATGTGTATTTTCAAATTTTCTTCTCTTTTCAAGCAATTTGCTATTACTGGTGAATGTTTCTTTGGGAGAGTTCATATGTACATGCAAACATATGATTAAGAAAACAATCCAAAAATTTAAGGGTTTGAGATGTTTAGCAAATGATGCATTTTACTATAGAATGAGTATGTGTACAGGTTGAGTTTTCAAAAAGCTATTTATGTCTTATCTTTTAAGTCCTCACTCTTGCAACTTTCCTTATTATTCCTAATTTTGCACTTGATTGCTATGAATTCCAGCCACTAAGCTGATGAATTCAATTTACTCTTTCCACTGTTCTCCCTCTACTGGAATACTGATATTCATGACAAGCTGTAAGGTACTTCACTAGAGGGAGCATAGTTAAGGAAAGGCATGCCCCTTGTGCAGAATACAGCCCTGGCTCTCTCTGGAGAAGAACGAGGAAAGGGGAAAGATGTAGTCAGAGGAGTGAGAGAGGATTTGAACAAAGGCTCAGCCAATTTTAGGAAGATAAAAAGAAACCAAAGCCAACACATTCCTAATTTAGTGGATCTGAGTTTCTTGTTACTCAAATGACTTCAGTCCTTTGGGGTTGATAATGGAGAATCTCTGTTACCAACCCTGTAATTTACACAGATAAGTATACTGTAGTTAACTGCTTTTCAAGTTTATTAAAATGTTGTACTGGGACTGGTGGTTTTTTCCAATTGAAGACGGTTGTGTGGGATCTTGTATCTTAGAAATGTTTTGGGTAGTTTTAGCCTTTTTACATTAAACTGGATTTAATGTAGGAAAGGTCAACTTTTTGTTTTGTTTTGTTTTTGTACATTGTGATACCTTTGGCCTTGGAACAAAACATTTTATGAGTGCAAAGAATCCTTTTTGTAAAGAGAGACTTGTTAGCCTTGGCATCTACTGAGAACATCCCTAAATTTGGGTGACGAGATAAGACCACATTTTAAATATGTCCTTGGAAGGGATGAAATGCACAGAATTAGCAGTACTTCACCTCTGACAGCCCAGTTCTTAAGCCATAGACAATCTAGTTGGTGGTGACAGTTTTGATGAATTGTTTCCCCTACTTACTACTTTTCTCACATACTCAGTGAAATTACTATCTTGTGTTCACCCTGGTGCCTAGTAGAGTGCCTAGTCTGTAGCAGGCAATCAGGAATTGTTGGATAAATTGAATACTCATTATTCAAGCCATATAAAATGAATTATTACTTAAGTTTTCAGACAGTGAAGTTCCTCAGAGTTACAAGGCATCATCAGAAATGCACTGGCAGAAGCACTGATTGATATTATACAGGCATAATACTATATTAAAATAACATATTAAGTGAATGTAAATTGTATTGGCCTGGTGTGGTGGCTCATGCCTATAATCCCAACACTTTTGGAGGCCAAGGCAGGAGGACTGCTTGGGCTCAGGAGTTTGAGACCAGCCTGGGCAACATAGTGAGACCTTGTCATCTCCACACACACATACACACAAAAAAAATTTATACACAGTTATATTCTTTTTATAATTTGGTGGTATGGAAAGGGGATTATCTAGGTAAGAGGTCATCAAGTTCTTTACTGTGGGACTGTAGGTAATACAGCTAAGTATTGGGTTTCTGTTGTACTCTTGTTTATAAACAGTATGCTTTGCATAAGGAATGCTTTTAAAAGTTGCCAAAATTCAGATATCAGATGCAGTGTGTCAGCTTGCTGTTTTGACTTTTTTTGGTGACTCATTCCAACTTTAAGGAAACTTCTAACGACTATGGATATCAGAACATTTCTAGGAGTTAGGACTTTTTTATGGGTGAAGAAAGAGTGGGTAAAATGCATTGGCTGCAGCAAAAGAGAACTGGTTGAAGAAATACCAGGAAATGCCCGTCAATCTCTTGTCTGCACATCCTCTTCAGTTTGATAGTAAGTTTCCTAAGGGATTGAGCTGAATTGCTCAGTTTAATATAAGACACTTATTTATAGTGCTTATTTATGAGATTCCTCAATAATTGATAGCTTGCTATTAGTTTTGAGTATTGAGGTACTCAATAATTGGTAACTGCTATTTGTAATAATTTCCCTTAATAACGATCATAATGCCAAGAGGATACTTAATATTTTTCATTTTAAGCCCGCTTGTGTTTTATTAAACCAATCAAAAACTTTGAAGAAAAAAAGAGGTATCAAGCAGGAATTGGGAAAGAAGTTGAAGTACTCTAAATTGCTGCATTGATCCCCATTGGCTAGAAGTCATATTAGTGAATCTTGAAGTAGTTTCACATCCAAAAGAGGAAAGTCAAGCAATGTCTTGAGGAAGTAGGACCATACTTCATGTTTGCCATTCTCCTTATTTTTGTTCTCACTCTGTAGTTTCAGGGATCTGAAGAGCTGTACTCAACAAGCAAGCTCCCTTTGTTATCTATATGGCTTGGTGGCCGCAAGCTTTTCTTTTCAATGGTAGCTTCAAATGCCGTTAAAATCCAAATTTTCGTTTTTCTTAAGTGTAGAATTTCACAATTCCAAGTAATAAATTGTGTACTTTAGGAAAACAGAGGTTGGGTGTTTTCATGTAATTATTCAGATTTTGCAGTGATTTGGAATGAATGAAAAATTGAAAATCTGCATAGGGGTCATCTAAGCTATGTTAAAAGTTAGAAGGGAACTCTATTCCTGTCAAGGGAATTATATGTTTTACTCCTGTGCATTTTTCTCATTGATAGTCTTATGGAGGAAGTTAAAGCTGTAGAAATGATTTTTAAAATTAAATCTTTCCAATCATTTCTACTATTTTGGTTATTTTGATAAGGACAGGAAGTAACCATGGTTTCACTTTTTGGACTTGTTTGCACGCAATCCAGGAAAAAATTTTACAGACTTATTTCTAAATCTTTCTAAAATAAAAATGTGTGTGTGTGTGTGTATGTGTAAGTATGTGTGTGTGTGTGCGCTTTTAAATTTTGAACCCCAAACCCTCTCTAGCAATCCCACCTTATGTTTGGGTTGCAGTGACATTTCTTTATTAATTTTTATGCTTATGTAAACTTCCTGTGTTTCTGCAAGTTGGACCAACAAAGAAGTTGGCTACCTCTGTCACATCAGATGTTTGAGGTACAAAAAAAAAAAGAATTCCACTTCCTCCCCATCTAGTCAGAGAAAGCACTTGTGAGCAAGCATCTCTGACACACATTACAGGAGTTGATACTACTGCAGTGTGAAACATGCGTGAAACATGCTGATAAGAATCACTGTTTTTGTCTCAGGCTTCAAATTTTCACATCAATTTGAGAAAATAGTAATATCAACAATTATTGAAAGTGGTGTGGTCTGCTACTGTTTCAAGTATTTTTAATGCTTTAGGTCATTAAGTAGCCTTTTATTTTGCCATCTGTAGCCTATCGCTAAGCAAATGTTGTGTATGTTGGGGAGGGGTGCTAAGTTTTGCGGGCCAATGCTTAATTTAGTGAACAAAATTTGACCGAAAACAGTATTTTCTAAACATGTTTTGTAGGAATTCCTTATATTCTCCTAATCCCTAGGGTCTCGTCCTGCCCAAGAAAAGACAACCATAAAGAGGGAAGGACTAACAACTCAAGTTAAAAATGAATCAGATTTTTACTTTTGGGGTGAATGAATCACTTCCAGAAACTTGGGGTGGTGCCTCTAAAATATGTACACGGGTTAAAGCTTCTCTCGGTTTGTTTCACTCTCCTCCATTCCCTCGCACACTGATCTCATGTTCTCTCTTTGCTGGACGAATTCAAGTTCCCCAGGCGCACAGTGTGACTTCCAATTGCGGGTCGGGGGCACACATGTGGGCGGCGTGGCGTGCACACGGTACTTCGTCCTGACACCTGGGCAGACACCTGGGAGGCACTTCCCCGCTAGCCCAAGGTTCCCTGCACGCCCGGAGTCCGCTCTGCGGCGGCTTCCCATTCATGCTTTTGACAACTCTGCGGCCGCCCGCAAGCCGAGGGCAAAGTGCCCCCTGCACCAGCCTCTCCCGCGCTGCCCTGGGGCCGGCCGGCCGGCTCCTCCATAGGTGGCTGCATTTCCGACTTCGCCCTGGCTCCAGTCCGGGGGCTTGACGTGCAAACTTCGCCGGAGCGAGCTGAGAGGGAGGGACCGGCAAGTGGGAGGAGGCGGCGGGAGGCGTCTCCGCTTAAGGGAGCCGGCCGGGTGCCGCCGCTCGGACGGACGCGCGGACGGAAGGAAGGAGCGGGGCAGCCGGGCCGGGCCCGGGGATGCAAGCGGCCGAAGGGTGGGCAGCTGGAGGTCCTGGGGTGCGGCTCGGGCTTCCCCGCGCGGGCTGCCATGGTGGGGCGCGGGGTTGGAGCCGGGCCGCTCCGGCGCTGGCCTCCGCGCCAGGTCCTCTGAGCAGAAGCAGGCAGGGGACCCAGCGCCGCGGTGGCGGGCCGCCTGCTGCCCGTCCCCTCCCTCGGGCGGCCGCGGGAGTCGAAAGCGAAAGCTAGCCCGCGCCGCGGACTTTGAGCCCGGGGCGGGGGGTGGCCTTGAGGAGGCGGGCTCGGGGGGCTGGGCGGCCATGGGGGCGCTGTCAGCGTGCCCCACCCGGTCCGCGGGCCGCGCACGCCGCCGGAACTCCCTGGCGCCTCCTTAAAAAACGGCCCCCGCGCGACTCTTTCCCCCTTTTTTTTGTTACATTGTAGGAGCGGAAAGAATGTCGGAGCGGGCCGCGGATGACGTCAGGGGGGAGCCGCGCCGCGCGGCGGCGGCGGCGGGCGGAGCAGCGGCCGCGGCCGCCCGGCAGCAGCAGCAGCAGCAGCAGCAGCAGCAGCCGCCGCCTCCGCAGCCCCAGCGGCAGCAGCACCCGCCACCGCCGCCACGGCGCACACGGCCGGAGGACGGCGGGCCCGGCGCCGCCTCCACCTCGGCCGCCGCAATGGCGACGGTCGGGGAGCGCAGGCCTCTGCCCAGTCCTGAAGTGATGCTGGGACAGTCGTGGAATCTGTGGGTTGAGGCTTCCAAACTTCCTGGGAAGGACGGTGAGTGTCCACGCCCTCCTCCCCCCTTCACCCCCTCGCGACCCCCTCCTCTCTCCTCCCCTCCCCCCTGCCCCCCTCCTGTGACCCGCCCCCTCGAGGGGCAGAGATGCTATCGTTTGCTGGGTTGCGGAACGCGGAGGTGCCCACACCTACCCCGTGCGTGCGTGAGTGTGCGTCACACTCCTGGCCACTGACCTGCCTCTCCCCTCCTCCTGTGTGTGTATATCTCCTAGGGACAGAATTGGACGAAAGTTTCAAGGAGTTTGGGAAAAACCGCGAAGTCATGGGGCTCTGTCGGGAAGGTGAGTCCAGCCCCCCTGATGGAGTTTGTACAAACCCCTGGGAAGTTTCATTGACAGTTCACTGGGACCGGGAACATCAGCCCACCATACCGACTCCCCGACTCCCCGTGCCTGCGAAGATGCTGCCTGAGGAGGGAGGGAGGGGGCAGAGCGCTTGGAAAGTTTGGTTTGGGGGCCTCCTGTAATGAGAGCGTCCGGAATCCTTCTGTGACCAGGCAGGAGCAGCATTATTGGTGATGAGCGCTGGGAACCGGCGGGAAGTTTAACCTAGATCTCTGCATTTCTGACCTCCTTACGGAGAAACAGGAGTAGAGGAAGGAATTCTCAGCTTTGAAACCTTTCCACGAATGCTTAGGGGACATTTTCTGTTGGCAATCGAAACGAATTTTGAACTTAAAGAAGATGCTTTACCTATGCAGTCTTATTTCTGTAGGATTTAAGGTACAAGTTGGGGATGTTAGAAAAAGGTCATCATAACCCGGAGTGCATTTTGGTCAGATTTTTTGCGAGCTGCCAATATCACGGGGGAAAGAAAGCCAGAATTTTATTTGGTCAAATAAGCCTTTACTGCCCGTGGCTGGTGAAATCAGGGTCTAATTATTTGTTAGTTTTAAACTGTTTGGTAAAAAGATACACTAGGGAAATAGGGTATGCCTCCAAATGAAAGTCAGGCCAGGTATCTGGAAAGTGTCAGACTTTTTCTTGAGATTTTCTTTTTCTTTGAATAGTAAGCTTTTGTTGTCTAATACCTGCACTAGGCCTGGGCATACCGTGGTCAGAAAGGACTTCTGAAGTCCAGTGAACTTCGGGTTCAGTTTCAAGTTATTCTTTCAGTGAGTTAGGACAAGGCTTTGAGTGAGGTTTGGCCCCGGAATACTGAGTTTATAGTCCCCGAATGCAATTTTATTTCTCACTCGTAGCCATTTATTTTGCAGAATTGTTGTCTATGGCCCAAGGATAGGTAGAACTTTGGCAACTGGAACATTTTTAAGTCCAAAGTTTGCCCATTGTTACTGTCTTCACATTTCCTTCTCGCTTTTCACACCTGCTTTTTCTTCACTTAACTCTGTTTCGGTTTTTTTGAATTGGGCGCTTTTTGGCCTCTTGGCACTCGGAGGAAGAGTAATACCAGTGACAGCCCGATGAGAGCTTCCAATTGGAAC
The DNA here is from genome assembly GCF_000001405.40 of Homo sapiens. Taxonomy (NCBI): domain Eukaryota; kingdom Metazoa; phylum Chordata; class Mammalia; order Primates; family Hominidae; genus Homo; species Homo sapiens. The sequence continues at coordinate 63,914,389 of NC_000003.12, forward strand.
AGATTATAGAACAAATTAGTTGATTTTTAAAATGAGAATTGCTATTTGAGGGTAAAGGAAAGCAAGGGAAAGCACAGGACTTGTTGATGATGTTGCAATATGAAAAATCAGTTGCTAGTCCGGTTTTAGTGCTGAATTGGCAGCCTGCCTGGGCTTAAAAAATTAAAATCACTAGGTGGCAACTCTCACAGTAAGCAGTTAGAGTAGAACTTTAGAGGACCTGACCTACTCTTGTTCTTAGTTTTCATTCTCTGGGTGTGGATACATATCCTATAAAACGTTTCTAAATCTGTGTGAAAACAAGATTGTAATTATCAATAATTCTGCTGTAAAGGATGAGTTAAGTGTATTAATGTTTCAGTGGGTACCTTGAGCTGGACAGGGACCCAACCAAATTAAGGGGACTGTACCTCATTTTTGCTAGATATATTATTTTCTGTTGGGATACTTTTATCAGCATGTTTTTCATGAAGAACTAAGACGTTAAACTACCTACTTGAGGCACAAAAGGGACATGGATCTTGTTAGTGTTTTGTTTTGTTTTTTGAGACGGAGTCTCACTCTGTGGCCATGCTGGAGTGCAGTGGTGCGATCTTGGCTCAGTGCAACCTCCACCTCCTCAGTGCAACCTCCACCTCCCAGGTTCAAGCGATTCTCCTGCCTCAGCCTCCCGAGTAGCTGGGACTGCAGGCGGCGGGCCACCACACCCAGCTAATTTTTTGTGTTTTAGTAGAGAGGAGGTTTCACCACGTTGGCCACGATGGTCTCAATCTCCTAACCTCGTGACCCACCTGCCTCGGCCTCCCAAAGTGCTGGGATTACAGGTGTGAGCCACCGCCTGGCCCTTGTTAGTGTTTTTTAAGGGTTCCCCTCCTCCCCCTTTTAAAGTTGTTCTAACCATTTAGAGGATGCTGTAGCTACCAGGCCACTTGGAACGTACACCTGTCTGAGTTGAGACCGAAGTTTTAAATTCAGTCAGTTCTTCATTTGTTTGTGACTTTGCGGATTATGTGGGGATATTTTAAAATCCAAGTTTGAGGATGTTCAGCACTCACTCAGTGGACCTTTATGTTCTCCTAACAGACCATTGTAGGCTGCTTCAGAAATGAAAATACATTTAATATTATCAAAACTTATTAGACTATTATTCATTCATTGTCTGCTTAAAATTATCAGCTACCAAGAAAAGATGTTTTGAAGTTGAATCCATACTGATTCCTCTTGTTAAATTGAAGAAATATGTAGATAAATTGATCATGTGAGTGAATCACTGGAAGTCAGAAATGACCCTTTATTTATTTTTTTTTTTTTTTGAGACGGTGTCTGACTGTTACCCAGGCTGGAGTGCAGTGGCAAGTTCTCGGCTCACTGCAACCTCTGCTTCCTGGGTTCAAGCGATTCTCTGGACTCATCCTCCCTTGTAGCTGGGATTACAGGCACGCACCACCACACCTGGCTAATTTTTGTATTTTTTATAGAGATGGAGTTTCATTCACCATGTTAGTCAGTCTGGTCTGAAGCTCCTGACCTCAGGTGATCCACCCGCCTCAGCCTCCACGAAGTGCTGGGATTACAGGCATGAACCACCACCCCCGCCAGAAACTCCTCATCTTGAAATATCTCTAGGAATATGCACTTGACTTGAATTCTCCAATGTGCAATTTTGGACCTAGGGGTTAGAAAGCCTGGATGTGAGAGAAAGCTGCTTAACCTTGCATTAGTTATTTCATCTTTCTGAATATACTTTCCCTCTTTGGAAGATAATACTACCTACTTCCCAAGGTTATTGTAGGAGCTGAAATTAAATTAGATAATATGTGAATGACTCAGTACACACTAATTCCTTTTAACTCTTTCAACTGTTGATAACCTGACTTCTTAATTCTATATTTCTAGGTACAGGGTTTTAAAATCTGTGACCTTTGAAAAGGCTTCAGGGGATTGTAGTTCCCCTGAAATTGTATGCAAAATAATATGTCAGTTTTCTAGGGTAGGTGTTCACAGCTTCCCTTGGATTCTCAAAAGGATCATTTACACGTCCCCACCCCTAAAATTCAAAACTGCTAAGCTAACCTCTCTGCCTGTTTTTTCTTTTCACTTTTTCCTCTTGTAACACATTACTTTGACCAACTCCTATCAGGCAAGACTACCCAAGGGTTAATGCTGTGGCAGAAGGTTGGAACTCTTGATTTAGATGGAGGGAAATTATTTGTGGTTTAGGTAGTAAACCTACCCAAGGCAAGAATACCCAAGGGTTAATGTTGTGGCAGAAGGTTAGAACTCTTGATTTAGATGGAGGGAAATTATTTGTGGTTTAGGTAGTATATCATTCCCTCTTCTGCCATTTGGCACAAGTAGGCAAATGTTAAGACAAAATTTGGTTATTTTTCAGAGGTCAACCTAGTTTTGTTTGCATTCTTGTATTTGTATTGCCTTATTCTTGTTCTGTAATTTGCAATATTAGTTGTTAGCATGATTAATTTTGGTGGGAAGAAATTGGTAATACATTTTGACTTTTTGTTGTTGTTGTTGTTATTGTTGTTGAGATGGAGTCTCGCTGTGTCGCCCAGGCTGGAGTGCAATGGTACAGGCACGATCTGTGCTCACTGCAACTTCCGCTTCCTGGGTTCAAGCGATTCTCCTACCTCAGCCTCCCAAGTAGCTGGGATTACAGGCACCTGCCACCACGCCTGGCTACTTTTTGTATTTTTAGTAGAGACGGGGTTTCACCATGTTGGCCAGCCTGGTCTCGAACTCCTGACCAGAAGTGATCCACCCACCTCGGCCTCCCAAAGTGTTGGGATGACAGGTATGAGCCACTGCACCTGGTTGACGTTTTTGAAATGATTAAACGTCAACCCTGGTTGATGTTTTTGAAATGATTAAACGTTTTTGAAATGATTAAGACAAATTACTGCTTTTTCCCCCAAGGTGATTTGTGAAATTCCGGACTTCCACAGATTTTGGATTTGTGAAAGTTAACAAAATTATGTTTAGATTGAATTAATTGGTACTAATAACTGATTAGGGTTTCTATATTAGTGCCTGAATATTTAGAGACCCTTAAAAAATAAAAACTTTAAATGCCTTAGTTGCACAGCAGATTTTAAAACCTATATTGTGTCATTGTAGGAGTCAACAATGGTATTGGGAAAAATGACATCTTCTTTGGGAAGCTGTCCATAACTTCTCTAAGTCTAACCGTTGTGTGGTATCAAAGTACTCTGTACTTTTTCTTTCTGCATTCTACGTGTCAGCATTTGAAACTCTGCATTATGTGATGGCTCCTTGTTAAGAGAGTAAGTTCCCTGAGGGCAGGAGTGTTGTTGATGAAGGCATATTCAGCTCCTGCACACCATTGTGCTCAGTAAATATTTGCCCCAAAAGTGGATGAGTAGAGCTACTAGGAAGATTGAATTGAGTCACTCTAGTGTGTGATTCAAATGACCAATTTTTCATTGTATTGTGACTCCAAAAGAAGACAGTATTCTGTGTGTTTGTGTGTTTAGGGGGTGTTGCTGTATGGCCCCAGGGGAGGCCAGAAGGTTTCAGCACTTTTCGTTGCTCTGTCCTTAATATAGTGCTCCATTTACACTTTCCAGAAAGGGTACAGACAGGACATCACCTCTCTTATCTTTGATATTTAGGCAAAGAAGTAGAATAGCAACCCAGTGTGATGTCCACACTTGATGACAGGTTATTTCCTTCTCATAATTAACCTGAACGTGATTGAGCCTGGGGCAAGATGGAAAAGTGTGTGGTTAGCACCTGTAGGCAACTAGAGTTCAAAACAAACAAACAAACAAACAAACAAAACAGGCTTGCTAGGAGTTGGATAGCCTCAGTAAACACAGACTGAGTCAACAGAGTACCACCTTTTTTCTTTCCTAGGGGAAAAAAATGGTTCATGGTTAATTAATGGAAAACAGGTGTTTGTGAAGTATTTTACTGTTAAAGGTACTACATTGTGGGTATAATATCCTCTCCCTTAAATAGCATTTCTGTTTTTCTCTAGGGTTTCTTTTGTCTTCTTTTCTCCTCAACTGTTTCTTATGAACAATTTGAAACATACAAAGTAGAGAAAATATTTTAATGATCCTCCTTGTATCCATCACACAGTTTCAGCAAATAATGAGTCATGGCCCAGTCTTGCTTCACAAACTCTGCCCTACTCCCCACAGTGAATTATTTTGAAGCATATCATTTCTTTTGGTTTTTATTTTCTGCTCACATGGACTTCAACTTATTTCCTGCAAAATGGAGGCTTTTTGTGTTCTGCACCTTTCTTTTGAGGCAAGTCAGGCTACCATCCCTGATCCTCTCTGTGGGTGTGTAAAGGTTCTGCAGATGGCAGTACTTGCAGTCTGCTTATATCTTATGTGCAGATATAAACCAAGCCTCAGACAGGAATCGGTAAAATCCAAGTTCCCTGCCTCAGCATCACCTCGTGCTTGTTGAACATTAATGCACATGTAAGGAGCAGTCAGGTGATTTGGTTACAGATCGCCCACACTTAAGAAACACCTCCATAGATGAGAATCAGCGTGGCCGTGACAGTGGGCATTGTCCTTGCTGACAGCTCCTGTGCGTGTCTCCTTCCTTGTAAGCTCTTCACTAACGCGTAGGTGCAGGAACCCCCAGAGACCCAGAAAGACCCTCCTGTAGCAGGGACTTTTCCCCAGTTGCAGCGTGTGGGCCAAATCTTGCCTGCATGGTTTTTGCATTGCATTGGTTGGAATAAAAACTCAAAAGATTTCATGACATGTGAAAATTATATGAGACTTCAGTGTCAGTGTCCATAACTAAATTTTATTGAAACGTAGTGACGGGCATTCATTTACTTGTCTGTGGCTGCTTGCTGCATACAGTGAACAGCAGAGTTGACTACACACAACAGAGACCATATGACCCACCAATCCCAAAACACTTACTATTGGTTCTTTACAGGAAAAGTTTGCTGACCACTGTTCTGATGAATTCCTTGGTTGATAAAAGGAAACCCAATCTGCAGAATCGCAGAATACAGTCTTATTATTCTTGAACTGTCTATTTTGAAGGGGAGAATCTTCAAAATAATAAAATCCGTTAGTCTTAAACCAAGAGTTCATTCAATATTAAAGAAACATGTTGAGTTAGAAGGAAATAATGGAGAGTAGAAATGGTTTCACATAAGAAGGTTGCTGTCTTTGTCCACTTTTATCATTCACTATCTTTTTTTTTAATTATTATACTTTAAGTTTTAGGGTACATGTGCACAATGTGCAGGTTTGTTACATATGTATACATGCGCCATGTTGGTGTGCTGCACCCATTAACTCGTCATTTAGCATTAGGTATATCTCCTAATGCTATCCCTCCCCCCTCCCCCCACCCCACAACAGTCCCAGGTGTGTGACTTTTTTATGGCATACACCTGGTTGGGAGCAGTTCACATACAGAGCACGAATAGCGCTGTTATTGCCCCAGCTTCCAAGAGCCATGGACCATGAGAATGGTGCTTGTGTTCTGTTAAGCCCCTCATGGTATGTAAATATGCAAGAGAAAGAGTCCAGAACTTTCATGGAATTTCCATTCAAATTCTCCAGAATCGCTGCCCCTGAGCTGGTTTAGAGAAGCTGAAGCCTTGTTACAGGTCTTAGGAGTTATAGGAAGAATTCACGGGGAAACAAATCTGCATTTTGATTGGAGAAGAAGGCAGACGTTGTTCTTTAGGCCCCATATCTTTATAATTTTGTGCTTACTGGAAAGTAACACCTGGCACAATCCATGCTGAATTTCTGAACCCTCATGTTTCGCAATTCATGGAGACCATGCACATGTTTCCATGTGCACAGTAGGATGGGGTTCCCAAGCTGTGTCCAATTTACAGTTTTGATTGGTTCTTGTAAACTCTAATCTCAGGAGGGAAGTATGAGGTATTTATAAATCACAGTCCTGTGATCTAGGTATCACCATTATCTCCATTTTACAGATGAGGAAACTACGACTCAGAAAAGTGAGGTAGCCCGCTAAGATCACAAAGCATGTAAGAGGCCCTGTAACCCAGATCTGTCTAATTACTCCACAGCTCACATGCTTAACCATTCTGCTGTTCCGAGCCCTTTCCAGAATGTACATGGCTTTTCATGAGCTTGAGCAGGTCACCCTAACCTTTGTTTTTCTTATCCTTGTCTAGAAATACTGACCTTTACCAAAAGCCATTTTTTTTAAGTAAAAATATCAGAGCCTTTTCTTGCTGTGCCTTACAACAGTCGGTGTGTTGTATTTAGTTGTTCTTTTATAACATTTTTTCTTTGAGGGGGAGGGGAAGTATCTACAGTTTGCATTAGAAGTAATGGGCTTTTTAAAAAAAGATTAAATGAAAGCTAAGGTTGCAGCAGATAGCAAACACAATCATCTGGGATTTGTGCCATTAAAAAAAATTCCTTTAGAAAGGGAGAAGTGAAATTTCACTATTTAAATAGCATTTCAGTGCAAGATTGCTTTTAATCACATTGTTGTTGAAAGTTTTTATTGCAGTATTTCTAATAAATGTGCCCCTCTGATTATTAAAGTATTTTTTGATTGAAGTTCTAAGAAAAAGAAGCCTGTTAGTAGACTTAGCAGTTGGAGTTACTGTACTTTTGAGAAAAAGGCAGAGGGTTACATTTATATTCATCTTGTACAGCAGGGATTATAATAAATGAGCAGAAGAAGGAGAACGATTTTTGCATTTCACCCACTCATAACGTAAAACTAGATTAAGTATTCTTGTTCTTCTTTGTAATAAAGACCCTGCTAGCATGAAATGTTTTTTTCTCTTATATGTAAGCATATGGCAAGGAAAAAGCACTAGTTCATTATCAATTAGATTCACAATCTTAAAACAGAAACTATTTCCCTCCCAGGTTATACAGATGTTTTCCATAATCCTGAACTCCAGTCATGCAACAGAAAAAAAGGTAATGCTTTTAACCAGTGGTCCCCAGGCTTTATATTTCAAACAAGAAAGTTTCAGAAATAATTTGGGGACTCCAGACATACGGTTGTTGGCAATTTATATGTACTTCCCCTCAAAAAAGTATGAGAACATTGTTTTGGAATAAAGGACAGTCCTTTAATTGTGAAAAAGCACTGTGGTCTTCGCAGAGAAGAGTATCTATTTTGGTGTTTGAGTACCATAGCTTTAAATCATTATTTCCAAAAGCGTGTTCCAGGGAACCCTGTTTCTGTGTGCTCTTGGTTGGTGTTATGCAGAAAAGAGGTTCCATATGGCAAGTTTGCAGAAGTTAGCTTTACACAGAGACAGTTCTGGGAACCCCAGTTCTAGAATTAAGCCTGGGCTCAAATCTAAGATCTAGTAGGTGAGCAATTTGAAGGAAACCGCATAGCTTTACTGAGCCTCACTTGACTCAGGTATAAAATGAGAATAATGCTAGTAACTAATAGGGGTTGGGAGAATTAAATGATATAATGCAGGTTATCAGTAATGAAAGCACAGTGTCACAAGCACGCCTTTAATCAAGTCATCAGCCAGGACTGTCAGAGGAGCAGCAGAAAGTGAAATGCCAGTTTTGCTTTAGCACACAAGGTGTAGGCAGTGAGAGGAAACTCTGGCATGACAGAGTGTAGCAAATGAACCGCAGTTTTTTTCTTTTTCTTTTTTTTTCTTTTTTATTCTTTTGAAACAGGGTCTTGCTGTATTGCCCAGGCTATAGTGCAGTGGCATGATCCATGGCTCACTGCAGGCTTGACTTCACTTCCTGGTCTCAAGCAATCCTCCCATCTCAGCCTCCTGAGTAGCTGGGGCCACAGGTGCACACTACCATGCCCGGCTAATTTTTGTATTTTGTTTGTAGAGACGGGGTTTCACCATGTTGCCCAGGCTGGTCTCAAACTCTGGAGCTCAAGAAATCCTCCCACCTCAGCCTCCCGGAGTGTTGGAATTATAGGCATGAGCAATCATGCCCAAACCTCAGTTTCATGCCTTCTTGGACTCTAGTAAAAATGGGAAGTGGGAGGTGACATTTCTTAGTTCCTCCTTTAGCCACCTCTTTGACTTGCAGAGAGAAGCATGATGTGGGTATTTACTTTTTCCTGCTTATGCAGAGTTGTACTTGCTCATCTTCTGGAAGCCTGTAGTTTGTGCTTCTTTATGCTGCTGCTTGTAATGTTTTTCAAACCCCCTTTTTTCTGGGCAAAAAAGGTAAATTATAGGCAATGTAATAAAGTCATCATGAAGGTGGGGAGTGGATCAGAAAGATAAATGAGGATCCTACTTACATGATTTTTTTAATGTGTGGTGATAGTCATGGGGGTTTTCTGCCTGTAGAGGGAATTTAGAAAATTGCCTTTTCAGTTCTTGGAAATTTCCAATTTAACTTAGCAGTTCTTCACTTAAATTACCTTGTTCTTTTTGGAAACTATATAGGAAGATTGGTTTTAATGGAAAAAATTATTACAGAAGTTAATACATGCTCACTGTAAAGATTTTACTAATAATAGAAGTATGGAACACAGAAGCCATCATTCTGTGTAATCCCACTCTGGGCCAATTTTGTATTTTCAGTTACAGGATTTGGACTTAGGGCAAATCACACTCGATCAAGGACACCTATGTAACTACTTTGGGCAGTTACTGGTAAGCAAAACTGAAACTTGCCAACCTGGTCATTTCACTTTCTGACCAGTTTCAGACCGTGTCCTTTAGTAGGCCTCAGTGTATTTTGTTTATTTTGTGATTACTGCCTTGAGAATCCTCTGACTGTTTTGCCTTAACTTCACTCATTTAGCTTTTATCCCATGTTCTCTGGGCCTCATGCTAGGCTAGATAAAGTCTGAGGATACAACTCCACAGAAGGTGAGAAAGCACAGTCCTAACTCCCAAGTCAGGCAGTTGGTCAGCAGATACTTAAGTGCCAGGTTTTCTGATGGGTGTTAGGGATAGAGTGACACAAATCAGATGGAGCCCCAGCCCTCTAGGGAAGTGAGATACAGTAAATACACAAATATTTCCAAGGACTGTTGAATGCTGTGAAGTCAAAAGTAGGGTAATGAGTTGGGGTTAGGGGGATTCTAACTAACATGATCAAGGAAGACTTTTCTAAGCATTTAACATTTGAGCTGAGACCAGAATGCCGAGAAAGAAGTAGCCACAGGCTGGGCGTGGTGGCTCACACTTGTAATCCTAGCACTTTGGGAGACTGAGGCGGGAGGATCACTTGAGTTTAGGAGTTTGAGACCAGCTTGGCAACATAGTGAGACCCCATCTCTACAAAAAAAATTAGCTGGTCATGGTGACCTGTAATCCCAGCTACTCAGGAGGCTGAGGTGGGAGGATCACTTGTGCCCAGGAGGTCGAGGCTGCAGTGAGCTGTGATTGCGCATACTGGACTCCAGCCTGGGCAACAGAGCAAGACCCTGTCACAAAAAGTAAAAAAGAAAGAAGCAGCCATCAGATCATCTGGAAGGGGCACTCTGAGAAGGGAAGGGGGAGGAATGTAGGGAAATAATGCTGACAAGGTTAGACTGTAGAGGCCAAGGAAAGGAATTTGGATTTAAGTGTAATGAAAGTTGGGGGGATAGTTGGTGGTTAGGGGTAGCTTCAGCAAGGGAATGATCTAATTCATGTTAAGATCACTGGCTAATATGTGGAGGGACTGGCTGACCAGGTTAGAGGTAATAGTGGCTTGGACTTTGCTAATGGCAGTGGTAATGCAGAGAGGTTATCCTGTTCAGGATACGTTTGGAGGTGGAGTTTACATGATTTGATGAAAAATTGGATGTGGATGAGGGAGAAATATAAGAATTGGGATTTGGGGCTTGAGCAACTGAATGGTACCACTTAATGAACTGAGGAATGCTGGCGAATGTGGGAGACTTAGGGTCAGCAGCTCTGATTTTGGCCACACTGCTTTTGACGTACTTAGTGGGCATTCATGTGCGGCTGTGGTGTCAGCAGTTGAATACACAATCTGGAGCATGGTGGAGCAGTCTGGGGTGGAGACTGGGTCAGTCTGTATCCTCAACATACAGAGGACATGGAAAGTCGTGGGACCTAGGTTTGTTTCCTAATATAGGAGTGTCAATAAAGAATCCATTAGGGCCAAGGGCTGAGCCTTGGGTCCCTCCACAGTGAGGTGGTGGGTGGGCGAGGAGGACTCTTCAGTGAGGCAGTAAGGAAACCAGATGAGTGTGATGGTGGTGAATCTGGGAAGAGAGAAGAACATGCTTTAAGTGAGGAGTGATGGTCTCTGTTATATGCTGCTGTGAAGTAAAGTCAGGCCAGAGAATCGATCTCTGGCTTTGACAGTATGAAGGTCATTAATGACCTTAATCTGGAGAGTTGGGGAGGCAGAACCCTCATTGTATGGGGAAGTGATAGCCTGAGCTGAAGAAGTGGAGAGGGCAAGTATGGACAGCTTTTTAAAGGGTTTCACTTTGAAAGGGGATTGGAGAAATGAGGCAGTAGCAGGATGAAGACATGGGGTAAAGGATCTAAGGGAATGATGAGGAGGTTTGTTTTATTTTATTTGGATAGTATTAGGGAATGTTTGTCTGCCACTGGGAATGATCCAAGAGTAAGGGATAATTGGTCACATGTGAAAAGAATTGATAATCACAAGTATAGTACCTTGAGTTGGAAAAAGGAGATGCAACTCAGAGTCCACATGGACAGGCTGGTTTTGGATGGAATCAGAGACTTTATCACATTCTCATGAGAGGAAAAGCATATGGATTCAGTTGCAGGTAGGGATGTAGAATTGTGGAATAAGATGGTTAGTTCATTCTCGTCATTTCTGTGAAGGAAGAGGGAAGTTGGGAGATCATCTGTTCACAGTAAGAGGAAGAGTTTTGTCTTCCTTTTTAAGTATCCAGTCAAGGATACAGGGATACAGCCAAGTAACAACAGACATTTATGCATCCTTTGTAGTAGGGATCCCCAACTTCTCGGCTGTGGATCAGTACCCGCCTATGGCCTGTTAGGAAACAGGCCACACAGCAGGAGGTAAGTGGGGGTGGGGGACTGAGCATTACTGCCTGAGCTCCACGTCCTGTCAGATCAATGGCATTAGATTCTCATAGGAGCACAAACTCTGTTGTGAACTGTCCATGCCTGGGATCTAGGTTGCGTGCTCATTATGAGAATCTAATGCCTGATGATCTGAGGTTCCCCTGACCCCCCCAACCCTGGTCAGTGGAAAAATTGTCTTCCACGAAACTGGTCTCTGGTGTCATAAAGATTGGGGACTGCTGCTTCAGAGGCTTCCCAGCACCCTTAGAAGAAAATGTAAACTCCCTAGCAAGGCCTGGATAGTGGGAGTGTGTGCCCAGAAAATCAGAAATCTCAGCAACTTGAGGTGGAATCCTGTCAGAGCACTGGGGTGAAGAAGTAGAGATCAGGAAAGGAAGGCTTCCTGGAAGAGGCGAATGGGGAGAGTTGGAGAGTTAGCCAGTCTGGTGTGGAAGCAGCTTGTGAGGCTGGGGCATCAGTGTGTGGGAGCCTGGAACTTGTTGCAGCCTTGGCAGGTAGGTAGTGGAGGACAGGAGATGGGAGTAGATATGTTTGAAAGATCACTATGGTAGCATTGTAGAAATGAATTGGTGGTAGCTAAAGTTAAGGGCCAGTTGGGCATGTAGCCACCTCCCTAATGTGAAATCCCCAAGTTTCTAGGTAATGATAAATGGAGGAAGTGGAATTTTAAAATGTACTTATACAATCAAATGAATCAAAATGAATTGTTTCTCCCCGGTAAAACCCTTTAATGGTTTCTATTTGCTTGCCTTTGTTCGTTCATACAACACATATTTATTGAGCATCTACTTTGTGCTAGGTATTTTCAGGAAAACAACAGCAAAGAACTGCCCTCTAAAGGTTTATTTTAGTGGAGGAGACAGGCAACAACAACGAGTTAAAGAAAAGTATATGGCAGGTGGTAAGGGGTGTTTTGGAAAAAGATGAAGTATGGGAAATACAATTTTAAATGGGGTGAGAAGGGATTTTCTGAGTCGTGACTTGTAGGATGTGAGAGCTTCAGTCGTGCATATTGTGGATAAGCTTTCACACAGAAGGAACAGCAAATCTGAAGTCTCTGGTTGGAGAAGACCTGGTGTTTTGAAGAACAGCAGGGGGCGGAGTGGCTGGAGAGGCCAGTGTGGAGAGAATGCTGTGGAAAAAGGTCAGGTGCTGAAGGGTTATGAGTGAGTTGGGCAGGCAGATCACACAGGGCCTTGTAGCCCACTGAAAATCCAAATCCTTTACTGTTGCCTACAGGCTCCACTTGGGCTTTTTCCCACTCCTCAGTTCTTGCATATGCTCTTCCCACTGACGGGCTACTGCTTCTCCTGCTGCCCCACACCTCTTCCCTGATGGTTTCTTCTAAACCTGCTAGACTTAGGTTAAGTGTCACCGTTTTTTTTAATTTGTCCTAATGCTCTCCCTCCCCTTGCCCCCCAATGCCCAACAGGCTCCAGTGTGTCATGTTCCCCTCCCTGTGTCCATGTGTTCTCATTGTTCAACTCCTACTTATGGGTGAGAACATGCGGTGTTTGGTTTTCTGTTCCTGTGTTAGTTGGCTAAGACTGATGGCTTCCACCTTCATCCATGTCCCTGCAAAGGACGTGAACTCATTCTTTTTATGGCTGCATAGTATTCCATGGTGTGTATGTGCCGCATTTTCTTTATGCAGTCTATCATTCATGGGCATTTGGGTTGGTTCCAAGTGTTGCTATTGTAAATAGTGTTACAGTAAACATACGTGTACGTGTGCCTTTATAGTAGAATGATTTATAATACTTTGGGTATATACCTAGTAATGGGACTGCTGGGTCAAATGTATTTCTGGTAGGAGTCACCTTTTTGAATTTTCCACATCACTCTCTATATTGCTTTATAGCCATTATCAAAAGATATCCATTGCTGTCTGGTGTCAACATAAACCAAGCCATCACTCTTGCTGAAAGGTGCTGTTATTGTTAGATTTGGGGTATAAATGCCAGGTAGAAGGAATTATCATGAGAAGTGTTTACATAGGTCTTGGCTAATTTGCACAATTGGCCCGGAGGGGGAAAACAGTATAGACCACCCACTAATAATAATTCTTGTTGAAGGAGGGAGATAACATTCACGGCATAACACTCCCCTGTTGGTGATAGAGTGTGGTTCGTCTTTGGTTCCAGTGTCCTGGTATTCTTTTTTGATTGAGTAACAATAAGCCGTGAAGAGAGAAATGGTTTTGGAATAGCTGGTATATACAAATAAATGACGGTGTGCTTGAATCCCTCTGTTACATCACCAGGGTTTTCTTTCCCAAGATAAACTCTGTGCTTTTTTCCAGCCTCTGAATAGGATATTTATTTTCTCCCTTCCCTTTATTTCTGTTTCTAGGCCTTTTTCTTTCCACTCTGATGAACTACTGTACTGGAGACAGACTCGGTGTCTGCTGTAGATTTTAAATGCTACACTTTCTGTTCCTCTTATCTTAGCCCCATGTCTGGTGAGCTTTTCATTGTTAACTGGCAGCTGCGATGGCTATTTCTTCAAAAGATGTTGTTGTTTGGTAGATGTTTTCTTAAAAGCTGGTGGCTGTTGCTGAAAATAATCTGTGTTGTGTGAGTTTATAATCTATTCATGAATCATATTCTCATTGTGGTTGTAGTTACGCTAGGGTAACAAATACAACAATTAATTTTTTTATTCATCAGTGCTGGGTAGTCTTTGTAGAAATTTCACAAAGATCCTCTTTTTTTCTTCACTAGTAATTCTGAAGTAAAAATAGCTACTGAAGGCTGAGCGCAGTGGCTCACGCCTGTAATCCTAGCATTTTGGGAGGCTGATCTGGGAGAATCACTTGAGCCCAGGAGGTTGAGGCTGCATTGAGCTGTCTTCATGCCACTGCATTCCAGCCTGGGTGACAGAGCGAGACCCTTTCTCAAAAACAAACAAAAAAACAGCTACTTATATATAGGATTTAGATAGATGGCAATCAAGAATTATGAACATGTGACAAATCCTTATAGCTATGTGGTTGCATACCCATTTTTTTTTTTGAGTGCCAAGGTATTTTTGAAAAGTAATTGATAACTTAAAAAATTAAGCATCTTAGACAATACCTGGTAGAAAGTAGTGGTAGTAATAATAGTAGCTCTCATTCTTTGAGCACTTACTGTGTGTGTCACGCACTGAGTAAAGAGCTTTACATGGACTGCCTCAATCCTTACAGCAGTAGTCTGAAACAGGTATTTATATTATCCCCGTTTTAAAGAGGAAACTGAGGCTCAGGAAAGTTACACTGTCCCAAATCTCACTGCTTATGAGTGGCAAAGCTGCGATTCCTGGTCTGGCTCACCCCATGGCCAGATGGTTCCCTGATTTATCAATTCAGCAGTGGCTTATTTCTGCATGTTGAGCTGACATTTGTGGGGACAACAGGAATAGGCTTTTATTTATTGGTAAATGAGTAAAGCATCAGGCGCACTCCAGAGAGCAGTTTAAAATCAGGGAATTTGCTTGGTTAATGTTTTAGATAATAGCAGCAGTAGTGAAGTTCTGGTGGAGAGGGGGAAATGGATTATGTCAGGACCTTGGGCCTAAAACCTTTGCGAGGCTTGAGTGTGCATATTAGTCCACATAAGGGTTCATCTAAACTCTGTAGGGTATATAGTTTGTAGAATGCATGGTGGAGAAATGGTTAACTCTGAGAAAGCAAATCCTAATGGTTAGTTGAGACAGGTGAAAACAATTCAGAAATTAAACATAAAAGGGAAATGGCGTATTTATTACCCACTTAGGACAATGTCTACATCTGAGAAGATAAACACAACTATTACAACATTTTAGAATAATGCATGGAAATCATTGTAATCCAAAGATTATCTAGGAAGCTTTCTCTCTCTCTCTCTCTTTTTTTTTTTTTTTTTTGTTTGAGATGGAGTCTCGCTCTGTTGCCAGGCTGGAGTGCAGTGGCGCCATCTCGGCTCACTGCAACCTCCGACTCCCTGTTTCAAGCTATTCTCCTGTCTCAGCCTCCCAGGTAGCTGGGATTACAGGCATGCGCCACCATGCCCAGCTAATTTTTGTATTTTTAGTAGAGACCGGGTTTCACCATGTTGGCCACGATGGTCTCGATCTCCTGACCTCGTGATGCGCCTGCCTCTGCTTCCCAAAGTGCTGGGATTACAGGCGTGAGCCACTGCGCCCGGCCTGCCTTTCTTTTGAGAATTAGAATTGTTAATTTTTACTCGTACCCATTAAGCAAGGCTCTGGTTGATATTAAGTAACTAAGTAGATTGATCTGACCTCTCATTCTTTTTTCCCCATCTCTGCTTGCCCGGGTGGTAATGCTACCCAGAAAGGAAATAAGTTCAAACAACAACAAAGGACAGAACTTTTCATCAGATATTTTCTTTAGACTTGGTCATGTTACATTACTGTGGCCTTACCTGTGTGTGTCAGGGCGGGCACAAGGCCGATGGGAGTTTGCTCAAAGACCAGGCCAGCTTGCTCTCTCTGACCGCAGAGCCTGTCCCAGAACCCTGTCCTTGGCTCATCACACAGTGGTTCACACTGTATATTGCCAGTGAGCTGACTGACAAGTAGTGGAGAGATGACTGAGAGGCTCCCCGATCCATCCACAGGAACTGGGAATTACCTGCCCAGTAGTCTTTGGCAGGAATCTAGGGTTTTGAAATGGTTATGACTAAATAGGACATAATTTTTTTAACATGAAAAATGGGTCTTAATATATATTTTAATGGTTCTGAAATAGTGCCGAGGACTTTGAGAGGTCAGGCTTTAATGCTTGATTTGGTAAAATTTACCAGCCCCTGTTCAGAGACAGATTTTCCTTGCATTTTAAAAGATAAGTTTTTATTTTTATTCCCAAATCCCCAGGAAATTTTAAGTGCTGTCAGTTTTGTGAAAAGGTAACTAGAGAGTGAGTAGGGAATATACCTTGCAAGCTATTGGTTTGGCCTCATTACTCAAATTCTTATTTGCCTGATGAAGATATCCTGTAATAGGATCCCTTTGTGTGTAGCCCCTCCACAGCTTTCCCTGGAAGGCCTTGGCCATGATTCTGTCTATATCTGGGCACTGTCAAATGAAGAGAGAAGTCCAGAGTGGAAGAATAGCCACTTGATCTTTTTCAAATCCCAGAGTTTACAATTTTTTTTTTTTTTTTGAAGATGGAGTCTCGCTCTGTTGCCCAGGCTGGAGTGCAGTGGCGCAATCTTGGCTCACTGCAAGCTCCGCCTCCCGGGTTCACCCCATTCTGCCTTAGCCCCCTGAGTAGCTGGGACTACAGGCGCCCACGACCACGCCCGGCTAATTTTTTTTGTATTTTTATTAGAGACGGGGTTTCTCCGTGTTAGCCAGGATGGTCTCAATCTCCTGACCTCATGATCCGCCCGCCTTGGCCTCTCAAAGTGCTGGGATTACAGGCATGAGCCACCGCACCCGGCAAGTTTACAAAATTTTTAATGGATTCGAATGTATCTGTACTGCTTAAGAATTTTTGCACCAAGTTTTAGGACACTAGACAGGTGGCTACTTCTGTGAAGATACAATAAGAACTTGCGCATTGATTTTGTTAAATATGGCTGTTGATTGCCGTATGTGGCTTGGGAGAGTAGAATGATGCTGTTTCAAAGAACTGCTAAGAAAAGGTGAGACACAAGGATCTAGAAGAGGTGGACCCTTAACGCTGGAGTTAATGGTATATACAGTAGAAGTTTTGTTTGTTTGTTTGTTTGTTTGAGAGAAGGTCTCACTGTGTTGCCCAGGCTGATCTTGAACTCCTGGGCTCAAGCATTCCTCCTGCCTCGGTGTCCCAAAGTGCTGGGATTATAGGCGTGAGCCACCACATCCAGCCTACAGCAGAAGTTTGCTGATTTATTGTTTCTAGTGCTGATCTTCTTGCTGTTACTAACTTGTAAACACCCGCCCCCCCAAAAAAAAGTAGAGGAGAAAGCATGAAGCTTAATTACCCCAAGTTGTATTATAACTCTGATAAAGGTTTTGTAGGCAATAGCTGTGAATACCCATGTGTGGAATCTATGCTTATAGTGTGTCTGGCCTTGACTAGGTTGTCAGGGGCTCAGGGAGAGCCCCTGGAGGCCATAGAGGACACTTCGGGACTTTCTCTTGCTACAGAGAGCAAACTGAAGGCCCCTGGCTAATGAGGCCGCTACAGGTCTGATCCAGTGTTCTCTTTTCCTTATGGCCTTTTTGTCTTCTCTTCAGAGAAAAGGAACATTATTGCCATCTATTTTTTTATTTTTTCAAATACCCTTGACTGTATTTATTCTGTATTAGGTGATCTCCTTTGTCTCCACCCATACCCTCTTTAAATTGCCCCACTGCCCCTGAAACTTTTACTTTAGGAAAAGAGTTTACATTAAATGCTGCTCTCTTTTAGTGTCTCCCTTGTCATTTAGGTGACATGGGTGGCAGATGTAAGTTTTAACGATAATAAAACTGTGTCAAAGGAAAGAGAAGCCTGAAGTTTGGAAGTAGACACAGGAAGGACGAGGGTGTGGGCTTTGAAATCAGGGATTCTCAAACTGGGGTTATTTGAGCAATGGGAGGTCCTTGCATCACTTCATGTATATGTGCAAAATATTGGCCATATTTACCTGAGTACAGTTTTGTAGGGAGAGAAAATATACCTTCCAACAGATTTTCAAAAGCCCTCATGACTCAATAGTGTTTAGCACCACCAATGAATATCCAAAGTGTTTTTTTATAAGATCATCACAAATTTCCATTATTATTTTACTTGTACTTAAAGCAGGTGTTTGTGCAGGTTCCCATATTCAAGGTAATTAAAAAATTTTTTAATTTGGTTTCTAAATGTTTTGTTTTGCTTAGTGCATTCACTGCTGTGTTTTCTGCAATATTAATTACAGAAACATACAGTATTTTGGCTGCATTAAAAGTTAAGAGTCAGAAGTAGGCCAGGCTGAGAAGATGAACCTTTTTTTGTCATAGTAATACCACATAGGCATGCATCATTTCAGATAGACAAAAAAATTTCAGTCCTACCTGAGGTTTTGGAACTGAAGTTATTTGTAAATTAAGGGCAAATGGGAGACAGACTTTAGGACTTGAGGTGGCAGCCAGGGTGATCTTTCTAATACTCTCATATAATAGGGTCTTGTTTTTAAATGACTTCATTGATTGCCATTGCCCTTAGGGTAAAGGTAAAACTACTTAATGTGGCTGGTGGACAGTGTTGTATTTGCCTAAGGCCACCACAGCCTCTAAACTCCTTGGCTTTTTCACAGGTTATGTGCTGTCCCTGTGTAGGTACACTTTCCTTTTTCCCAGACAATTTCCCTCTGCTCCTTTCCCGTGACCCCTTTCCCCAAGAAAGAGAAAATTACTTCTCATCTCTTAGATCGGGGCTTAGGCAGTAGTTCTTCCAGGCAGCTTCCCCAGGCCTCTGGTCCAGTTTTATGTCTGCTCCTTGCTTTTTGTGTTCAGCCATAGGGAGATTGTTACATGTCATCACAGATAGATCTGTCTAATTTTATTCAACTACCACCTAGTTTTTGGTATTATGGGTGTGCTATTCTTGTTTAAACTTGACCTTTATGGATGGACATACAGACTCTTGGCAGTGTTGCTGCTTTTACCGACAGTCCTACAGTTATTTTTACAAGTTTATTTGCAGTAGTGATGCTTTTGTTTGCTTGTTTTGTAAGTAAACTCAGACAACTTAAGAGTGTATCTAAAGAGGTAATGTCAAAGTGCCCTCCAAAAAGGCTCTACTAGTTTCAGGTGTCAGAGGTCTATCTAGATGACAGAGAAGTATGTTTTATGGCTAGGGACATGTTTCCTTTCTCTCTGAGTCTCTCCCTAAGGAACTGGCAGGCTCTACCTTTTTTTCCTGTGTCTCCCTTTCTTCAAGTTTTGGGCTGTTGAAATTATAGTTTTCTGTCCTGTAGAAACTTAGAGCCCTGTGATTTTAAAATGCAGTCTGACCTTCAAAGTAGTCAATGTTGTTGTTAAAGGAAGAATTAATTGTAGGCTTCCTGGTTATAATAATGTTCTTCATCCAGCATCTGAAAGTACCTAGGACATTAGCTTTTTTAATCCACACAAAATCTGAGGTACAGTTTTTGCCACCTTGTTGTTGACTTTCTTCATGTACTCTGCAAGCCCTGGCCTCCACAGTCTCAAAAGCAAAAACTGTTTTTGCCTCCCTCAAGAAAGTCTGTGATGAGTGAACTATATATCTTGTAACAAGATTTTGGGGTTGAACAGGAAACAAAATGTTAAGTGACTATAGTTTCAGCTACTTTTCTTTTGCAAAAAAGGGAAGTAAAATTTCCCTGTGACTGTGGTAATGTCCCTTGTATCCCTCTCAATTAAGTGGTATTCTCTACTGGGTATTGAAATAAACCTGTGCAAAGTAGTTTGTTATATAACATTTAATGGGCAATAAAGGGGTGCGCAGTGGTTCCTGCTGAATGGGTAGTCAAGTTGATGCTTCATAACTGTCGTTACCTATTGGAGGGAGTGGCTAGTTGATTTTCTCTTTTCTGTTGTTTTTTTTTTTCCTAAATTAGCCAGTATGGTTATTTATTTTAAGATATGACCCTGGGTTTTCCAAAACAGTGGTGATTGGAAATTGCGTAGTTGGTTGAATCACAAATGTTGTACTTAAAAAGCTACTTATGTTCATCATTGTTTTTAGAATCATCAATTGGCCTAACTCCTTTGCAGCTAATTGCTGACACTGTATTCGTATTGAGAAGCCAAAGACTAATTCCTCCAGGAGCTGGGGAAGTCTGAAACCACCCCCTTGTGTCCTGTCCTTTCATACTTCTTGCCTGCTGGCAGCCTCTTCCACCTCCCACAGCCTACTCATTCCTGCCTACTCGGAGGCTATGATAGAGTCTGGCCTCTTTGGCGCACAGTGTCCTGATGATTTGCCGCTTCTGGGAAGAAGATTCACAGAGGGAAAGAACTGCTGGTTTTCTGGGTTCTTGGGGGCAGGGGATGTTTTTGTTTATGCTTATGGGAACCACTCTGAGCCATGGGTGGAGAAATCATACAGTCATCCTACTTCTTTCCAGAGATCAAAATTGAATAGGGGTGGGGCACTAGGAAAGAGATGTTCTTGGTGAGAGGCAGAAAGAGAATATTTCTAGATGGGAACTGAAGGAATAGAGAGTGAATTGAGGAGTATTATGTTGTGGTGACTCAGTTTTTAAAGTACTTCCTCTCTGAGTTCCTGTAATCACCAAGAATTTTGTAGGAACTTAATGTTTGTTGCACAGCAGCATCAGATTTCTGGGTTAGAGTCCCTACCGCACTTACCACAGACCTTGGGCAAGTTATTTAACACCTTTTTGTTTCAGTTTCCTCAAAGTGGGCATGGATTTGAATTGTGTCTCCCCCATAGGGCTCTTACGAGAATGCTTTAATTAATGTAGAGTTTCTCAGTCTCAACACTGTTGACATTTGGGCTCAGATAATTCTTTATTGTGAGAGAATGTTCTATGCATTGTAGGATTACAGTAGTTAATCTTGCTGTGTGTTAGCAGCCTCTCTGGCCTCTACCACTGGATTCTAGTTGTGACAACCAAAAATGTCTGCAAACGTTGCCAGTGTTTCCTGGGGGCAAAATTGTCTGTGCTTGAAAACCACAACTTTAATATATAGAAAGCCCTGAGCACAGTGCCTGGTATGTAGAAATGTTCTTCAGTGTTTACTGCATAGTAGGTAGCTTAGTAAAGGTAATGAATGAATGAATGAATGAATGAATGTTGATGCTGCTGCTCTTCCACTATTGAAAGAGTGCTAGTTCCTTTCTCAACAGTCACATTATGGAGGAGATCACTTACGGCGATTCCTGTGGCCCTGCAGTAACTAAATTATTTGGAGTGGCTACCAAGGGGAGCACTGTCTCCCTATCTTGAGTTTCACTGGTATTGCACAGTGGCACCTATGAAGTTCCAGAGTAGCCCTTGCTCTGTATAGTCTTATTTCCAAGATGCCTACTTTTCTCTTGTTTTAGTATTTCTGAAATCAGAATGGATTATAACATTTAAGGGTACATTAAAAAAAAATTATTCCCCCAAAGCTATTCACACACACTCGATGGCAGCTTTGACATTAAGGAATGTGGTATTTCTGTGAATATCTGGGCTTTGCAACTGAATTGGAAGCTCCTTATGGGCAAAGGCTATAATACTGTGCCTTTTTTTCCCCAGTAGTGAGCTCAGTGACTGGAACATACTGCTTCAAACTTTTGAACAGTCTGCACTTTCCTGTGTTGTGTGATGATGCCCTTAAACTGCCTTTCGTATGGTTTTGGACCTTTATACAGCTCAGGACAACAAACAGTACAGTCTTTCACATGATGATATTAGTACCAACGTTTTTTTTTTCAATAGTCACTGTTTTGCCCTTTCAGCAATGAGTTTGAGTGGTTATTTGATCATTTTACTGCATTTTGCTCATTATAAAAGTGAGTATACAGCACAAACTAATGTCCAGATGCTGGGGATAAACAGATATGTCGAACCTTATGTAGCAGGGTTGCATCTTAAGTGTTGTTAGCTTAGGCAAATTGTACTATATGCTGTAAAGAAAGAAAAATAGTGTGGCTAATTTTACCAGTCATTCAATGCATATTGTTTTGAAATATGCTTGGAGTAGGAGGTATGAATCAACTAAGATGTTAAGATGTAAGTCCCATGAGGGCAAGGTTTTGCTCACTACCATATTTTCATGTAGAAAGTACCTTAAACATAGTAAACACACAAATAATTGTGGAACGTTAGTCGCTTTTCCCTTATTCAGTCTCAATTCCTGCAAGTCTCTCAAACTATAAGCATCACATTGTCCTGTGATTCCGGTATTTAATTATATGGATTTTTTTTTCATACAATAAGGCCTCTAAATGCAAGCCAGCTATCTCACCTGGTTGAAACAGCCATCTGTGCTAACATCAGTGACACAGCTTACTGTGTAGGACTTAACTGGTTGGCCTCCATGTGGTGTCTGTGAAATTTTCAAGGATTATATTAGCTGACTTGAAAATAGCCAACTGAATGCTCCCTTAAAATGGAAACCTGCTATAAAATCAAGACGGAGGAAAATCATTAGATATACAGTAAGTTATGACCTCAGTTATATGTTAGGTGGTCTTACGCTAGTCAAGAGACTGTCGTGTTTACCTTTGAAGTGCTGGAAATATATCCCTTCAGACTGAGTCCCAAAGGTGAGGTATAAGTAGAAATTTTGTGATTTGAGGTGGGGCATACAGGATCCCAATAACCTCCTGTTTGACTTTCTCACATATGGTTTTGTGTAGGAAAGTAGGAGGAACTGCCTGTGATAGGTTCTAGGTAAATATTTGTTGATGGATTTAACCTCAGATTGTAACATAATGAAAGAGATAATGATCTCTCCTTGAATACAGCTTGATTTTTCTTTATCCGTGATTCTACTCAGCCCATATTTTGTACCTTTGACTGGTTGGTCCGTTTTCTAGTCTGCCCCTTTCAGTCCCAGTGGAATATTCAAGCTTATAGTAAAGAATGAAAATATTATCATTTTCAAATGACCACAATCTAATTTGTAAGTGTTCTACAACTGAAACTCATTTAAAGAAAGGCAACAAGCTCAATGATAAGAAGTCTAAAAAATAAGAGTGAAAATGTTCCTGCCTAGCCTAGTGTAATTATTTTTGCTGTTCAGTTGCATAGGCAGGCTGCCAGAAGATGGGGGTACGAATTAATTAACCAACTGTTTGCAGAGATATGGCCATGTAATTACTGATAAGCATGGACGTAAATAAGGCAGTGTGTCGACTGTTTTTCAGAAATGAGGGAAGACAGAAATATGTTAACAAAAATAAAATAGACCAAAGGCTTAGTAGGGGAAAAGAATAGTTTCTGTTGGTTTCCATTTATTAGCGCATAAAGTTCTTTTTTCTTCTTGTCTTTAAGTGCTGAATGTGGGGAGGAAATGTGGATTGTCACATTAGTTTTTTCAAAAATACTTGAATGGTTTATGCCTCAAATGAACATATTTGGAACTCAACCCCTACTCAAATCATTTTCAATATAATTTTTTTGTACACCATAGTTTGGGGTAATAGAGGTTTATTAGGCCAGTGGTGAATTTTAAGTAGTATTATGTGTAAAAGTAACTTACGTGAATAGTTTTACATACACAAGTGTCTTAAAGTAAACAGTATTTGTAATGTAAGACGCTGGGTCACTTCTGTAAGAGCTGAATTTTTAAGTTACTTGTTTACTCTTCCCTAGAGATGAAACATAGTAGGACCCTTAGTAAATATGTGTTGGAGGAAGGAATGAAGCTTTGTAACCAGTGACGTATCATTGCATGCTGGTTAGGGACTGGGATCAGGAGTCAACTAGTTTTAACCTTTAACACTAGCCCCACCTCTTGTCAGCTGTGTGATCTTGGGCAAGTTACTTAATCTTGCGGTGCCTGCCTGTTTCCTCATTTGTAAACTGGGGTTAAGAATGGTACCTATACTACAGGGTTGCAAGGATTACGTAACATAAAGCATGGAAAGTACTTAGCACACTGTTTGGCCCATTAAGTTCTCAATAAATGTTTGACATGGTAGCTGTTGTTAGGTTGTATTTTAAACATTTGCCTGACCTTTTACTTCAGAAGCACTCGAAACAAATCTGGGAAGAAATAGGTGTTTTAGGTTGAGACATCAATCTGAATTGTAGCTGGTCAGGGTGTTAGCTGCCAACCACATTTGTTTGCATATGGTTGTGGTAAAGTGAGCTTTGAGTACCTTGTTCAGGTATGTTGACCAGGTTCCCCGGGAAGGACAAATAGTGAAACTGCAAAGTCTGAAGAAGTAAAACTGAGATAAGAGAATGCATGATACTTTCTTGTGGAAGTATTGCCATTAGGTCTTCTAGTTTTTGAAACAGAAATAAGCAGATGAACTAACGATCAAAACAAACTTGCATTTAAGTATTTCCCAGTGGTAATAAACTGCACCTAATCTGTTTAAACAGAAAAAGCCTTTGTAATATTAAGAAGGATTAGGAGTAGAAGTAATTAACCAGCAGTTAACACTCCCCTTTCCCCTCTTCAGTGTTGCCTTACAAATCTCTCCCCTCCCCTTTCCAAACCAGAGAAAGCAGCTGTACACATGGGTTTTATGCATAAAGTGAGACCTAAGGAAAATGCATTCAAAGCTAAAAAGGTACAATGTTGAGAGAAGTTGGCATTAAAACCAAAAGAACAGTTCACACTTACAGGACCTGGTCTGACCAAGTGCTGTCAGCTGTGAGGCACCATGAGTATTTATGGAATGAGTGGAAAAGTGAAGGAGTCTGATTGATTTGAATTGTTTTCACAAGCATCAATGAAAGCATTAAGTTGATGTGTATGAGTGCAACAGAATCTTTTGGACACAGGAGATTTATCTTTATTTTTATTGTAACTTCTCTTTAAATAAAGCTACCTTTGGGGAAAACTTTAGTTCACTTCAGTGTAAGCAATTAGTAGTTTCAGATATTAATGCATGGTTCTCATCATTCTTGGAACCATATTTTAAATTCCTGGGTGACTTTGAATTATTGATACTTAGTATGTGTGCCTTGCCTTTTAAAATTTTTTTAATTTTTTTTTTTGCATATGGAAGAAATAAAGTTTTAGGACTTGATTTGTAAGACATTTGCCTGAAACTAGGGGAGAATCTTCAAGATGATGGCTTCTTTGGTATCTTGGCTGTCTCAGAGGCCCTTAGAACTTAGATGTCCCACATATATGGGCTTCATTCTCAGACCTGGCATTCTTCCAGGATTCTTTCTCAGAGACTGATACCTCTTATCCATCCATCCTGTTCTGTAAGATGGGAAGCATGGCATCCTTCTCTTCACCACCTTTGTATCCAGGCTATTACAAAGTCATGTCAACAGTTCCTTCTAAATGTCTTGGAATCCTTTCTTTGTCATCTCACTGCCATCCCCATGTCTTTCACCCTGTACTGCTGCAGACAGCTCTTGATTGACCTCCTCACTTCCACTTTCAAACCAAGCACCTCCCTTCCCCATACTATAGTCGAAGCAATGTTGAACATAATAATAAACAAACTGATGATATTATCCTTCATTAAAATGCTTCTATTAAGCACTAACGAATGTCAGAGTAAGGACCTCCAAAAATCTGCTCTGCCATAAAAGCAATAAAAGCACTGGCAAGAATTGTCAAAATCAACTTGTTTAGAATTGTGCAAATTAACCCCAAAGGCTTGCAAATTCAGATGAGCATATATTCAAGAAAAATGGCTGAATCTGTAAGTACAGAGAATTCTATAGTGTTTTAACTTGCCCTATTTCAACCTCTCCTCCCCAACTCCACAGTAACTTTGAAAACCAGCAGCTTCACAACTAGGGTAGCCGTGAAAGCCAGCAGTCTAGCAGCCACTGGAGGGGACAGAATGGGTTTGGAACTCCCCCAAAGCCTTATTTTCAGAGAATTGTCACTGATGTATCTGGTAGCTCCCTGAAAAGCCCCATTCTCAGGACTTGTCTTTATTTGGGCTAGCTCAGAGCTCATTCTGTGACCTATTCCTAGGGTGTTAAAAAAAAAAATCAGCAGTGATTCTTCAATGTCACAGTTGCTTGAGGTGGTAATGCCAACTGGGGCTAAGAAGAGGCTGACCAAAAAAGTAAATAGGAAACACTGGGGAATGAGATGTCAGTTGGGGGCTTCAAAGAGTTCCACCATACTCCTGGGAATCCAGAAAACCACATGGATGTGTAGAGTTGTGCGCATGCCCAGAAAGGACCTGAGAAGGCCCTAATCTCACCTCTTGCTAACCTGGAGGCTGTATACAAGCAGGAAGTGAAGGCTAAAGCAGAGTCATAAACTCCCTGCTGGAGCATTGAGGCCATGCCCCATCACACACACACACACACACACACACACACACACACACACACAGCCCCTCAGCCAAGGCTGGGAGCCTTACGGCAGACATAAATGCTACATTAACCATTTAAAAACGTAAAGACAGGTCAGTAGCCAATGCCATTTCATAATTAATTCTGTTCTAAGTTGAATGAGAGCCATGGAATTTACACAATATACCTGACAGATGTGGTGTTGCAATGAACAAAAGAAGGAATGGTATTCTTAACTGAGTCATGAGATTATAATCATAACCACAATAATAATAATAGTAACAAAATAAACACTGTTCTTTATCGAGCCCTTATGTGTACACTCTGCTTACTGTGTTTAGACAGATATAGACCGCAACTTTTTACATGAATTATCTCATTCCGTCCAACAGTCCATTAAAGTTGATACTATCATTTTCAAATGTAGAAACTGTATGCCTAGATGTGCCTAGAGGTTAAGTACATTGCTGGAGATTACAAAACCAAGCTAAGTGGTAGACTCTTAGAGCCCGTATCCTACTCTAGACTACATGCTTGTCCAAATGGTAGGGATGCAGACAAGATTTATAAGGTTTTTGGTAGGCACTTCCAGATTTGGGACACATGGCATTGAAAGCTTGTTTTCTGACTTGAGAGGTCAGGATTTGCTGACAGTATTTTGAGGAGTAGCTTAAGGAACCCGTGAGACAAACCTGTCGTGTGTACTGCCATGTTGGTCACTGTTGTAGCCCCACCTGCCATTCCTAACGCAGGTTCCTCAGGATTTTGATATTTGCCTACTCTATTCTATCCCCAGCATTTTATCTCAATTTCAGTACAAGCAATGACAATGTAAACACTGTAACTCTTACCTGTTAGGGGTCACTATTGATAATATTGGCCATTTGTAATTAGTGAGTAATTAATATTAGGAATATTTTCATCTTTCTAGCTCCTTGGTCGTCTGGTGCAGGGGTCCCCAGTCTCTGGGCAGTGGACCAGCACCAGTCTGTCAGTGGCCTGTTAGCAGTCAGGCTATGGGGTGGGGGGTTTGGGAGAGAGAGAGGAATGAGCATTACCGCCTGAACTCTGCCTCTTGTCAGATCAGCGGTGGCATTAGATTCTCACAGCAGTGTGAACCCTATTGTGAACTGCACGTGCAAGGTATCTAGGTTGTGTGCTCCTAGAATCTAACTAATGTCTGATTATATGCGGTGGAACAGTTTCATCCTGAAACCATTCTCTCCTTGCCCCAGTCCCATGGAAAAATTGTCTTCCACGAAACTGTTCCCTGGTGCCAGAAAGGTTGGGGACTGCTGCTGTGGTTTTTGTTGCTTGCTTTTTACTTGAAACATCTCACTTTATTTTCTTTAAATCTAGTATTTATTGACTGCTTTGGTTTACGCAGGGCCAGACCTCATACATTTAGTAGCTTGCTGATTGGTCTCTCGTTGGTTCCATCATTTGACATCTTTTGGTCAAAGGGAAATCCAGTTATCTTTAATTATTGGAGTAGACAATATGAATCTGGGAGTTGTGCTTATGGAAGGTGGAAATAAAATTCTACCTTTTTCCTTTCCTACTTGAGACTAAAGCTCACTTAACAGCAATTTAAAACTTTAAAAATATCATTGATGCTACTTTTGATTACCGACTATTGAGAGTCACCTGTTGAAATAAATTTGGAACTGACTGTAGTAAAACCTGTTACGTGGAGACCAGCCTTCCTCTTCTCTCTGGTTTCTTAGAAATATATCCAACAATGGAGCCGAGAGTCCTAGCATCTCAGGAAACCTATGAGCAGCGGTGAGAGCAGACAGTACAGAGGTACCCGCAGGAGTCTGCTGGCAGATAGGAACAGCTTGATTGACTTTTCATGAAATGAGACAGAAGAGCAGGGATTTCCTGGGAGAGGTGGAGAGTAATTCAAGAAGGGCACTGAGTAGTGGAGGAGCTCATCTAATAAGATGGTAAAGAGCATGTACTTTGGAGTAGCCTACCTTCACATCCCAGCTCCTCTGCTTACTGACTTTGTGACATAAGGCACACAGCCTCTCTGTGCTGCCTCACTTGCTTTCTATAAAGTAGGTTATTGACCCTGAGAAGTCAAATGAGTTAATACTTAGCATTGTACGTGGAACACAGGAGGCACTCCATAATTGTAAACTGTTTTATTTTTGTTATACGTATCAACACTTCGCAGGGTTTTTTTTCTTTTGTGTAGGGTTGTGAATTTTGTTCACCGATATATTTACCCAATACCTTGAATAGTGCCTAGCCAGAGTAGCCATTCATGTATTTATTCAGTGCATAAATGAATGAATGATGTATTTAGAATACCTGCCACAATAACTGACACCCATTAAGTACTTAATACATAGTGTTACAAGAGGTAGTGGCTACAGACCAGTAGAGATTGAAGCAGTGGCTAGTGTATCCCACTGATAGTAAAAATAGAAATGATTGTAATAGTATTACATACATAGCACATGCTCCATGCCAAACACAGTTACAAAAGTTTTATGTGTGGTAATTCTCTTTATCCTCATAACTACCCTTAAGGTTGCTGCTATAATCTCTATTTTACAAGTGAGTATACTGAGCAGAGTAACTTGCCCAAGGGTCATGCTCCTAATGAGTGATAGGATTGGGATTTGAACTCAGTTTTATTCCAGAGGCCATTCTCAAATTTTTTTGTTGAAAACCTGTGTGTCAGGTACTGTGCTATGTACTTGTGGCCCCTGACCTCATGGAGTTTAAATCTTAATGAAGGAGATAGCCACAACACAAATAAGAAATAACTGAGTGACAAGAGAGAATTGTGTGAAGCCACAGGGGCCTGCCTTAAATTGGGTATTCAGGGAAAGTCTTTCCAATGAAATGTGAGCTCAAGCCTAGAGCCAGGCAGGCAAAGCATTCCATACAGAGGGAACAGAACTAGCAAAGGGCCCGAAGTGGGGTTGGCATAATTGTCAAGGATTTCAGAATGCCAAAGCGGAGAGTTCGAAGAGAGCAGTGTGTCTTGAGGTTGCCGATGTTAGGCAGGACCCTCCAGTATTTGTTATTATTCTGACTACATTGTAGAACCACTGAGGAGATTAATTGGGCCTGATGACATTTATGATTTAAAAGTATCACTGTGGTTACTGGGGAGCAGGGGGAGTGTAGAGTGGGCCCTGGTAAGCACGGCCAGCTCAGAGACCAAAGGACGACAGTGGAGAAGATGATAAAAATGGCTTGAATTTCCAAAGTACTTACTGTGTAGGAGGCACTATTTGAAGCATTTACATATATTCGTGTAGTCCTCCTAGTAGTCTGTGAGGTAGGTACTTTGACTTTACCCATTTAGAAATGAGAATATTGAGGTATAGGCTAGTAAGTGGCAGGGCTGGGATTTGAACACAACTTGAGTTCTTCTATTCTGTGCCTAACCCTTCATGTGTTTATATTAGCTGCAGTAAAGAAGGAAGAAACTACAGACTCATCTTTGGATTCCTTCCTCTGCCTCAGCCTCACATCCATGGTCTCCTGAGCTCTTTGCAGGGTACTCTAGACCATGTCTTCAGTCTGGTTTCACTCATTTTCATTGTATAGTCTCTTCCTGTCTCACTCTATTGCATCAGCCTTTGGGAGCTGCCTTCCTTACCTAGGTCAATACACATTCATGGCAGAGTTACCTTCTGGATCTTGTGGTTTCCTTGCTAAAAGTTGTAGGTTGCCCTTGGCTTGCAGTATTGGCCCTCTGCTGCTGGAGCCCCAGCATGCCTCCCCTACCTCTCCCTTGCATGGCCTTCAGGGAGGAGTGTGTGGCCAGCAGTAGGAGCACAAGACCACTTGAGAGTTAAGCTCACATTGTGAAATAGTCAGTTGCTAATTGGTGTATATAGTTGTTCCCCCGTATCTGCGGGGGATACTTTCCAAGATCCCCAGTAGATGCCTGAAACTGAGGGTAGTACTGAATCCTATATATACTGTTTTTTCCTGTACATACATAACTATGTTAAAGCTTAACTTATAAGTCAGACACAGAAGAGATTCACAACAATAATTAATAATAAAATAATAATAATTATAACAGTATGCCAGCATTTTTATTCTTGTGCTTTGGGGCCATTATTAAGTAATAAGTATTACTTGAACACAAGTACTACAATAGCAGGAGTTGATCTGATAACTACTAAGTGACTAATGGACAGGTAGTGTAGACAGTGTAGATATACTGGACAAAGGGATGATACATGTCCTGGGCAGGATGGAGTGGGATGGTGCGAGATTTCATCCTGCTGTTCGGAATGGCTTGCAGTTTAAAACTTAGAAGTTATTTCTGGAATTTTCATTTTAATATTTTCAGACCACAGGTAACTCACACCTCAGAAAGCAAAACCATGAATAAGCGGGGATTACTGTAGACCAGACTTCTGTTAATTAGTAAGAGCCGGGGACCTTGAGACAAACATTTCTAATGTGGATCAATTTTGTGAGTTATGTTTTTTTTTGTTTTTTGTTAGTTTTTGGTTTTTGTTTTTTGTTTGTTTGTTTGTTTGAGACAGAATCTTGCTCTGTCACCCAGGCTGAAGTGCAGTGGCGCAGTCTCAGCTCACTGCAACCTTTGCCTCCCAGGTTCAAGCAATCCTCCTGCCTCAGCTTCCCAGGTAGCTGCAATTACAAGTGTAAACCACCACACCCAACTAATTTTTGTAATTTTAGTAGAGATGGAGTTTCACCATGTTGGCCAGGGTGGTCTCAAACTCCTGACCTTAAGTGATCCACCCACCTCGGCCTCCCGAAGTGCTGGGATTACAGGCATGAGCCACCGCACCCAACCTGTGTTTTTGTTTTCTTGAGCTAACTTTATTGAGTGATTACTATCAGTAGTACTAAGCGCTCTCCATGGATCATTCAGTCTTCACAATAGTATTGTGAAACACAGGTCCTGTTAACTGTATTTTAGACACAGGGCAACTGAGATTCAGAGAGGTTAAATAATTTAACCATGCTCACATAGCTAGTAAGAGGAAGAGTAGACGTTTGAATACAAGTAGTCTCACTGCAGAACTGCTTTTAGCTACTGTGCTGGATTCA
The DNA here is from genome assembly GCF_000001405.40 of Homo sapiens. NCBI lineage: Eukaryota > Metazoa > Chordata > Mammalia > Primates > Hominidae > Homo > Homo sapiens. The sequence continues at coordinate 63,945,349 of NC_000003.12, forward strand.
CTAGCACAAAAGAATTTGTCAACATGCAGATTTGAGAATCAGACATTGAAATACAGAAGTTTTACTAGAAACTGCCTCTAGGTATAAAATGTTTTCAGGGAAGACTATTGAACTTGAACTTCTCTGTCACTGAATGGCATACCCAATTCCAGCAGATGATGACCATGTGTCACTAAATGACATAAAAGCACAATTATAACCTTCTGACTTACGGTGGCATCACAAGGACTTAATCTTTCAATTATTATTCATCAAGTAATATTTAGCACATATTCATTGCTGCTTTCTGTCAGCCAGGTTAGGCACCATTAGGCACTGCCACCAGAGCAGTCAACAAGATAGATATGGAATGTAGTCTAGTGGGAGGAAGTTAAGGCTTGCACAGCTGGATGAATGTTTACAAATGGGAGATAGTGCTTGGCTAGGAGCCCTACCTAGCCAAGTCTCTGGGGAAGCCACATTGAAGCTAAGACCGAATGAAGTAGAGCAACAAGCCAGGTACAGGTCTGGGGGAACTGAGTTCCAGGCAAAAAGAGCAGCAAGTACCACACAGGATTCTGTGACGAGAGTGTGGTGTAGTTCAGGAACAAAACCAAGGCCAGAGTAACCAGATGCAGAGAGGCAGGGCCAAGCTGTTCAAGGCTGGTGGGCTAGGTCAGGGATCATTGCTTTTATCCTAAGAGCAACTGAAAGCTACAGAAAAGTTCCAAATGCCAGTCATTTACTTCATAAACACACAGTGATAGGGAACTTCTCAGGTATTGTGCTAGGCAAGGCAAAGAGTCTGCTGTCCAGACAGGACTACTGAGGTTTCCATTTGTAAATTTTTATTCATAAATCATAAATCAGTGAGTGAAGGGCTGAAATGGCAGGCATAAAGGGTATGAGTAGGAGCCTAGCAGAGAGGGCATTGGGGCTAGTTCTTGTCGAACGGTGGGAATTGTAGAAAGAGCAGAGAGAAGAGCTTTCTATGCTGTAGGAGCTGTTCTGTCCAAAAGAAGGAATTGTGGGCCAGGCGCGGTGGCTCACGCCTATAATCCCAGCACTTTGGGAGGCTGAGGCAGGAGGATCACAAGGTCAGGAGATTGAGACCATCCTGGCTAAGACAGTGAAACCCGTTCTCTACTAAAAATACAAAAAGAAAATTAGCCGGGCATGGTAGTGGGCGCCTGTAGTCCCAGCTACTCCAGAGGCTGAGGCAGGAGAATGGCGTGAACCCGGGAGGCGGAGCTTGCAGTGAGGCGAGATTGTGCCACTGCACTCCAGCCTGGGCGACAGAGCGAGACTCTGTCTCAAAAAAAAAAAAAAAAAGGAATTTTAGGAGAACAAGACAGGTTCTGAGAATGACAGGAGACTTGAGGCAGAATCACATTGACTGAGGCTGGAGAGATGGGAGGGACCAGAATGCTAGGTAGGCGCCTTGTTGCAGAGCAGTAGGTCCAGAGTCCAACCCCCACTTTGAAGCCAGCAGGGGTCTTCAAGTAGAGAAGTGGTATTATTGCTTTACAAGTTTGTGGGCTCAGGCAGCTGGGAGGAGGAGGCTACGTAAGAGGAACAAACTGTGGCCTTGTTAGGAGACCTGTTCAGGTGAGTAGAGGCCCCATACCTTGACCTTGGGCACTGGCAGTGGGAGTGGCACTGGCATAGAGGAGGTGATTCTGGGAGAATACTGGAAATTGCCAGGGGTGTTATGAGTCTAGCAGACCTGGGTTTAAACCTTGGGTGTGCTATATACTAGTTTGTGAGATTTCAATCCTGTGTGCCTTAGTTTCCTGACAAATAACAATCATGACTTTTATCTCATAGACTGTGGGCAAACATTGAGTGAGCACTTCCTAGGGCCAGGTGCATTTCTAAGACTGGCATGTAGTAGCTCTCTTAGTCTTTCTGTCCTTTGAAGTACCCAGTGAAGTAGGTACTATGGTCATCACGGTTCAATATGTGAAGAAAATGCTGGCCAGGCGCAGTAGCTCACACTTGTAATCTCAGCACTTTGGGAGGCCAAGGTGGGAGGATCACTTGACCCAGGAGTTTGAGACCATTCTGGGCAACATAGTGAGACCCCTGTCTCTACAAAAAATAAAACAAAATTAGCTGGGCGTGGTGGTGCACACCTGTGATTACTCCTAGCTACTCAGGAGGCTGAGGTGGAAGGATCGTTTGAGCCTGGGAGATTGAGGCTGCAGTGAGCTGTGATTGTGCCACTGCACTCCAGCCTGGGCGACAGAAACCTTGTGTCTGGAAAAAAAAGTGATAATTTGAAGAGATTGTATAACTTGCCCAAGGTCACGTTTCTTTTGATTGAGGGAACCAGGATTCAGAGTGATACTGACCCACACTCTTAGCCACTCTGCTTAAAATGCCAGTGATAGTAACTAACTGGGGAGGGGGAAGGAACAGCCCTTTGAAGTGGTGACAGCTGAGCTGAGACCTGATGTGTGAGAATACACCAGGCATCTTGTGAAGTGCAAGCATAGAGTCTGGCTGGGGAAAAGGTTTCTGGGTTTGAGGAGAGAAGGGAGGTCAGTGTGCCTGGAGCAGAGTGAGCCAAGGAGAGAGAAGTGGGGAACGAGGGAACAGAGGATGAGAGGGAAGTGCAGGTATATCTGGCAGGACCTTGGGAGCCAGGGTAAGGGCTGGAGTTCTATTCCAAGAGGAGTAGAAAGCCACTGGAGAATTTTAAACAGGGGAGTGATGTGATCTGGTGGGGAATTTTAAAGAATCACTCTGGCAGCCTTGTGGAAAGGTTTGTAGACTACTTAGGGGACTTCTTCCAGAGTTCATTGAAAGGGTGCTGGTGGCAGGCCCAATAGTGGTGGCCATGGCAGTGGAGAGAAGTGGATGAAGATTTTAGGATAGAACTTAACTGGGTGTGCTAGTGGCCTGAATGTGTTGAGGGACAAGAGAGTTGGAGGTGACACCTGGGCTTTTAGTTTGAGCTGTTGGGGGATGAATAGTATCATTTACCCAAAATGGGGAAGGTTGTTGGGTGAGGAGCAGAGAAGGGTCAAGAGTGAAGTTTTGGACATGCTTGTTCTGTTTGAAATGTATATAAGACATCTAGATGGTAATGTCTAGTAGGCAGTCTGGTACGTGAAACTAGACAGAGCTTGGGAGCAGTCGGGGCTGGAGATAGAAACTTGTGAGTGGCATGTAGAAGTTTGGGATGCGTGGGAAAAGGGAGACACGCAGGGTACTGGGCAGGTTAAATGCTTTGCAGTGCCATTCAGGTTTTCTTGTTACTGAACAAAGTCCTCAAAATGGAGATAGCAACACCAAAGTAAATACATTCACCACAGTTTGGGGTATGGTTTCTAGCAGAGGGACTTCATTCTGCATGTGACTGAAGTTTCCATATACATGTGCTCAAGTGTCCTTGTGCTTAAACCTAATCCTCCCTAGTATGCTGGCCTGGGGTCTCCAAAGTACATGATGGCCTAGATGTGGGTGCTGGCCCACTCACTAATTGGAACATAGGGGTGACCTAAATCCTGAGAAAGATTTAGGGCTTACACAACAATAAAATCCATTCTTTCAAATTCGTTTAGAATCCATTAATTCAAGTACAATTTTTAAACTTTATGCTCAAGTACATAATTAATGGCCTAAGTTGTATATTACAAGTATATTTTGTAAACTTTTTAATTGAATAATGAATTCATTTTTATTAATTTTATATTTTTATTTTCTGTTGTAAATCAAGCTTTTCACAGCATTTGAGCAAGATCCCTATTTTAATTTGCAGACGGGTTGATTGTGAATTTATGCTTTAAAATATTTAGGAACATACATACTGTCTCTCACACACACATTATTTCATTTCTTTCTGTTGCCACAACATTCCACACTCTGTTCCTGTTGCTAAGGCCCCTGGAATGTCCCAGAGCAGAAAAAGAATATAGAATTCCTTTTTTTTTTTTTTTTCCTGAAGAAGCATTTTATTTAAATTATTTTGTATCCTCTAGTTTACTTCCAAATATGGATATCTGAAAGTGAAGAATTTAGAAAGCTAAAATTAAAGTTGCTTTACGTTTTCATAAAATGA